>NT_187603.1:0-327382 GCF_000001405.40 Homo sapiens
GAATTCAGCCACATGTGGGTGGGACGCGGAGATCAGAGGCAAGCACAAGCACTTATTTGTAAAAGTGCTCCTAACACTCGCATGTGCACACACCTGCACTCCTCTACGTCTGGATGGAGCTCAGTGGCCAGGCACCTTGCTTGGTGCCCTGGTCATCCCCCCAGGCTGTTGGTGTCTATGGGAAGGCATGGTGGGTGACACAGACATGTCCCTGGCACGCGCTGACACTGTATAGATGCTGAGCTCAGTGAGCAGAGAAGGAACCTCAGCCAGAATGACCGCCACCCGGTGTGCGGAGCCCAGGGCAGGGCTGTCCCAGGACTCAGGCCCTACTATGAGGCTGAACCTCAGGATACTGCCAGCATCCACCGTTTCACCACCAATCACATCACTTCATGCTGTCCATGGGCGGTGGGTGGGAGGGTGGCTTCCCCACACTCCAACATGCCAGCACGGAAGCATAAGAAGCAGACTCACCCCACTTCCACCATCAGGCAAACAGAAAGCCAGGAGATGCAGCCCCACGCAAGCCCCACGTGCAAAGCCATGACCATCCACCCGAGGGTAGACCCGAGGCTGCCTGTGCACACAGAAGACACTGGAGGGCCTGCGTGCTCTTCATGTGAGAAGTGATGGGGAGCAGCAAGAGCAGGGAGACAGGGACCTGGTGACATGGAGGAAGCCTGCGGGGACATGGGTCCCTGAGCGCCTCGCCTGTGGGCGCCTGTGTGGCGGGCACGCTCACCGGTTGGTAGAGCCGTTGTAGCAGTAGTTGGGCAGGAAGTCATAGTTGAGCTCCCAGAAGACGTGCAGGGTGATCCTCCCGTAGGGCGCTGACACGTTGTGGTTGGCCTCCCGGAACATGGCGTCGAAGCTGTCCAGCGTCAGGTACCGGCTCAGCAGCTTGTGGGTCATGCGGTTGATTTCCAACAGGCCATCCAGCTCCTGTGGCACCAAAGACAGGGGTGGGTGACAGAGCTGGTCCAGGCAGGAAGGAGGCGCCGAGTGGCCTCTGATCCCACCCAGGCCTCACAGTCCCTGGCAGGGCTGCACGGAGGCAGCCCCCAGTGAGCGTAGGCTCTGACAGGTGACATGAGCTTGCTTCTTGGCACCCCACCTTTTCAGTCACCCCCACTGGGTCATGCCTTTCTCCACTGCAGTCACCTCCACGCCACCTACCCCTGCTGTCCAGCACCCTGTGGGGCAGCGTGCACGTGTGGCCTGCTACTGCCACCCTTCCCCCCATGTGCCCGCTGAGCCCCGGCCCTGCCCTGCAGTATAACCCAGCCGGCGGCTGCATCTCCCTGGGCGTTGGAGCCGAGCCAGCTTTCTCTGAGGTGCCTGAAGTCACTGAAAGGCACGTGTGGGTGGCAGGGCAGGTGCACTTGTTCCCACAGGCCTTGCAAGCCCTCACGTGCGCTGCTCTGGAGCTCGCCCAGGCTGCACTGTCCGATGTGGCAGCCGGGGCCGGAGCACAGCTGCTCCCACCTGAGGCGCACTACATGAGACACCAGATTTCAAAGACTGAGTAGGACAAAACAGACTAGCAAATACCCACCTCAACTATACTGCCATAGGAATGACGTGGTGAATTAATATGGGGATACAGTGGATTAAGTATGTTATTAAAAATAACTTCACCTATTTCCTTTTCTAATGAGACTATGGGAAAATTTCAAATTACGGATCTGACTTGTGTTCTATTTCTATTGGACAGTAATGGCCTCGATCAAAGCCTCGACCAATGATTTTACTCAAAATCATATTTGGCCAATGCCAACAGAAACACCATGGCCTGTACCAAATTACGCTCGTAGAAAAAGGCCGCCACAGGTCTGTCTCTGAGTCCCAGCCTGTTTGACTCTAAGGATGAATACGCAGGGCCCTGCTCTGAAGTGCAGAGATGCTCACAGGGACACGCACTGTGCCCGCCAGCGCCCAGTGTCTGCCAGCCAAGGTCTGTTCTCCAGGAATGAACAATCCTCTGGAGCCCTGGCACGTTCATTACCATCTGTCTGCAGCCTTTATTCTCAGAAGATCAATTTGGCTGGCGACCAAACCCTCGATTCACAGTTCCTTTCCTTGGCTCTGGTGAAGGTCTGAGGACAATCGGATTTTCCTTCCCTGCCTGCCCTGCTCAGACAGCCCAAGGACTTCTTCCTCACCTGGAAAGTCCAAAACTTTCACTGCAATACCGTTTTTAAATGTATTATTATTATTTTTTCTAATCTTCAACCAGCCTAAGATGCAGTATTTCTAAGTGTTGACAAGCTTGGGTCGGTTTTACCAAATACATGATGTATGCTTTTAATAGACACTTTCAAGGTGTCTTCTATTTTATCAATATTTTCTTGAAATAGATGCCAGTCGGCCCTGTTCCGTTGCTTTGGTTTTCTTCTTGAGGAAGCTGTATGACAGGTACACTGAATCTTCATCATCCATGATGATGATCATCTGAGAACATCATTTCCTCTCAAATCCTTTTTCTGCTTTAATTTCTTTTTGATTTTAAAAATGTTCCCTCTTTTCATTCCTTTTTTTTTTTTTTGAGACAGAGCCTCAAAAACTCCTGGGTTCAAGCGATTCCCCTGCCTCAGCATCCCGAGTAGCTGGGACTACAAGCGTGTGCCACCATGCCTGGTTAATTTATTGTATTTTTTAGTAGAGACGGGGTTTACCATGGTGGCCAGGATGGTCTCGATCTCCTGACCTCGTGATCCATCCACCTTGGCCTCCCAAAGTGCTGGAATTATAGGAGCGAGCCACCGAGTGCCCAGCCTTCATTCTTATTTCTGTTTTTTTTTTTGTTTTTGTTTTGAGACGGAGTCTCGCTCTGTCACCCAGGCTGTAGTACAGTGGAACGATCTCGGCTCACTGCAACCTCTGTCTCCCGGGTTCCTGCCATTCTCCTGCCTCAGCCTCCCGAGTAAGCTGGGACTACAGGTGCCCGCCACCACACCCGGCTAATTTTTTTATTTTTAGTAGAGACGGGGTTTCACCATGTTAGCCAGGATGGTCTTGATCTCCTGACCTCGTGATCTGCCTGCCTCAGTCTCCCAAAGTGCTGGGATTACAGGCATGAGCCACTGTGCCCGGCCTTTTCTCTTTTCAAAACTTTCTTTTTTCCAATAACCTTATTTCTCGATTTATTTTTTTTTTTCTTTGAGACAGAGTCTTGCTCTGTTGCCTAGGCTGGAGTGCAATGGTACAATCTTGGCTCACTGCAACCTCTGCCTCCTGGGTTCAAGCAATTCTCCTGCCCCAGCCTCCCAAGTAGCTGAGATTACAGGCATGTGCCACCACGCCCGGCTAATTTTTTGTATTTTTAGTAGAGATGGGGTTTCACCACGTTGGCCAGCCTGGTCTTGAACTCCTGACCTCAGGCAATCCACCCACCTCAGCCTCCAAAAGTGCTGGGATTACAGGTGTGAGCCACCGTGCCCAGCCTATTTCTGGATTTCTAAAAATTCTCATTTATATTATTCTTTCACAGCAACTACTATTTTTTTTTTTTTTTTTTTTGAGACGGAGTCTCGCTCTGTTGCCCAGGCTGGAGTGCAGTGGCACAATCTCGGCTCACTGCAACCTCCGCCTCCCGGGTTCACGCCATTCTCCTGCCTCAGCCTCCTGAGTAGCTGGGACTACAGGCGTCCGCCATCAAGCCTGGCTAATTTTTTGTATTTTTAGTAGAGACGGGGTTTCACCATGTTAGCCAGGATGGTCTCGATCTCCTGACCTCGTGATCCGCCCGCCTCGTCCTCCCAAAGTGCTGGGATTACAGCCGTGAGCCACAGCGCCCGGCCAGCAACTACTACTTTCTTCATTTCTTTTAGCTCACTGTGAAAGATGAAGTTACAGTTTCCATGGTCCGTGGGTGTCTGTCTGACGTGCCTCCACTGTCTGTAGGGACACTGCTGTGCACTTACATTTTCTTTTTTAGTGTAATACGTCTAAAGGGGATTGGACCATGATCTTTACCTGTGGCTCGACTGGAAGTGAAATAAGCTCTCTCATGCTTCTGAAGAGGAAGAGGGGTTGGTCAGGGCCAAGAGTAACAGCACTGGCTCAAGCCTTCTGAGACCTGCCTCTCATGCTCCCCTCCGCCATGATCCTAACCCTTACCAGCTTACATGCTATTCCCAGCAGCTTCTCCCATGGGCAGCTTTGTCTTAGGAGGGAATTTTGATTTATTCAATTCCAGAGTCAGCAGGGCCTACTGTTTTAGCTCCCTGAAACCTGTTCTCATCTCAGGCATCTTTGAAGAGCTCTGTCTAAATTATTCTCTGTAGGCCACCAGCCTGGGCTCCTTGACTCCAATGGTGCCAGGTGGCGGGCAGCACAACTCATGTGTACTCAAATTGCCTGACTCACAGGGGTGCCAGCGTTGGCACAGGGGTGCCAGTGTTGACTAAAGGACTGTGGTATCCCCAGGGCTGGCACAAACGATCGGCCTTCGGAAGTCTCATTGATCTGGATAAAGGGAAAAGCCCTAGGCCGACCAATACCAGCCTAACTTGAATCATCATAAAAGAAATTCATGGCTCCTCAACCAGTTCTCAGACCCAGAGCTCCTTGGGTGAAGGGGAGAAAGGACCTTGTGCATTTTGTTAGAAAATGCACACTGTAAACCCTCCCCCTGCTCCCACAGTGGAAACGGACGTGTGGCCATGCACCAATGACCACGCACTGGAGAAGGGAAGACAACCAGCCCATTCAGGCTTACTGCCTACTAGCTCTGATTAAATCCTAAAGATTCAAAGGCACCACAGGCCGAGGGTCAGAGTTGGGGGGTGGTCAGGTGATCCACAGAGCTGTGGTTCGGGGGCCCGCTCACTGAGGTCCCCCTGTGGCTCCGGCCCTGGCTCCAGCATGTGTAGTTGGGTGGCACACCTGAGTGGCAGGCCGGTGTCTTCTGTCCACGTTAAGGTCTTTCTGCCATCTTCTCTTCAGACAAGTCTTCCGTGACACCACTCTCTCTCTCATCTCCTCTAACACTCCAGTTACACGTTAGGTCTTTCCACTGTTTTCTACATTTCTTATGCTCTTTTCTGTCTCATTCATTTTTATTTTTCTCTGTTCCCCAGTTCAGATGTTTTTAACCTCTGTTTTCCTGTTCCTTAGTCTTGCCTCTTCCTGTGTTCAAATTGTGATAGAGACACAGGGAAAAATGGCAGACAGAAGGTAGGACTAACTGGCAGCTCCCATTCAGACGAACACAGCAGTGTGTGAAGACTCACACTGCAAATTTTTGCTTCAAGAAATACCACAGGAACATACCAGGAAAGCAGAGAATCCAAAGACCCTCTGAAGGAAGCGGCTTGCCTCTGTAGGCTCCGTGAGACAGCCGAAAAATGGGTGAGCGCCCAAAGAGGGTGAGCGGGGAACGTTGGCCCCGAACACACATCCTCACTGGGAAACCTGAAGGTCCAGATAACAGGAGAAGGATTAGACCTTACCTGGAGATGAGATGAATTCAGACAGCCAAGCGAAATGTAGGGGTAGAAGAATTAGCAGGAAGACCCTTGTGGGCTCTCTTGGTCCCTAAAGAAGATATTTCTTTTTTTTTTTTTTTTTTTTTTTTTTTTTGAGACAGAGTCTTGCTCTGTCGCCCAGGCTGGAGTGCAGTGGCGCGATCTGGGCTCACTGCAACCCTGCCTCCTGGATTCAAGCGATTCTCCTGCCTCAGCTTCCGGAGTAGCTCGGACTACAGGTGCCTGCCACCACGCCCGCCTAATTTTTGTAGTTTTAGTGGAGATGGGGTTTCACTATGTTGGCCAGGCTGGTCTCAAACTCCTGACCTCAAATGATCCACCCCCGCAGGCCTCCCAAAGTGCTGGGATTACAGGCATGAGCCACCGTGCCAGCCAAAGTTAAACATTTTTATCTCCTAGCTCGTTCATACTAAAATGTAAACACGTTATTAAGTGGTGTGCTACCTTTTGCCATAGTTGGCGATTTTTTCAAGATTGGGGTTATGTGTTTGTTAAGTCAATTTAGCATTGTGAACACTGAGTGTAGGCTTGGTATAGGCCACGCCCGATGAGTGCATCTCTTTTATTATCTATACAAGAGGCTTGGTATAGGCCACGCCCAGTGAGTGCATCTCTTTTATTATCTATACAAGAGGCTTGGTATAGGCCACGCCCGATGAGTGCATCTCTTTTATCATCTATACAAGAACTGGACCTACCCTTAGTCCAATTTATCAATAGGGCAAAGTGAAATTACTTACAACTATGGAGGTCAAATCTTCACTTTCAAATCGTCCAATCGCCAGTTCTAGGGACTTATACATGGCTGCTGAGACGCGCTGGGTGATCAGACGATTGAGGTCTATTGATCTGCCGAGGAGCTGGCGTACACAGGGAAGGATGGCAGGTAAAGAGTGGACATGAGCAGCTCGAAAACAACAAACGCCTCACCAGAGACCCTGGAGAAGCTGGTCTGTCAATAACGACACCCTTTACAACCACGTTCAAGACCCATCTCCCCACATACATGGCAGCCTGTGTGTGTCTTTTTACAGGTGTTATGACGATAAATAAAATTACTCCATCTCTATTTTGGCCTACTAGGAACATATCCATACTTCAGTGTTGTTCTAACTACATAAAAATATGACAAAGCCCTGGTGAAAATGTCCAAAAATGTGCATGATGATTATTCGTGTATAGAGAGTAGAATTAAATGCAATTTTTTTTAGTTTTCCATATTTTACTAACTAGTTTTGTGTGTGTAATGTAACATCACTTTTAATTTTTAATTTTTTTTCTTTTTTTAATGTTTGTGGGTACGCAGTAAGTGTACATATTTATGGGGTACATGAGATGTTTTAATACAGGCATGCAATGTGAATCTTTTTTTAAAAGCTGTAAAAAATAAGCACTGTATATCTTTAAATTCTTCCTGCTGGCCAGGAGAAAGTTTTCTCTGATACTCTGAGCTGATGAGTGCTTCTCACCTTCATTCTTTTTAAGCTCTGGCTTTTGGGCTCCTGGAGAAGGGCTGACCCCTCCGGGCTATGCCTGCCCCCAGGAGCCGCAGGGCAGATACAGAATGCTGCAGGTGTTCCCTGTGTGTGAGGTGACCCAATAGAAACGGTGTGTCTTTCAATGCCTAACAATTTATAAGGACGTTCACAGTCACAAGGCATGCTGATATCTAAACCTAGCTAGCTATAAGAAATCTCAATCATTTTTTTTTTCTTTTTTTTGAGACGGAGTCTTGCTCACTCTGTCACCCAGGCTGGAGTGCAGTGGTGCAATCTCAGCTCACTGCAAGCTCCACTTCCCAGGTTCAGGCGATTCTCTTGCCTCAGCATCCCAGAGCGGCTGGGACTACAGGAACCCACCAGCACGCCCAGCTAATTTTTGTATTTTTAGTAGAGATGGGGTTTTGCTATGTTGGCCAGGCTGGTCTTGAACTCCTAACCTCAGGTGATCCGCCCACCTTGGCCTCCCAGTGTTGGGATTACAGGCGTGAGCCACCGCACCCAGCCGAAAACCCAGTCTTTTCAATGCACACTCTACGTCCCCACCACAGCCCGGCCCCAGCTCACCTGCACATGCCTCTGCTTCAGCAGCGTCTCGTAGCGGTTAGACGGCGGGAGGTGGATCGTGGCTCCCTGATTCTTGCATTCTGATCGTAACCGTTTATCAAGAAGCAAACTAGTGTAGAAGGAAGACAGAAAGTTTTTCATACGCCATAAATTGTAATGGGAATGTCAGATCAAATTATGAAACGTTTTGTATCAAAATCACACACCAGATACTCACCTTCCTGCCATAACCTTATAATAGGCAAATATCTGGTCTGCTAGCTTGTAAACAAATTGGTCAAAACATAGATTCACCTGAAGAAAAAGAAAGCACACGTTACAGTTTGATTCCCTAAAGCAAGATCAAATAACAAGGTGAAAAACAAAATGTTTCGTTAAGGCAACTAACTGAGGCTCTTTTATTTTTTTGAGACGGAGTCTTGCTCTGTTGCCCAGGCTGGAGCGCAGTAGTGCGATCTTGGCTCACTGCAATCTCTGCCTCAAGTGATTCTCCTGCCTCAGCCTCCTGAGTAGCTGGGATTATAGGTGCCCACCACCATTAGCCTGGTGTGGTGGCACGTGCCCGTGGTCCTGGCTACTCGGGAGGCTAAGCACAAGAATCGCTTGAACTCACACCACTGCACTCCAGCCTCGGCGACAGAGCAAGACTCCACCTCAAAAAAGAAAAATAAACTAAAGAAACTAGCAATAATCTTACTGTCCAACAACAGCACACTAAATAAACTGCAGTGTGGCCAGGAGTGACTACCACACTGCCACAGAAAACTAGGCTAGAACCAATCTTACTGAGGGAGAAAAATATTCCTATTCTCTGAAATGCAAGAGAGAATCAACAAGGCTCTCTTCACTGTGTGCAGTGACCACGAGGAGCTACTGTGCATTGCAGGTGGGTTCCTGCCCTGGGGCAGCTCCGCCTACTGTGCACTCCAGGAGGCACCACCGAGGGCCTTCCCTGGAGCAAAGCGGCTGTTCTGGGTGTGAGATTGGTCAGGAGGTACCCTCAAAAGACCCTTACTTGCAGATGGGATTCGCACTATCTCCTGGAACTGTGAGGAGAATACCTGTGCTTCGTGGCAAGTGGGACCCAGGACCCATCTGCCCAGCAGACAGGGCCAAGAAGGGCGTCTCTGCCCTCCTCCCATCCTGCAGGGCCGGGGACCTGTGACATCTCCCTGAAGCACCATTTTCAGGTGGTCTTTGTGAGAAGGCAGAGGAGATGATGTGTAGAATAAGGTTCATCTCCTTAAATGTGCATACACTAACCTGAGAATTCCACCTGTGGGAATTTGTCCTATAGAAGTCATGCGATGCAAATAAAAAACATGCCAGGGAGTGCAGCAGAGTGCTATTTATAAAATCCAAAACCAAAAAAATAGAGAAATAAAACAGGAGTTGCTTCAGTTGAACATCAAAGATCATGCTCATAACCAAAAATAGATGAGGACACAGACACCGCAGTGACACACGGTCAAGTGAAAAAGCGCATCCTGCACTCATCGTGGAAGCATATCCACAGAGGAAGGGCTTGCTCCCACATGCTTGCTTCGTGGTTTATACTGTCTTATATTTTAAAGAAAGTTGAATACTTGGGAGAAAACAAAAAGAGAAAGGAGATTTAATTGAAGGAAATGAACAGAAATGGAGCTGCAGGGGCCTCACCTCGGCCTCAATTTCGTCGTACAGGAACTGCTTGTTGAACCTGGTGAGCGCGTAGTGGGCGCTGTCATTGTACAGGTCCAGGGAGTAGAGCACGTACCTGCAGAGGACAGCAGCAGTGTGACCAGCAGCCTCTGCCACTCACTCGCAGCTCCGACAGCCTCGCCCCACCTCAGAAACTCAACTCCATTTTCCACCTCTCACGTAAGGAAAAACAACTTTCACTTCAAACACCAGTCCTCCTGTGAAAGCACGTGGTGGCTGCGCCTGAGGCGGCCGCCACACCCACCAGGCTGCGAGGATGCTTGGGGACAGCAGACGCTCACTGAAGGCCACACACGGACAAGGGCCTCCACCTGCCTGCATCTTCTCACTTAGCAGACTTTAAAATATTTCACTACAAGTACATAGGATTTTTAACAAAAGAAAATTATTTTCTTATTTCCAGAATGAACTCCAAGGACCAGGCTTGGTGGTTCATGCCTGTAATCCCAGCACTTTGTGGGGCTGAGGTGGGCAGATCACTTGATTGAGGTGAGGAGTTCAAGACCAGCCTGGGCAATACGGCAATACTGTCTCTAACAAAACTACAAAAAACTATCTGGGCGTGGTGGCGCACGCCTGAGTCCCAGCTACTTGGGAGGCTGAGGTAGAAGGATCACTTGAGCCTGAGAGGTTGAGGCTGCAGTGAGCTGAGATCGTGCCACTACACTCTAGCCTGTGTGACAGAGTGAGACCCTGTCCAAAAAAAATGATAGAGAATGAACTCCAGCACTTTAGGTGGATGAGGCAGGAAGATAACATGAGGCCAGGAGTTTGAGACCAGGTTGGACAACATAGCAAGACCCCGTCTCCATGAAACACAAAACAATTAGCCAGGTGTGGTGGCGCATGCCTGTAGTCCCAGCTACTCAGGAGGCTGAGGCAGGAGGATCACCTGAGCCTGGGAGGTTGAAGCTGCAGTGAGCTGTCTTTGCACCACTGCACTCCAGCCTGGGCAATAGAGCAAGACCTTGTCTCTGTTGGGGGGAAAAAAAAAAAGAATGAACTGACTGGAAAAGAACAAAGGTGGACTGGGCGCGGTGACTCATGCCTGTAATCCCAGCACTTTGGGAGGCCGAGGTGGGCGGATCACTTGAGGTCAGGAGTTCGAGACCAGCCTGGCTAACATGATGAAACTCATCTCTACTAAAAATACAAAAATTAGCCGGGCGTGGTGGTGGGTGCCTGTAGTCCCAGCTACTTGGGATGCTGAGGCCGGAGAATTGCTTGAACCCGGGAGGCATAGGTTGCAATGAGCTGAGATTGTGCCACTGCACTCCAGCCTGGGTAACAGAGCAAGGCTCTGTCTCAAAAAAAAAAAAAAAAAAAAAAAAAGAAAGAAAGAAAAAAAAGAAAAAATTACACCAACGGAAGTACATAGACAGCATTAAAAAAAAAAAAAAAAAAAAAAGAACAAAGGTGAAGGTCCTGGATCCCACAGCTCACCAGGAGCATGTCCAGCATGGCCCATGGTTGAAGGCCCGTCTCCCACTACCTCATATCTGGACAAAGGCCATGGCCAGGGGCAAGGAGGCCCATGCCTGAAGGAGGCCTCCAAGCTGGTTCCAGCTCCTCACGCCACCCCAATGCTGTGCAACGAGCCATCAGAGGCTCTGCCCACACAAATGGCATGGCCATGCCACAGCCACAGAGAGTGGAAGGTGACTGCCCTTACCATCTCCTGGGCACCACAAGGGATGTGTGAGGACTGACGCACAAGGAACTCAGGGGCTTCCCACTCACGGTGCTCAGAAGACAGACCGGCTGGGCGGCTCCCCAGTCGCTCACCATGAGACACACCCTTTTCCAAACACTTTCCCTTCCATGAACTTTATATTTTGAAAGACTGCCCTTCCATCTAGGTCCACAGTCCTGATCCCCAGAACAAAGCTGTTCAATCAATACTTCCTTTCCCCACTTCATCTGGGTCAGAGGCTGTGTCACACAAAAGGCCAGGCCACAGGGCTCCCGCAAGGCAGCTCACGGGCATGGCCACCTCACAGGGCCTGCACTACGAAGGCCTGGGGAAGGTCCAGGTTCATCCATCTCCCTGGTCCAGGCTGAGTCCCCGGGTCCCAGCCAGCACCCATGCAAAGTAGGAACGTGACTGGTTCTAGTGCCTGAGCTCTCAATTCCAGTCTGACACCAAGAAACTGGTTAGTTACTTGTATTAATCTCTAAAGCTTTACCCCAGGAAACATGATTTCTCTTTTTTTTTTTTTTATTTGGAGACAGGGTCTTGCTACGTGGCCAGGCTGGAATGCAGTGGTGCAATCCATAGCTCAATGCAGCCACAAATTTCTGTGGTAAAGCAATCCTCCCGCATCAGCCACCACACCAGGCTAAGTTTTCTCATTTTTGTAGAGACTGGGGTCTTGCTATTTTGCCCAGGCCCAGAAACTTGATTTCAAATACAATACTAAAAACAGTCCCGGCCTCTCCGCCACCTCCTCTGAGGACCCCCGGTCACCACACACAAAGGCTGGAGACAGGCCCGCAGGACACGCACTCCATCATCGATGCCTCCTTGGTCTCCAGGATGTGGTCCGTCAGGATCCAGGGCATCGACATCTCAATGGGGAACTGGATCCTCCTGCCCATGGTCAGCTCCAGGAAGAACTCTCGGAACCACAGCTGCGAAAGGTCACAGCACTGCTGCAGCGTTTCTGGGAGGGTTCAAACAACTCCATGTTATCTCCCGCAAGCAAAAAAAAACCTTTAGCAGAGATGACACAAGGGCTGTGTGCTGGGTGCCTGCTCCTCCTCGCTCAGCCCCAAGCCATGCAGCATGGACATGAGTGGGGAGGGGTCACCGGGGCCTTGCACTAGGGACAGGACCAGCTGGGCATAGCTGCAGGTAAAGCCACCTCATCAACCCTGTGAGCCCTTCAGTGGGATCCAGGGGGAAAGTGTCTTTTTTTTTTTTTTGAGACAGAGTCTATCTCACTCTGTCACCCAGGCTGGAGGTGAGTGGCGCGATCATAGCTTACTGCAGCCTTCAACTCCTGGGCTCAAGCGATCCTCCTGCCTCAGCCTCCCAAGTAGCTGAGAACACAGGCACGTGCCACCAACTGATTTTGTATTTTTTATAGAGATGGGGGTCTCGCCATGTTGCCCAGGCTGGTCTCAAACTCCCGAATTCAAGTGATTCTCCTGCCTTGGCTTCCCAAAGTGTTAGGATTAACAGGTATGAGCCACTGTGTCTTACCTAAAAATGTTCTTCTCAAAAGGAGACATAAAAACAGGACTTCTGGCTGGGCACAGTGGCTCACGCCTGTAATCCTAGCACTTTGGGAGGCCGAGGCGGGTGGATCACAAGGTCAGGAGTTTGAGACCAGCCTGGCCAACATGGTAAAACCCCATCTCTACTAAAAATACAAAAATTAGCCAGGCGCAGTGGTGAGCACCTATAATCCCAGCTACTTGGGAGGCTGAGGGAGGAGAATCTCTTGAACCTGGGAGGCGGAGCTTGCAGTGAGCTGAGATCGCCCCACTGTACTCTAGCCTGGGTGACAGAGCAAGACTTCGTCTCAACAAAAAACAAAACAAAAAAACAGGACTTCTTCACTTTCACTTAGGATAAAAACCAATGTCCAGGCTGCAGCATTAGAGGCACACTCAGGGAGGTCTGTCTAACGCAAAAATGAGACAGATTAAAAGAGCCCACACTCGAACTCCATCCTTTCATGGAGTTAACAGCAAAAGTGGTACTATTTCCTCCAATACCTCGCAGCACCCCAGCCAAGACAGCAGGGATCCTGTTCTGAGCAAGAGGTGGACAACGGAGGACTTGATGAGAACACGGGACAGACACACGGAGGGCAGAGAGCGCACCCACCGGTGGCCGGTCAAGGTGGCCGGGTGTCACCCAGGATGGGCTTGCCTGGCACAGGGCACCCGCCACCTTCCCCCCACGTCATGGTCTGCAAGGGCCATTTCTAGTATTTATCAATGCCTGTGTCTCAACTCAGGCACCAGATTACATTCGCCTGTTTCCAACCCCGCATGGGTTGAAAAGATTTTCTGTTCATGTCTCAGGGCCAGCCCGGGCTCCTCAGTTTATACCCTTGTAGGGACCACGCCCTGTGGAGCGAGCTCAGGCCAGGGACGTACAGCCACCGCCACAGAGGGCAGGACGAGTCACCGTCTGGGTGCACCAAGGGACGGGGTAGGGGGTGGTCAGGCGGGCGGAAGCATTCTAGACGGTGTTAGTGGTGTTAGGACATGCCAGGCCGGATGCTGCTCAGCAGTATCTCTTACCACTGAAATTTATCAAGTGAGTGTAGAAGAATGACTCTCGATGAAATTTTTCTATGTCCAATATGGTGGGCCCCTCAAGGCTACTTCTCAAGGTTTTCTTGGAACCACTTTTGTCTGCAATGAGGGACTCTAGCATGGTTCTCACCATGTAAAGCTGGATTATCCAAGGAAACATTTGTGGGGGAGAAAATATACATGGTACATTAGTTATGCCAAACTCAAAAAGCCCATGAGAGAAGGACTGCTCCGCTACGCCCTGGTCGGGAGGGCCCCGCACCAGCTCCCCGAGGGGTCCGGGTGCCTGTCTACGCGGCCACGTTGCTGCTGCTTTGGGGAAAGAACAACTTGTAGCGGAGCAGTTCGCCTCCGTGCCATAAACGTCAAGAGAAACAAATGATGTCTTACCACCAAAGGTTAAAAGGGGTAGGTAGGTGCACGACTGCCTCAGAAACGTGTTAACCGCATGCAAGAGCCTCTCCATGCCCAGAGACTTGAGCTGCCTGAGCAGCTCGGCAGAGCCCAAGGACTCGGCCATGGTGCGCACCAGGTAGAGCTAGACACGGACAGACAGGAGGGAGAGGCAGGAGAGAGACGTTAGTCACTCGACACACACACCCCAGGCAGGGACACGGGACGCACGCAGAGGGAGGCAGGGAGGGTGGCTGGCACCACGCACAGGCCGAGGGCCGTCCCCCTGACCCTCCTGCAGAGCCAGCAGCGTGCATTGCTGGTGACTTTCCAGAAGAGTGGCAGAAGAGATTAAAAGCCTCCGGCAGAGATGAGGGAGAAGACCAGCCCCAGGACGGAGGACAGACGCAGCGGTGTGGATTAAACCGGGTGTGAAAGTCGTGAGAAGCACCTCGGGGAGGCCTGAACACACCAGGAGAGAGGACAGTGGGCAGCTTAGGACCATGACACACGCAAGCAGCACCTCACAGTTTCCCATGCCCCATCTACAGTCATTTGCAGACCCAACGTAAAAATTATACAGACATTCAAACACCCATCAAGAAACACAGAATGAATACAGACACGTGGACTTGTGCCCACATTTTTGGGATGGGAGTTGAAATGGAGTCAGACTCCTTTTTAGTGCACATGACACATCTGACAATCAAGGCACGTCTCCTCACGCTCCCAACTCACTTGGGTGGGAAACAGAGGAGCAGCAGAAACCACAGGCGCCACTTTCTCTGCCTGAGCAGGCAGCGAGGACCTCATTTAACCCGGGCCTCACCAGCCCCACCCGCTCACAGCTCAGGGTGGGTCCCCCCAGGGAGAGGTGCAGGCGGGGCTCAAGGGACGAGAACCTGAGTGCTGGAGGGTCCCACGGCGCGGCGTGGTACTTTTATGTCGAAGCCGCTCTTGGGGTCCTTCTCGCCCCGCAAGGCTGGGTCATTGAAGGGCTCATGCCCCGTCTCCCAGTCACACACGGTCTTCCTGATGGCCTGCAGGACACTGAACACCCCACCAAGTGATCAGCAAGGCCCAGAGGCCGAGACCTCCAGCCTCACAATCACACCATCTCCTCACCCAACTACAAGGCTCTCAGAACAGCCCCCATGAAAATACAAATTCCTCTGGGGGCCATGGAGGGATGTGGTAATGGACCAGCTCAACAGGAAAGTTAAAAAGGAGTCTGCCTTCTGGAGAGTATTACTACCCCCAGAAGACTGCCCTGAGCTCCAGTTCGCATCTGTTAGCCCAGGGCAGCAGTGAGGTGGCTCTGAGTCATGCTGTGGGCAGGGAGAGGGCAGAACACAGCCTCCGCACGGAGCAGAGCTGGGCCCCGCCTGCCCGCAGCTGGCTGTCCCCAGTAACCAACAGGAATGTGAAGTCACCCACATGACCAGAGCCTGGCCATGTCTCTCGACTGGTTTGGAACACAGCCTCATCACCAACAGGGCTCCACCGTGCAGAGACCCCCATAAGGCACCATGCATGAACCACAGGCACCGCGAGCCTGGGATAAATGCACCTTGTCCCGGGGTCCTCAGACTCCCTAGACACTCGGCAGCTGACTTACTGTCCATTGTTTGGGTTAATAATTGGACCCATGCATTACTTTTAGAGGTAATTCACCAAGAGGGCATCTGAAGGTTGAAGATAAATATATTGAAATCATTTTTGAGAATTTAACGCTCCTGTTGTTTGAATCCAAGTTCATCCGAGGACGTGTGGGCACAGCGGGCACAGGGCGTGGGGAAGGCTGACCTCTGGATGACGTTCTTCTTCTTCTTGATGGCCTGCCGCAGCGGCTCCCTAAGGGTCACCTGGGAGAAGTCCTGCAGTGCGGCATAGACGGTGTGCCGGATGGCGTGGTTGAACACGCTCTCCATCCTGCCCATCAGCACCTGCAGGCCTTTGATCATGGCGATCACCTGCGGGGGACACAGCAACAGGGACGGCCCTTCTTAGGGATGGCACCAAGCCTCCTCTGCCTGGCACATGCCGGGGGCTGCTCCTCCTCGCCCACAGCACCTTACGCCCTCCCGCGTTCATGCCCTGCAGCTGCCCTGCCCCAAAACGTCTTCTCCAAAGCCATAGTCAATGGAACTGTGCCCGCATCTGACTCCCCATCAGACCATGAGCACCTGGAGGACAGGGATGCATCTGACTCGAAACACACATGCATCCACCCCAGCACACCCTCCTGTGATGGAATTCAAATAGGAAAGAAGAAAAAGACTCAGGAAAGCAGGCATGATATTACTAGAAAAAGAAGTTACAAGAGGTTGTAGTCCAAATCCCATATTGTTCACAACAAAGGCGCAGTGAACTACCATTCACAGAAAAAGCCTGGAAGACTCTGATGGAACATAATTACATGACAAAGAGCTTCCAGAGGAATTCCTGGGACAGAAAAATGGTGCCAGGGCTCATTATTTCCCTGTTTCCAGACAGTAATTTTGTCATGACAGTGTGCTTTATTACTTTCTGAATAAACAATTGAAGGTCACAAACCAAGTATGACCTTTACAATTGCATGAGCTTTCTTACGGCTTTTGCCGTTTATAAATATTTCTACAGCCAACTTCATGATAGCTATGTGAGGCCTAGAAATCTCTCTGAAAGCAGCAAGTGAGGCAGAGCAAGACACACTTACCCCAAGTCCACCCTGCCGTGTGGATGTCTGACATATAAGACACCAAAGTGGAACATTTAATAGCACCAGTGAAACATAATTCACTTCTTTTTATCTTTTAACTAGAACGCTGTACCTAAGACTAATACATTTGGGAAAATCTTAACAACCCTTCTTTGGCCAGGCACAGTGGCTCACACCCATAATCCTGGCACTTTGGGAGGCTGAGGCGGGAGAATCACTTGAGACCAGAGTTCAAGATCAGCCCGAACAAAATGGCCAGACCCCATCTCTACAAAAAATTTAAAAATTAGCCAGGTGTGGTGGCATGAGCCTATAGTCCCAGCTACTCGGGAGGCTAAGCCAGGAGGATCACTTGAGCCTAGGAGTTCGAGGCTGCAGTGAGCCATGACTATGCCACTGCTCTCCAGCCTGGGTGACAGAGCGAGACCCTGTCTCAAAACAAAACAAAACAAAAACCCTACTTCAACATCTGAAAATGGTCTTCAGTCCACAGTAATAAAAAAAAACAAAAAACAAACAAACAAAAAAAACCTTTTGAAATTAAGTATTTGACAGATTCAAAATTAAGGCAGCTTTTTTTTTTTTTTTTTTTTTTTTTGAGACAGGGTCTCACTCTGTTGCCCAGACTGGAGTGCAGTGGCATGATCATAGCTCACTGCAGCCTTGAACTCCCAGGGTCAATCGATCCTCCTGCCTCAGCCTCCTGGGTAACTAGTTCTATAAGCATGCACTACCATGCTTGGCTAGGCATCTTCCTACTTTTATTAAATCTGTTGGTTTGAAGTTCACTTAGCAAGAACACAAATGTGTTTCCCCAAGGCTTCACACAGTCTCCCTCTATCACTTTCTGGTTTTATTCACACCTTTTGAGTTCCTCATTATGGCTTTATAAACAGCCTGATTCATGGGTAAATGAAGACGTGTCTGACAAGTACTTGAAACATGGCTTATATGATTTTGGTGCTTTTCTTTTTCATGAAATTTTCAGGTGGAAAAGTTGACAGTCTGCTTTTAATTCATCCTTCTATAACGTAAAGAATTTCCAAATAGACTGCTTTCATGTAAGACTCATGGTCTATATGCAATTAAAATAATGAAAATTTTAGAAAGGAAAAAGTCTGGAAGAAAACGCACCCAGCTGCTCAGCGCCATCTCTGTGATGGCGCCGCAGGCACTGTGCCTTCCTAATGCCATGCTTGTGTTTTCAGCATGCTTACTTTGGAAAACTGATGATTTTATATTGTTTTTCCAATCAACAAAAAAGAAAAGTTCTATTTAAAAAACCAAACGAGGAAAAACCCATTTAAGTGAACATAACAATCCTACATATTCACACTTACAGGAAGAAGGAAAAGGCAAGTTAACAGCAAACTGAGAGCTTTAGATGCACGCATTAGAAAACTAAAAAGGATAAAAATCATAATACTTATCAAACATTCATCACTAATTTATAGAAAACAGCAAAATAAACCCCCCCAAAATCGAAGAAAAATAACTAAAAGCACCCGGGCGCAGTGGCTCATGCCTGTAATCCCAGTATTTTGGGAGGCCGAGGCAGGCGGATCACAAGGTCAGGAGTTCGAGACCAGCCTGGCCAATATGGTGAAACCCCGTCTCTACTAAAAATACAAAAATTAGCCTGGTGTGGTGGTGCACACCTGTAGTCCCAGCTACTTGGGAGGCTAAGGCAGGAGAACTGCTTGAAACTGGGAGGTGGAGGTTGCAGTGAGCTGAGATGGCGTCACTACACTCCAGCCTAGGTGACACAGCGAGACTCTGTCTCAAAAATAAATAAATAAATAAATAAATAAATAAATGTAACAATGAAACAGAAAACAAGTGTATAATCAAGGGTGATCAACAAAGACAAAGCTGTTCAGTAAATAAACAGTAAAACTGACAAATGCTTAGCAAGAATAACAAAGAAAAAAAAGACAGAGAAGCAGGCCAGGCACAGTAGCTCACGCCTGTAATCCCAGCACTTTGGGAGGTCAAGGAGGGTGGATCACTTGAGGTCAGGAGTTCAAGACCAGCCAGGCCAACATTGGTGAAACCCTGTATCTACTAAAAATACAAAAATTGGCCAGAAGTAGCTTGAACCCGGGAGGTGAAGGTTGCAGTAAGCTGAGATTGTGCCACTGCACTCTAGCCTGGGCAACACGCGAGACTCTGTCTCAAAAAAAAAAAAAAAAAAAAAAGAAGCACGAGTTACCAGCATTAAGAATGAAAAAGGGGACATTAGCAGTTTATAGACAGATTAAGAGATTATGAAAAAATACTGTCATAGGATAGACAGAGGTCAATGGGATAGGATTAAGAGTCCAGAAGTTAACTTACAATTGATTTTCAACAGGGTACCAAAACAATTTGATGGGGAAAGATCATCTTTTCAACAAATAGTACTGACAACTGTATCTGCACATGCGAGAGAATCAAGGTGGACCCTTGTGCAGGAAAGGGTTAACTCAGCAGGCTGGGGAGAATGAAACTCCGCACATCCCCAAGAAAGGCCCATCTTCAGGACTGGCTGAAGTCATCCCAGGAACCAGCTCTGAACCTTGGGAGTGTCCTGCCTAGAGATTATGTTTTTGTGTGCCTGGGGCCCCGGGCCTACTGCTGTACCAGTCTGATCAGTCTCTGCTAACAAGGTGACTAATAGTGACCTCCTGTGTGTGTTTTGAGGACCTAGAGTCTGAGTAGCCAAGGTCAGCCACGTGACTGGCCCCCAGTAAAAACCCAGGACCCCAAGGCTCTGGGGAGCTGCCCTGGTGAGCCACAATTTGTGTGTGCTGTCACACATCATCGCTGGGAGAAATAAGCACGTCCCGTGCAATTCCACTAGCAGGCACAGCTGGAAGTTTACACCTGTCTTCTCTGGACTCCACTCCTGTGCCTTTTCCCTTTGCTGATCTGACTCTGTCTTTTGGCTGCAAGGAGTCATAACCTTCAGTGCAACAACTACCAAGCCCTGTGAGTCCTCCCAGCCAGTCAGGGGGATGGAGGGTGGTCTGGAGGGCCCCTCACACAACCTTGTCAAACGCTGTATAAAAATCCACTCAAAATGGATCATATATTTAAATTAGGTTTAAGTTAGGAGCTAAAACTATAAAACTTTTAGAAGAGGCTGGGCGTGGCGGCTCATGCCTGTAATCCTACCACTTTGGGAGGCAAAGGCGGGTAGATCACCTGAGGTGAGGGGTTCAGGACCAGCCTGGCCAACATGGTGAAACCCTGTCTCTACTAAAAATGCAAAAATTAGCTGGGTGTGGTGGCGCACACCTGTAATCCCAGCTACTTGGGAGGCTGAAGCAGGAGAATTGCTTGAACCTGGGAGGCAGAAGTTGCAGTGAGCTGAGATCATGCCACTGCACTCCAGCCTGGGTGACAGAGCAAGACTCTGTCTCAAAAAAGAAAAAAAAAAAAGACTTTTAGAAGGAAACACAGGAGTAAATCATCATGACCTGGGTTACACAATGATTTCTTATATATGACACCAAAAGCATAAGCAACGAAAGAAAAACAGATAAATCAAACATAATCAAAATTCAAACACTTTGTGTCTCAAAAGACTCCATTAAGAAACTAAAAGGACAATCATAGAATGGGAGAAGATACTGAAAATCCTATGGCTGTAAGGAACTGATATTTAGAATGTATAAGGAACTGTTACAACTCAATAATAAAAAAGATAACCTAATTAAAAATGGGCAAAGGATCTGAAGAGACATTTCTCCAAATAATGCACACAAATGGCCAACAAGCACATAAGAAGACGTTTAACATCCTTAGTTGTTAGAAAACCGCAAATCAAAAGCGCAATGAAATGAGATACCACCTCACACCCACTAGGATAGCTAGAATCAAAAAGACATACAATAACAAGTTTGGTGTGGATGTGGGGAAACTGGAGCCCTCACTTACTGCTGGTAAGAAGGAGAAATGGTGCTGCCACTATCTGGTAGTTCCTCAAAAGCTAAATGTGCTGTTATGATCCAGTAATTGCATTTCTAGCTATACAATCAAAAGAAATGAAAACCAGCATCTACACAAAAACCCGCACATGAAAGCTCATAGAGGCTGGGCATGGTGGCTCACCTCTAATCCCAGTGCTTTGGGAAGTCAAAGCAGGAGGATCACTTGAGCTCAGGAGTTCAAGACCAGACTAGGCAACACAGTGAGACCCCATCTCTACAAAAAATTTAAAAATTAGTCAGGCATGGTGGTTTGTGCCTGTGGTCCTAGCTACTTGGGAGGCTGGGGAGGGAGGATTGTCTGAGCCCAGAAGATTGAGGCTGCAATAAGCCATAATCCTGCCACTGCACTCCAGTTGGGTGACAGAGTGAGACCTTGTCTCCAAAAAAAAAAAAAAAAAAAAAAAAACAAGAAAAAGAAGTTCTCAGCAACTTCATAGTAGTGAAAAGGTAGAAATAACCCAAATGTCTATCATCTGATGGATGGATAAATACAATGTAACATATCCATGTAATGCAATATTATTCAGCAATAAACAGAACAAAACAGTGATACCTGTGTGAATCTTGAAAATTATGCTAAGTGGCCTGGCACGGTAGCTCACGCCTGTAATCCTGGCACTTTGGGAGCCCAAGGCAGGCGGATTACCTGAGGTCAGGAGTTTGAGACCAGCCCGGCCAACATGGTGAAACCTTGTCTCTACTATAAATACAAAAATTAGCCGGGCGTGGTGGTGGGTGCCTGTAATCCCAGCTACTCTGGAGACTGAGGCACAAGAATTGCTTGAACCCGGGAGGGAGAAGTTGCAGTAAGCTGAGATCACGCCACTGCCCTCTAGCCTGGGTGACAGAGCAAGGCTCCATCTTAAGAAAAATAAAAGGAAAATTATGCTAAGTGAAAATTATGCTTTGTGAAAGCCAGTCACAAAGGGCCACATATGGTATGATCTACTCATATGAAATGCCCAGAGCAGGCAAATCTACAGGGTCAGAAAGCAGAGTGGTGGCTGCATACGGTTGAGGGAGGGAAGAATGAAGGGTGGCTGATAATGGGCTGGCATTTATATTTGTTCTAAATTTGACTGTGACTGTACAACTCTGTGAATGTGCTGAAAGCATTGACTTTTACACTTCAAATGGGTGAACTGTATGGTTATGTGAAAAAAAAAGCTTCTACCAAAATAAGATGAGAATTTACTATGAAAAACCTTATGTCAAAAAATCAGAAAATTTTGGCTGGGCGCAGTGGCTCACACCTGCAATCCCAGCACTTTCGGAGGCTGAGGCGGGTGGATTGCTTGAGCTCAGGAGTTTGAGACGAACCCGGGCAACTTGGTGACACCCCATCTCTACCAAAAATATAAAAATTAGCCAGGTGTGGTGGCATGCACCTATAGTTTCAGCTAATGGGGAGGCTGAGGTGGGAGGATTGCTTGAGTCCAGGAGGCTGAGGCCAAAACAGTGGTTTTTAACATTTTTATTACTTTTTACTGTTGTAGTGTTATTTTTTCTTTCTGAACATTTTTGACCCAAGGTTGGTTCATGGAGGTGGAACCCAAGAACACTGAGGGCCAACTGTATGAGACTTCTGTCAATTCTGTCATGATCCATAGGATTGTTCATATCCTGATTAAAATCCTCACTGTGGGATGGGAAAAGCTGATTCTAAAATGAATATGAAACTACAGTGGGGAAGAATAGCCAAGGAAGTCTAGGAGACAGAAAGACGTGCTTTCTCATACACGGTAGATGACTACAAAGCTACAGAGTGGTGCTGGGATACCGACAGCAACTGACACTGGGTTAGAGCAGAGCAGAAACACAGCCACACATGCATTGTCACGTGACCAGCTACAAAGGTGGCAGCGTGAGGGTTGGACGGAATTGTTTCAAAAATGAATTTCAGGTGAATTTCGCATCTCAGTGTGAAAGCAGAGTGAAGTATCCAGAAAGCAATGCAGAATACCTTCACGACCTGAGAGTATGCAAAGATTTCTCAAACAGCACAGGAAAAGCACAGCTATGAAAGAAAAGATACCAGTTGATGCTGGAATGAAGAGCTGCCCATGGAAAGGCTCACGAGGGGAGTGCAGCGCCTGCCTCACAGGAGAGCAAGACAGCTCTTCTCTCTCAGCAGGGGCCACATCTCTTTCACCTCCCTTCCCCGCACCCGACACTGCTCTCCATCCAGACGCAGGTCCAGGAGTCCAGATTCGCACCCAGGGAGCTTCAGTGCAGACCCAGGACCGACAACCACTGTTTCTCTAATGCGTTCTACTCTGACTACTCTGCCAGATGGAAAGGGGTGCCCACACAGAAGCAATGAGTAAACAGGCAGTTTTGTTCATGTTTTTGCTTTTGACAGAGAAGATGGTGTGAAGCTAGAGCGACATGAGGAAGAGCGAGCGGCCGAGCATCCTCACCTCCACTAGGGCAAACTTCTCCTCGCTGGTGTAGTTGTAGCGCGTGGCACGCTCGTACTCTTCAGCGCTGTCGGGGCAGTCCTTGTTGGAGTACTTGTCGGTGGGGTGCACAAGCTTCCAGGAATACTGTGGTGGCCGAAAGAGCAGAGGTGTTCCATATTGCATGCAAAACGCCTGGCTTCTGGTCTGACTCACACGATGGTGGCCAAAGCCAGGCCAGCCTTCAAACCTTTGCTGCATTCTGAAAGTCACACATGAGGGCGCACACACCGTCCATCTCCACAGATGGGCAAAAGACCCTGGCCCTGTAACCTCTCGTTTAAAAAATCTACCCGGCAAAATGGCCTGGATAGTGAGTGCTGAGTATCTAAGACTCTGGCATTTCATCATCATTTTAAAAAGGATTCTGGGCCAGGCACAGTGGCTCATGCCTATGACCCCAGCACTTGGGAGGTTGAGGTAGGAGGATCACTTGAGCCCAAGAGTTCAAGATCAGCCTGAGCAATATAGTGAGGCCTCATCTCTACAAAAAATAAAATAATAAGTAAGTAAATAAAGATTTTGCCTTTCAAATGACCATGTACTCTTCCAATTTGATAATTTTTATGTGATCAAAATAAATCACAAAAGGGAAAATCTTTCATTGCTTACAGGTATCCAAATCTTTATATGGCACCAGAAATAATTTACTAATGTTCAACAAAAGACATTGATGGCTGGAGCTCCAAAGAGAAAATGTTATCTTAAAAATGCAGGGCGTGAAGCGACATTAATGGGTACAAATGTACAGTCTGATATTAGAAATAAGACAGTGTTAGATAGATCAGTTAGGGTGACTATTAATTAAAATAATTTATGGTACATTTCAGAATAGATAGGGAAGAACTCGAATTTTTCTGGCATAAGGACAAATATTTATGGCGATGGACATCCCAAGCACACCAATTAGATCTTTGCAAACTGTATGACTGTATTAAATTATCACATGTATCCTGAAACTATGTACCCCTATTATGCATCAATACAAGTAAATATTTAAAGCAAAATAAAATTTAAATGAAAAAATGAGACTTGGCCAGGTACAGTGGCTCACGCCTGTAATCCCAGCACTTTGGAAGGCCCAGGCAGGCAGATGGCTTGAGGCCAGGAGTTTGAGACCAGCCTGGCCCACACGGCGAGACTGCCTGTACAAAAAAAACCAAAAAACAAAAAACTAGGCCAGGTGCGGTGGCTCAAGCCTGTAATCCTAGCACTTTGGGAGACTGAGGCGGGTAGTTCACCTGAGGTCAGGAGTTCAAGACCAGTGTGGCCAACATGGTGAAATACCATCTCTACTAAAAACACAAAAAAATTAGCCAGAAGTGGTGGTGGGCGCCTGTAATCCCAGCTAACTCAGGAGGCTGAGGCAGGAGAATCGCTTGAACCCAGGAGGCAGAGGTTGCAGTGAGCCGAGATCACGCCATTGCACTCCAGCCTGGGCAACAAGAGCGAAACTCCGTCTCAAAAAAAAAAAAAAAAAAAAAAAAATTAGCCGGGAGCCGTGGTGCACACCTGTGGTCCCAGCAACTTGGGAGGCTGAGGCAGAAGGATCGCTTGGGGTGGGGAGTCAAGGCTGTAGGGACTTATGTTTGCACCACCGCACTCCAGCCTAAGCGACAGGGTGAGACTATCTCAAAAAAAGAGCGACTTAAAGAAAATCACAATGGTACAAATTTAATTCTATCAAGATTTTTTTTAAAAAGGAGGCCCTTCATTTATTACACACATAAATGAAATGTACTTAAAATCACCTTGGAAACATATCTACTGATAGATATTCTCGTCTTTCTAGGGCCAAAGATAAAAAGCCCAAAGACCAAAAGTTAATGTGAATAAAGTGCCCGAGGCAGCTTTGGAGCGGGGCTGGGGTCGGGGACGGGGCCTACCACTTCCATCACGTGCGCGCTCCACTGCGACAACAGCTGCAGGCCCTGCAGCGCCAGGTCGAAGAGCTTGCGGTACTCCGCGTCCGTCTTCTGGGCCTCCTGGCGGCCCGAGCCCGTGACCACCTGCACAAGGCGGGCACGGCCCCGTGAGAAACCAGCGCCCCCACCCAGCTCCCCCCATCCCGGGATCCACCATGAGAATCCACCCCAAAGTCACACGTGTGAAAATAAGAAATGCAGGAGGCCAAGGCGGGCGGATCACAAGGTCGGGAGATCCAGACCATCCTAAAACGGTGAAACCCCGTCTCTACTGAAAAATACAAAAAAATTAGCTGGGCATGGTGGCGGGCACCTGTAGTCCCAGCTACTTCAGAGGCTGAGGCAGGAGAATGGCGTGAGCCCGGGAGGCGGAGCTTGCAGTGAGCCGACACTGCGCCACTGCACTCCAGCCTGGGCGACAGAGCGAGACTCCGTCTCAAAAAATAATAAATAAATAAATAAATAAATAAATAAAAAGAAAATAAGAAATGCTGTGGGTGCTGGACCCTCCTCCCGGGAAAATGGCGGCCAAGGGCGTGCTGCAGAGCACAGAGCAAGGGACAGGCCGCTGCCACAGCCACCGCCTGGGGGACCGCGGGCTGGGCGCGGGGCTGTTACACGCGTGGGCTTGGCGCACTTCCACTAGGCCGGGGAAGGGCAACACACAAGTCACGTGGGTTTGCTTCTATCATATAACCACCCCCTAAATTTAAACATGTGACCTATGGGGAGGAAGGGGCACCGTGGAGAAGGCAGGCTTCTTTGAATATACCTTTTTATAGATGTGATATTAGAACCACACAAATATTTTATATATTTAGGACACAGAATTAAATGAGATCGGAAATGCAATGCCTAGAAGTCAAAAGCAAAATGAAACAATGGCGGGAACCTGCATGGAGCTCACAGCATGACCACTGAGAGGACCCTGAGCAGCTCTAAACACCACGGTGTGACTTAAAATCCTCTGAGTGAGGGGCCCGGTGCGATGGCTCATGCTGTAATCCCAGCACTTTGGGAGGCCGGGGCAGGTGGATTGCCTGAGGTCAGGAGTTCGAGATCAGCCTGGCCAACATAGTGAAACCCCATCTCTACCAAAAATATAAAAAAGTAGCTGGGCGTGGTGCTGCATGCCTGTAATCTCAGCTACTCGGGAAGCTGAGGCAGGAGAATTGCTAGAACCCAGGAGGCGAAGATTGCAGTGAGCCGAGATCCCGCCATCACACGCCATCCAGCCTGGGCAACAAGAGCGAAACTCCATCTCAAAAAAAAAAAAAAAAGTACCCTGAGTAAGAAGCTCAAGGGCAAAATCACCTGCAAAACAAATCATAAAACAATTTCTAGTCACTGTAATTAGTAGTGCTGGCATTGCTCTTTTAAGACTAGATTATGACCGGGTGCAATGGCTCATGCCTGTAATCCCAAAACTCTGGGAGGCTGAGGTGGGCGAATCACAAGGTCAAGAGATGGAGATCATCCTGGCCAACATGGTGAAACCCCGTCTCTACTAAAAATACAAAAATTAGCTAAGCATGGTGGCGTGCGCCTGTAGTCCCAGCTACTTGGGAGGCTGAGGCAGGAGAATTGCTTGAATCCGGGAGGTGGAAGATGCAATGAGCCAAGATCACACCATTGCACTCCAGCCTGGGCAACAGAGAGAGACTCTGTCTCAAAAAAAAAAAAAAAAAAAAAAGGCCAGGCACGGTGGCTCACGCCTGTAATCCCAGCACTTTGGGAGGCCGAGACGGGCGGATCACGAGGTCAGGAGATCAAGACCATCCTGGCTAACACGGTGAAACCCCATCTCTACTAAAAATACAAAAAAATTAGCCGGGCGTGGTGGCGGGCGCCTGTAGTCCCAGCTACTCAGAAGGCTGAGGCAGGAGAATGGCGTGAACCTGGGAGGCGGAGCTTGCAGTGAGCCGAGATCGCGCCACTGCACTCCAGCCTGGGCAACAGAGCAAGACTCCACCTCAAAAACAAAAAAAAAAAGACTAGATTATGACATAATGACATAAATCAAATTATGCTGGCGTCATTCACCAGGATGTTCAGCTTTCAGAAAAAAGAAAATCAACAAACCTAAAGTCGAATCACTTTAAAATTGTACTCAGAGGCCGGGTGCGGTGGCTCATGCCTGTAATCCCAGCACTTTGGGAGGCCGAGACGGGTGGATCACCAGGTCAGGAGATTGAGACCATCCTGGCTAGAACAGTGTCTCTACTAAAAAAACACACAAAAAACACACACAAAAAAAACCACAAAAAAACACACACACAAAAATTAGCCAGGCGTAGTGGTGGGTGCCTGTAGTCCCAGCTACTCGGGAGGCTGAGGAAGGAGAATGGTGTGAACCTTGGCTTGCAGTGAGCCGAGATTGCACCACTGCACTCCAGCCTGGGCGACACAGCAAGACTCCGTCTCACCCAAAAAAAAAAACAAAAAAAAAAACTGTACTCCGAAAAAAACTGATTTGTTACCTTAGACAATGCCAGAGAAACAATTACAGTCAGATGCCACCTAAGGATGCTCCAGTCAACAAGACCACACACATGATGGTGCTCCCATAAAATCTTAACGTAGTGGAAAAATTCCTACTGCCTAGTGATGTCCTGATGATCCTGACCCCGTGTAGGCCTAGGCTAATGTGTGTGTTTGGGTCTTCATTTTTAACGAAAAAGCTCAAAAGGAAAAAAACAAAAACTTTTTGGTAGAAAAATAATTTACAGAATAAGGAGATAAAGAAAAAATATTTTTGCACAGGTATAGAGTGTGTTTGTGTTTTAAGCAAAGTGTTGTTACAAAAGCCAAAAAGCTCTTTTTAAAAGTAAAAAGTTTATAAAGTAAAAAAGTTACAGTAAGCTAAGGCTAATTCGTTATTAAAGAAAGAAAAAGCCTTTTAAAAAATTTGGCACAGCCTAAGCACACAGTGTTCATAAAGGCCACAGCAGTGCACAGTACTGTCCTAGGCCTCCCACTCGCTCGCCACTCACTCACTGACTCACCCAGGACAGCATCCTTGTCTGACATGCCCAAACGCTTGCCAGGGGTCTGTGTTAGAAGCAGCAGGTGCCCCAACATACCTGGACTACTGGGTTGTCAGTCAGTTTGGTTACATGATGATGACTGGTAACCATGGGGGGTGGGGGACAGGGTGCTCATCGTCCTGCAGTGGGTGGGGCCAACATCCACAGAGTTGTCCCCGCTAAGGTTAATGGTCCTCCTGAGACCCTTGAGGGACTAACCAGTTCAGCAAAGCAGCCTGCGTATATGCCCTAAAACCCGCAGTCCCTGCCAGCAATTTGCAGCACAGACATGCCAGCAGTGCTGGCTCGGAGTCAACCTGGGTGAGTGAGGAGAATGGGAGTGGCCAAAATGACAACATGGCAAACCCAGCTGCAAAGCTGGAAGGAACTAAAGAGAAAGCACCTGTTCTCTGCACCCAACTCCAGGCCCACCTCCTGGACACATGGACCCAATGCCCCTGGGACGTCTTCTGACAGCCACCCAGAGGCTCCTGCTCACCTCTGGCCTCAGGACTTCTTCCCTTCTAGGCTTACAGGGGCCCCAGGTCAGAATCACCCTTTCCTTTCCCAGTGTCCTCCCTTCTCTCCAACCATCTTTCGAGTTGCTTGGAATCACAGTACTAGACTAGGAAATGCCACTTAATCAATTAATTATCTCATCTCTGTCCTTTCTCTTGGGATCCCTATAATGTTTTTTTGAAAAAAAAAAAAAAAAAAAAAAAAAAAAAAAGCTTTTTGTACAGCTGAACAGAGAGAACACTAGTTTCACTGCCTTGTCAATTATAATGGGTGCTTTTGAAGTACAGTCATGCACCACATTTGGTCAATGACAGCATATACAACGGTGGTCCCATAAGATTATAATACCATCTTTTCACTGTACCTTTTCTATGTTTAGATATGTTTAGATACACAAATACATACCATTGTGTTACAACTATCCAGAGTCTTCAGCACAGCAACGTGCTCCATAGGTGTGTGGCCTAGGAGCCATCGGCTGTACCCTGCAGCCTAGCTGTGCCACAGGCTGTATCATCCAGGCTAGCATGAGGACACGATGACGTTCCCACAATGATGAAACTGCCTAATGACACATTTGTCAGAACCTGTCCCTGTCATTATGTGACATATGATCGTATCTGGTAGTAAACTGTTTTTCAAAGCAATTAAACCTAAGATTTGGGTGCAAACACACACAGGCGACCCTCGGGTGCCTGTGCAGCTCCAGGTCGCGGGGCGCACCTCGCTGTTGCTGTAGCGCGCCAGCTCCGAAATGAAGCGCATGTGGTCCTCGCGGATCTGGATCATCTGCTCGCAGATGTTGTACTGAGGGCTGCTGCCGGAGGATGTGCACGTCCATCTGTGCAGAGAGAAAGCACCCGCGTTACCTGCGGAGGCGCCGGCAGGCCACAGCACTGGGGCAGCTCAGGACGCCTGTTTGGCACCAGAGCCACACAAATGGCTTTTATGTTTTTAAAGGGTTGTTTAAAAAAACAACACAGAAGCATATCCGAAGGAGACCACCTGTGGCCTGTAAAGCCTAAAATACTTGTTATGTGTCCTTTACTGAAAAGGTTTCTTGACCCCTGAGACTGAGATGCAACTTCGTTTGTCAAAATCATGGCTGAATGGTGACTGCAGGTTGGCTACGGGCACAGTGCTTGGCAAAAGTCAATGAAAGCCTCCCCTGAGGCTCAGATGGCTCTGTAGAGTCTGCAGTGGGGAGGAGTGCCTGCCAGCATCTGGAACTGTGCTGAGGATCTTTATAGTTCTTCACAGAGTAAGATGGTACACAGTTTAGGATTTAGGGCCACATTGTCTGCAGATGTCACATCTGACACACTGTCAGTCTCTTCTTTTTTTCTTTGAGGTAGGGTCTTGCTCTCTTGCCCAGGCTGGACTGCAGTGGTGCAATCTTGGTTCACTGCAACCTCCACCTCCTAGACTACTCAAGTGATCCTCCCACCTCAGCCTCCTGAGTAGCTGGGACTACAGGCGTGTGCCACCATGCCCGGCTAATTTTTGTATTTTTTCATACAGTCAAGGTCTCACTGTGTTGCCCAGGCTGGTCTCAAACTCCTGAGTTCAAGAGATCCATCCACCTCGGCCTCCCAAAGTGCTGGGATTACAGGCATGAGCCACCGCGCCCCACCCTCTCTTTTTTTTTAAGACAACCTTTTTAAACATAAAGACTATCACCCAGCACTGTCCAATAGGAATCCCTAGGATGATGAAAGTGTTCTGTATCTGTGCTGTCCAACACAGTAGCCACTAACTATTGAACATTTCAAACGTGGCTGTCGTAAGGAAATTAAAATTTCAATTGTATTTTTCTTTCTTTTTTTTTTTTTGAGACGGAGTCTTGCTCTGTCGCCCAGGTTGGAGTGCAGTGGCGCGATCTCTGCTCACTGCAAGCTCCGCCTCCCAGGTTCATGCCATTCTCCTACCTCAGCCTCCCAAGTAGCTGGGACTACAGGCGCCCACCACCACGCCCGGCTAATTTTTTCTATTTTTAGTAGAGACGGGGTTTCACCGTGTTAGCTAGGATGGTCTCGATCTCCTGACCTCGTGATCCGCCCGCCTCAGCCTCCCAAAGTGCTGGGATTACAGGCGTGAGCCACCGCGCCCGGCCTCAATTGTATTTTTCAATAAACTTAAATGTAAATAGCCGCATGTGGCAAAGGCTGCAATACTGGACATTTAATTCCAGGCTGAGAATGTTAACAGTGTTATCTCTAGACAAATAAGCAGGATGTTTGAAAACCGCACAATGAGGACACTGCCGAAAGCTCAAACCAGGCAGCTTTCCTCTCCTCCTACCGAGATTTATTTTCCTCGTAGTGGGCGCTGGTCTTGATATATCTTGCCAGTTCTATTTGCATGTCCCCAAATAGCGGAACCACCTGGAGTTGCTGTATTCAAAGAACAAAAAAATAGAGTCATTATGTATATTTAGTCACCAAATACATAAGCACAAGGAAACTGACTAATGCTAATAATTACTTCGGCTTGAATGCTACCTCTGCAAATGATTCATTACAAAAAAAAAACTATAAGTAACTTCTACATTCGCTTTGAGAGGAACAAAATACAATTTAAAAACCAACATCTATAAAAACTATTCAAATGTTAAAATTAACCTACCATGTTGCTAGATCCACAGTCATAAAAAAAAAAAAATCACTGCATTTCTTTCTTTTTTTTTTTTTTTTTTTTTTTTTTTTTTGAGACAGAGTCTCGCTCTGTCGCCCAGGCTGGAGTGCAGTGGCGTGATCTCGGCTCACTGCAAGCTCCACCTCCCAGGTTCACATCATTCTCCTGCCTCAGGCTCCCGAGTAGCTGGGACTACAGGCGCCCGCCACCACACCCGGCTAATTTTTTGTATTTTTAGTAGAGATGGGATTCACTGTGTTAGCCAGGATGGTCTCAATCTCCTGACCTCGTGATCTACCCACCTCAGCCTCCCAAAGTGCTGGGATTACAGGCGTGAACCACCGCACCCAGCCCTTTTTTTTTTTTTTTTTTTTTTTTTTTTGAGACAGTCTCACTCTGTTACTAGGCTGCGCTGCAGTGCAGTGGCGTGATCTTGGGTCACTGCAACCTCTACCTCCAGGGTTCAAGAGATTCTCCTGCCTCAGCCTCCCGAGGAGCTGGGACTACAGGCAACTGCCACCATGCCCAGCTAATTTTTTTGTATTTTTAGTAGAGACGGGTTTTCACCGTGTTAGCCAGGATGGTCTCGATCTCCTGACCTCGTGATCCACCCGCCTCGGCCTCCCAAAGTGCTGGGATTACAGGCATAAGCCACCGTGCCCAGCCAACTGCATTTCTATATACTAGCAACAATCAGAATACAAAAACTTAAAGAGAAATACTTTGCAACAGCATCCAAAAAAAAATGCATCAGTAAATCTAACAAAAAATGTGCAAGACCTCTAAACAAAAGTACTACCCCGAAAATTCTAGAAAAAGTTCTCAGTAAATGGAGAAATGATCATGTTTGTGCCTAGGAAGGCTTCAAATTTTTTAAATGTCCATTCTCTCAAAATAGATCTATAATCAATCCCAGTCAATATTCCAGAAGAAAAAAAATGGTTTTGGGGGGATAGTGTGTATAAATCAGGAAATCAATTCTAACGTGCATCTCCAAAGGTGAAGGGATGATATCTGAGACTATCCTGAAGGACAAAACTGGAAGACACACCCTTCCAGATTAGGAGTCTTGTTAGAAAGCTCCAACAATTAAGGCAGTGTGGCCCTGGAGCAGGGATGGAGGCTTGTGGACAGGACAGAGAACCTGGACAGAGCCACAGACAGATTCATGACCTTAGCAGCACTGCAGAACAATGGGCTTTGCAATAAATGGGCAGGCCCAACTGGGAAGCCATACTGGGAAAGATCCAAGGACACGAAACCCCTACCTCCTACCACGCGCAGAAGTCAGTTCCAGGGGGATTAGATCTAGGTGAAAAAGGAGACAGAATGCTTCTAGAAGCTAACACAGCAGAAACGTCTCATGAGCTGGATGGCTGCAAAGATTTATTTAGGTGGACATTAATGAAAAGATTCATATATGAGACTACATGAAAATGACAAACTTCTGTTCAGCAAATGACACCATCGAGAACGCGAAAAGGCTACTGGAGGCAGGAGGAGGAAGGGAATATACTGGTCAAAGCGTATAAAGTTTCAATTCCGCAGCATAGTTAAGTTCTGAAGACCTCATCTATGGCACAGTAGCTATGGTTAATAACAATGCATTGAATGCTTAAAATATGCTAAAAGAGTAGATCTTAAGTGTTCTCATCACAAAATAAAAAAAATGGTGTGTTAGGTAATGGACATGTTAAATTAGCTTGAATTCATCATTTCACAATGTGTATGTGTATCAAAACATCACACCATATACCATAAACATACAATTTTTACTTGTCAATTACACCTTGATAAAGCTGGGAAAAAGTGAAAGGGTAGGCCTCTTAGGGGAGAATACATGTATATTAAAATGTAAGGCCAGGTGCAGTGGCTCAGGCCTGTAATCTTGGCACTTTGAGAGGCCAGGGCTGGAGGACTGCTTGAGGCCAGGAGTTCGAGACCAGCCTGGGCAACATAGGGAGATCTCGTTGCTACTAAAAGTTTAAAAACTAGCCAAGCATGATGGTAAGCACCTGTAGTCCCAGCTACTTGAGAGGCTGGGGTGGGAGAAATCACCAAGGCCTGCTACACTCCAGCCTGGATGACAGAGCGAGGGCCTGTCTCAAAAACAAAACAAAACAAACAAACAAAAAAACTCACTTGTGTCCAACAAAGGACATGTATCCAGAATATATAAAGAACTGTAAATCAATAGGGAAAAAAGAGCAAAACACTTGAAGTGGCACATCACGAAGGGAACACGCTAATAACATGGAAAGCCATTAGGGAAACATGAACGAAACACTAGCCAATACAATGAAACACTAGCCAATACAATCTCAATGCTGTACGCATCCTCAGGATATCCCCCCACCCCAAAAAGGCAGTGCTAAGTACTGATGTGGCACCAGCGGCGCATTCTCTCACTGCTGATGGGAACGGAGATCAGGACAGCTGTGCTGGAGCGTCATCAGGCTGCAGGTAACTACTGACACTGAAAACAGATCAGGCCTGTGACCCCCGGTCCCTCTCCTGGGTATGCACCCAACAGAGGACAGTCGACCAGAGCTGCACTGTTTGGACGCGCCAAAACTTGGGAACATCCGAGAGCCCGCCAACATTGGAACGGATAAGTTACGGTGTAGTCATCAGATAGAAAACTACACCACAACCGAAAGCTACAAGCTGTAGCTACGGGCTTCCTCCAGGATGCACCTCACAAACAAGAGGCTGGTGACAGCAGCTGGACGCAGAAGAGTACAAATAGCACAATTCCATCTGTATAAAGCTCCACCCAGGCAAAACCAGCACAGGGCAAAAGGAAAGAGAAAGCGCGGTCACCTCTGCAGACGGGAGAACGTGCATGCCCCAGACTCCACCCAGCCCCAGCGTTTCCTGATATAGATCACAGTCACACAGGGGCTCACTTCCCCAAAATTCAAAGTGCACACAAATCAATAAAAACATTGATCTAAAAACATGTAACTCACCTTGAAGTACTTGTCGATTTTGGATAAGTTTATTCTTTTCTTGGCATCCAACTTATAGATGTTACTGACACTCCCATCCATCAGGTACAGACCAAATCCCATGACCTGAAAAGCCACAAAATGAATGATGCGACAAAGCTCAGAACTGAGAATTTCACTACCCATAAGGACTTACACTGTTACAGCTGATGACTTTGAAGGCACAATTTGAAATAGATCACAAAGATCTATCTTTAGGCTGCTTGTCTGGTGCTTGAAATGCATCATTTTATCCTCAGTGAAACTGGGATACAAAGCGGGGCTGGGCTTCCAGGTCAGTCGCTAAAAGCGGAAAAAACAAATCCTCTCCCCTAGCCTAACCCAAGCGGTAGGGATATTCTAGAGCTACTAAGCTGGTGCAAAAGTAATTGCGTTTTTTTTGCCATTAAAAGTAATGTCCAATATGCAGCCACATGTAACCAGTTAAGTTTCGGTGTATGCAAACTAAAAATTCTTTTTTTGTTTTTTTTTTTTGAGATGGAGTCTGGCTCTGTCATCCAGGCTGGAGTGCAGTGGTGCCATCTCAGCTCACTGCAACCTCTGCCTCCCAGGTTCAAGCAATTCTCCTGCCTCAGCCTCCCAAGTAGCTGGGATTACAGGCGCCCATGACCACCACGCCTGGCTAATTTTTTTTGTATTTTTAGTAGAGATGGGGTTTCACCATGTTGGTCAGGCTGGTGTAAAACTCCTGACCTCAAGTGATCCACCCACCTCAACTCCCAAAGTGCTGGGATTACAGGCATGAGCCACCGTGCCCAGTCACAAACTAAAAATTCTTAACGTGGACTAGCCACCTGCGTGCTCCAGTGCTCCGCAGGGGCTCATGGCCAGGGCTCCCACACCAGCCGGTGCAGACACAACGTTTCTGCTGTCACAAAGCACTCCGTGGACAGTGCTCCCCTGCTCAGGAGGAGTCTGGGGGCTGGGCTGGTGGGACACCCAGCAAAGGGTCCCCCAAGGCCACCCTGCAGAGGTGGAGAAGAGAGCAAAGGGAACAGCCAAACTGCCGCCCATCTTTCCCATGAGAAACACAGATGGAAAGCTTCCTAATTTGAACAGAATAATAAAGAATATGGTGAACCAACAAAAGGCTACTTTAATTATGTGACACAAGGTATCAAAGTCCTAGGAATCACATGCTTGACAAGTAGAATCTTGGATAACTTCTGTCACAAAGCTGGCGGGGCATGGTGGCTTATGCCTGTAATCCTAGCACTTTGCGGGGGACAAGGCAAGAAGATTGCTTGAGCCCAGGAGTTCAAGGTCAGCCAGGGCAACAAAGTGAGATCTCATATCTACAAAAATTCAAAAACTTAGCTGGGCATTGGTGCAAGTGCCTGTGGTCCCAGTTACTCAGGAGCCTGAGGCAGAAAGATCACTTGAGCCAAGGAGGTCAAGGCTATAGTGAGCTGTGTCCGCACCATTGCACTGGAGCCTGGGTGAAAGAGCAAAGCCCTGTCTCAAAAATAAAAAAAAAATAAAAAGGGCAGTGGCTCAAGCTTGTATTCACAGAGCTTTGGGAGGCTGAGGCAGGAGGGTCCCTTGAGCCCAGGAGTTTGAGAACAGCCTGTACAACATGGCAAGATTCTCTCTCTACAAAAAATTTAAAAATTAGCGAGGCATGGTGGCGTGCACCTGTAGTCCCAGCTACTTAGGAGGCTGAGGTGGGAGGATCACTTGAGCCCAGAAGGTTGAGGCTATATTGGGCTGTGATTGTGCCACTGCACTCCAGCCTGGGCAAGAGCAACACCCTGCCTTGAGAATAAAACGAAAAGCAGCTTAAAAAAAAAAAAAAAAAAAAAAAGCTGAGAATCCTTGACCCGGACCTCCTGGCCAGCACCTTCTCCCAGGGTCAGTGTGTGACACACTCATGGGGTGTGTTGAGAGCCTGTTGTGCAGGCTGTGTGCAAGGGCAGGACGCTGTTCACACATGACAGCATGCAAATAAGACACAGCTGTCAAAAGGATTCTAGATAAAGCACAGCCTATTGACAAGAGTAAGGCTGTCCCTCGGCAGTGCCACGGGCTAGCGTCCCCACACACGTACTTTGAGAAGCATGTGTTTCTCACTGGGCGTCAAATACATCCTGTTCTCGTAGTAATCCACACACAGATTCACAATATCTGCCAGGAGCTCTTCGTAGCCAGAAATCACTTCGAGCTGCTGCTGCAGAGACTGAAACACAGAGCAAGAGACTCATGCATGGGCCCGGCGCCCGGCCGGCTGCTTGGCCCATCAACCTGAGTGTGCAAACACCAGCCTTACCTGTGTGATCTTGTTATGATTGGCCAGGAACATGGACAGATTCTGCGATTCCTGGATGGACTGTGGATCTGCCATTTTACGTAAAAACTGAGCGGCCCTTTGAAAACAAAAAGAATTCATCCCAAAATGCACCAACGTGCCACATTAAAAAAAAAAAAAAAAAAAAAAAAAAAAGCCTGGTTCGAGTGGGATCCCTTTCCCCTAAAGTCATCTGCAGAAATGTGGGTCAATCTCAGAAGCCAGCTATGATTTCAGCCTTTTCAGGCGTCTCTGGCCCTGCACTCCAGGTCAGTCTTCTGCCAACTTAGACGTGTCTTGCACAGGCTGGGACAGCTCTCCACCCTGCTGGTCACAGCCGACGGCTCCCTGCAGGGTCCCTGCACACTGGTCTCTGCCCTATACTGGTGGACGCCCACCTCATCTAGGGGGCACAGGGCTCCTGGACCCCGAGTCTGAGAAGGGCCACTGCCATCTCCGTGACTCCCACAAGCCCTGCCATGAAGCCGGCCAGCACTGCTGAGGTTCTCTGCTGGGAACCCTCTGGACCACACCTCCCCAGGCCACCTCAGGGACCACTGGTGTCCAAGGTCCTGAGACAGAGCCCTGGCCTGCCACCAATTTGTAGCTACACCCGTACGTGAGGCCCAACAATACAATACTGCAAGGCCATGCTAAGCCTGCGAGGTCTGGCAGGGCAGGGTGAAGGTGGGGGTGTGAGGATTCTGATCATCTAGGACTGTCCCGCAAGAAAGTTCAGTGGAAACGGCCCACATAAGGATAGGTCTGTGCAACCCAGAACCTTGGGGGTTTAGTTTTAAGAGTTACCAAGGCAAAGGCTGATAACCTACACCAACATTCACTTCCTCCCCTTCCTCCTTAGGAACGAGCCCTGCATTTCTGTGGAACACACATTCCAGGGAGCCCCACACATTCCGTGTGCCTCGCCCACCCTGCAGCTAGCTGTGGCCAAGTGACCAAGGACTAGGCCATGAGATATAATGCAAGATACTGACAAGCACTCAAAGTTTACTCATGAGGAAGCATGGAGCCCATCTTTCCCCACTTTCTGCCTGCTGACTGGAATGGAGAAATGACAGCTGGAGCTTAAGCAACCATTTAGGACCAGGAGGCAACACCTGAAGCGGAGCCGCAGGACCACAGGAGCCCTGGGTCCCGTAGAGCCTCGATCAGCTGCAGACCACCCAATTCAGGACTTTTCAGGAGACAGAGAAATAAACTGCAATCTTTTTAAAGCCACTGTTATTTATCTGGGCTTTAAACAATTGCATACAGTTAAACGTAATATTAACTGATACAGTAACATTCCTTGCCTTTTTAAACATGTTTCCAGGGCGGGGCATGGTGGCTCATGCCAGTAATCCCAGCATTTTGGGAGAAGGAGGCAGGCAAATCACTTGAGTCAGGCGTTCAACACCAGCCTGGCCAACATGGTGAAACCCCATCTCTACTAAAAATATAAAAATTAGCCCGGTGTGGTGGCTCACACCTGTAATCCCAACTACTCGGGAGGCTGAGACAGGAGAATTGCTTGAATCCAGGAGACGCAGAGGTTGCAGTGAGCCAAGATCGTGCCACCGCACTCCAGCCTGGGCCAGTGAGACTCTGTCTCAAAAAGAAAAAACCATGTTTCCTTTTTTTTTAAATAGACACAGGGTCTCACTCTGTCACCCAGGCTGGAATACAGTGGTACAATCACAGCTCACTGCAGCCTCTACCTCCTGGGCTCAAGTGATTCTCCAACCTCAGCGTCCCAAGTAGCTGGGACCACAGGTGCATGCCACCACACCCAGCTAGTTTTTTTTGCTCTTGTTTTTTTAGAGATGGGGTCTTGCTATGTTACCCAGACTGGTCTCAAATTCCTGGGCTCAAGTGATCCTTCTGCCTCAGCCTCTCAAGGTGCTGGGATTACAGGTGTGAGCCATCGCACCTGGCCATGTTTGCTTTATTGATTTGAGTAGCTGCTGAGGTGGCGGGTGGGGAGACTAAGGAAAGGGTCAAGGATACTGTTTTCTATTTTCCTCAAGCCTCACCATAACCATATGAGTTATCTTGGCATTGACACTTAAAAGAGGTTATACTAGTAGCCACGAGCAGGTGCCAAAAGAGCTAGATGCGTGTGTGTGTGGTGGGGGTCTTGGGAGGGGTGGGGGTGATGGTCTGGGAAGGTTAACCAACAGGGGTCCCAGATAGAGGTCAGAGGAAGAGGCAGCAGTAAGAGCTACGGAACTGCCCCAGGCCCACTCTTTGGTGCTCAGGGGAACCTGGAGGTGGTGAAGACGCTAGAGGGGAAACCCTCCTTCCCCCAGCTTTGCACACAGCAGCCCCATCTGTAAACTGTTTTACAGACTAGGCTTTAGAATAAAGGTGCTAGTGCTAAAAGGAAAAAAAAAACAACAACACACACACACAACTTTTAAATACTTTTAAATATTGAAAACCACCTCCCCCATTTCCCTGACAAAGCCAAAACGGCGGCTGAGAAGGCTGCTTAAAATCACACAGCTACTGGATTGGGCGGCTGGGACCAGGAGCCCACTCCGACCAGTGAGTCTCGATGCTAGATTCCCACAGATGCTGTTATCAAACAGGGACCCTTCAGACTTCTGCCCCAAGAGGGGCTCACAGGTCAACCCCAGAGACCTTTCTCTAGTTCTGAAGATCTAGACTTCTGTGCAGAGCTGATGATTTTAGGTGATAAATGGAACACTGCATTATTTCACATGAATGAGGCTTAAAATTCTGCCTGACCTAGCTTGACTCCTACTGCTGCCTCATTTTGTCCCAAGTGGGTTTTTTAAATAAAGACATAGCAACAGTTGTATGATTTAAAATGCAACATAACTAGAGCATATTCAGATGCAAAGTAAGGTCTCTTCGAATTTAATTTTAGAGCTAAGATGCCTTACTTAGCAGAGGAAATTGAAATTAGCATCTCATTCCAGCAAAACATGTCTTCAAAAGCACTGAGCACAGATGAAGCAGAGCAAGAGCATCAGGAGACAGCGTGCCAAGTGTCACCAAACGCCGGTCGGCAGCGCGCCAAGTGTCACCGAACGCCGGTCGGCAGCGCGCCGAGTGTCACCAAATGCCCATCGGCCACCCACTGCCCCACACTGCTCCAGAAGCACACACTGGGCCATGCCTGCCTCTTCCGCTCGTCTTGCCAGCCTCTCCAGAGGCTAGCTTCTCCAGAAGCTCTCTACATCCAGAAAGAAAACCACCAGGGAGAGGATCTGGAAGCGCAGTGTGACCACGAGACACCCTGTGACTGTGCACGGGCCACGTCTGCACATTGCTGGGATGGTGCTCATGTGCTGGGGACCCCCGCTGGCGAGTGACCGGCACCGAGGACTGCAGCCCCAACGCCCAAGGTAGGCTGCAGAGGCCACCTGCCCCCTTGCCAAGATGCTCCCTGAGCCAGATGCCTGTGCTCTGTGAGCTAGGCCTACATCTTGTGCATGTCTGTCTTCCCAGGGGCTCGAAGGTCCTCTGTGACATCTGAGGACAGCCAGGGCACGAAGAGCCTGCTCTAGCTGTGCAAAGCCACGATATGCACTTATCTGCTGGCTCCCCTCACCTTATCCCTCGAAGCAGGTGCTCACACAGCCCTGACACTGAGACGTAGCTGCTGCCTACCAGAAGTGACGACTTCAGCAAACAAAGACGCACACCTGCTGTGCACAAGGCAGGCCACTGAGCTGGGTGCTCTCGGGAGGGCCCGCAGTGCGCGAGGCCGGTGCTCACCTCTTGTACGCTGAGTGGTCGTTCTTCACACTGCACTTCATGTTCTTCAGCTCGTCCAGCACAGCGAACATGTTGATGAATTTGCCCAGTGTGATCAGGTAGGCTTCTGACACGAAGTCCTTCCTCCTCTCGGCATGGCACAGGCGCCTCACTTCCCCGCAGAAACGCTCAATGGCATTTCTCTGTGCAGAGGAAGCAGGAGGGCAGAAAGCTGCAGGTCAGTGAGGAGCCAAGCCCATGTCCCTCCTTCAAGCACCTGCAGTCACTGCTCCTCGATGAGAAACGATCTGCCCAGTGAGGCTCCAGGCCGAAGTGTTTACAATGTGGGCAACCAGACCCCTTCCTGAAAGCAGCTCCCACTGCCTGCTCTGCACCATCATTACTTGACTTGCACTTTACCAACTACATCACTAAAGTAACAAAATCTTGCTGATTATTCCAGCAAAATTACTGAGCAAAATGCTCCAATAAAACGCCTGTAAAATTCAGATGTTCTAACTTTCAGAAGTGAAAACTGGGAGAGATTTTTTTCCTCTTGGTAACTTTCAAGGTAAAACAAAAATTCATCTCCCAGTTAGTTCCATCTCCTCCCTTTGCTGAAGGACATCATCATAAAAAATCTGGATGTTTCCAAAATACTTCTTTAAAAAGCAGCAAGCCCCTTCCATGTGGCTACTTCTTGCCTAACCAAGGCCAGGGCGAGGACCACCAGGAATGGACAGTCAGGGTGAGGCTAACAGCAAGAAAATACCTGAAAGAGCAGACGAAAACAAAAGTACAAATTGGCCAGGTGTGGTGGCTCACACCTGTAATCTCAGCATTTTGGGAGGCCAAGATGGGCAGATCATCTGAGGTCAGGAGTTCAAAACCAGCTTGGCCAACATGGTGAAACCCTGTCTCCACTAAAAATACAAAAATTAGCTGGGCGTGGTGGCGGGCACCTGTAATCCCAGCTACTCAGGAAGCTGAGGCAGGAGAATCGCTTGAACCTGGGAGGCAGAGGTTGCAGTGAGCCGAGATCATGCCATTGCACTCTAGCCAGGGCGACAAAGCAAGACTCTGTCTCAAAAAAAAAAAAAAAAAAAAGTACAAACTGGCAAAAAGTCAAAGCATTGTACTTGAAACTGACAGAAAGCAGGCTCCATGAAGGAAACACAAAATCACTCTCAGAGAAGAGAAGTGAACCACAAAAGGAGCGTTGATTCCGAAAGGGCATGAGGAACTTTAGACTGTCAAAGGCTTGGTCCCTTTTGTCTCAGAAACTGGTTGCTTTAATTTGCAGGCACTCTGTTCAGGGTGTTCACAGTGACAGTGATGGGTAGGAAGGGGTCAGCAACCCACCCCTCGGTGTTACACCCCGCCCAGATTATTTGCCATTTTACCTGGAAGTACATGAAATTCATCAGTTTTGTGACCTCAGGCTCCAGAACCTCCACGGTTTTCTCGTAGATTTCCACTCTGTTAGGCTGCTCGTTACATTTCACCTGGGAATAAAGGAACAAGGATGACATAAGAGGCTTTGATCCAGCCAGAAGCAGCCGCTGGGCTTCTAGAGCTAGTGATCCCGCCCTGCTGTGGGGTGAGAACTGGGAGGAGAGTGGGCCAGGCATGGCAGGGGCAGGGGTGTGGTGTGGCAGGGGCCTGGCAGGGTGTGGCTGGAGGGGAAGAGCCAGGCGAGCGTGGCACCTGTGGGATGGCCCGGGAGCAGCTCCTCCAGGTGTACAGCATGACAGCATATTCTTGGCCCTCCTCCAGCATCTCGTTCTGCAATGGAACACAGGGCAAATCAAAGGCAGGCGGGGGAACTAGCATGAAAAGCAGATGCCAGTTGCTAAAATCCAGACAAAGCGCCACAAACTATCCTAAGCACTGTGGCCTGTGTGCCAAGAGACGGCTGCCAGAAGCTAGTGACACTGAGGTGCGGCGCTGGGGGCCACAATAACCACCCAAAACACCCCATGGCTTCTGCAGGCGAGAGGGGTGTCAGTGACACGCAGGCATCTCTGAGGGGTGCCACAGGCGTTACACCTTGGCTCCACCCAGCCCTCAACAACCTGCTGGCCATGAGACCTGCAGTTAGGAACACAGAGGAAGGGCTCAGGGCAGACGCCCTGCCCGGTGTGAGCACACACAGGATCCCCATGGCCTCCTCACTGGCTCACAGGGCCTCCCGGTCCCAGAGAGGACTAGAGGCAGGGCTGCCAGCCCCGGGTGTGCAGGAGGAAAAGTTAGGAGCACGCCCACAGCACTTAAAATCTAGGTAGAGAGTCCATGGGAAGAGGACTGTCATCACTGCTGTAAAACTGCTTTTGCTTTCCACTCTTTAACATCGTTTCCTTTGGAAAAAATCAAATAGATGCTCTTAAATCTAGCCTTTATTTAGTGAGACGTTCATCACAGTATTTTTTTTTTTTTTGAGACGAGTCTTGCTCTGTCCCCCAGGCTGGAGTGCAGTGGCACGATCTCAGCTCACTGCAACCTCTGCCTCCCGGGTTCAAGCAATTCTCTTGCCTCAGCCTCCTGAGTAGCTGGGATTACAGGTGTGCGCACCACCATGCCTGGATAATTTTTGTATTTTTTTTTTTTTGGAGAGACAGGGTTTCACCATGTTGGCCAGGCTGGTCTCGAACTCCTGACCTTAGGTGATCTGCCCACTTTGGCCTCCCAAAATGCTGGGATTACAGGCGTGGGCCACTGCGCCCAGCCTACAGCATTTTTTTATTATACGACATAAAAGAGGAAGTCAATGCGCAAAAATAGTTGAATTGTGGACATTTACAAAATGGTTTACGTAGCCATTAAGGATTGCTTTCTCTAGCACATTTTCATGGCATGAAAATATTCTTGTCCAGGTGCAGTGGCTCAGGCTGTAATCCCAGTACTTTGGGAGGCTGGGCAGGCGGATTCCTTGAGTCCAGGAATTCAAGACCAACCTGGGCAACATGGTGAGACCTCGCCTCTACAAAAAACACAAAAAAGTAGATGGGCATGGTGGTGTGTGCCTGTAGTCCCAGCTACTCAGGAGGCAGAGGTGGGAGGATTGCTTGAACCCGGGAGGTTGAGGCTGCAGTGAGCCCTAATCACACCACTGCACTCTAGCCTGGGCAACCTGAGTGAGACCATCTCAAAAAAAAAAAAGAAAGAAAGAAAACCTGTTGATGAGATCATTAAAATGCAGAACTAGCTAGGTGTGGTGGCTCATGCCTGTAATCCCAGCACTTTGGGAGGCTAAGGTGGGCAGATCACTTGAGGTCAGGAATTCGAGACCAGCCCGACCAACATGGTGAAACCCTGTCTCTACTAAAAATGCACAAATTAGCTGGGCGTAGTGGTGGGCGCCAGTAGTCCCAGCTACTCGGGAGGCTGAGGCACAAGAACTGCTTGAACCTGGGAGGCGGAGGTTGCAGTGAACCAAGATCGCGCCACTGTACTCCAGCCTGGGTGGCAGAGCAAGACTCTGTCTCAAAAAAAAAGCAGAACTATAATAACAATGCAATTCATTTATAAATCTAAATCTCATATGGGCACATACCTGGTGTGTGTGGGTGCAGATCTGGAGAGGGAATGAGCATTAACAGGGCAGGCGCACCCTTGAAACGCTGACAAAGGTTTTCTCTGGGCCAGAGACATTGAATTTTCAGAACCAGCATGTATTGTTTTTATACTAAGAAAAGCAAAGACTGTCTTAAAAATATAAGGCATTTCATTCATTTTCTTCTCTTTTTCCTCACTGCATAGTCTATTGGGATAATACCAAAAAGTATACATCTGTCCTTCAAACACGCCCTTCTCTGCAGAGAGAAACAAAGACACACCGCAACATTACCATGCTAGAGTGGACGGTGGCTTGTTCAATGTATCTTGCGATGCCAGTAACAAATGCATTTCTGTCTTCAAAGTTAGTGTTGAAATTTGGCTGAAGGAAAGGAAGAGAAAAACATCATGTGGGGTCGGAGCACAGGCTGTACGCCCTGCAGCTGCTGGGCACCCACCTGGTAGAGCAGCGAGGATGGCGGGGGCTCGATGCAGGGCTGCTGGTCAGGCAGGGGCAGCTCCTCCAGGAGGTCCACGTTGGACAGCGCGTCCTCCAGAGTCACCTGGGCCGCCATCCTGGGCTGGAACAACACATAAGGACCCCTGTTCTGTGAGGAGAAGGAGGGGACACCCAACAAGCTTCGAGGTTGGGTACCCAGGCCTCTAACCCCTTCCCGCTCTCCCGAGGGCACCGGACATGGCTGACAGGGGCATGATCAGTCCTTGGGAGTTGCGTGTCTCTCTCAGGGCACGTGGGCCAGCAGGCTGGGAGGCCCTGTGCAGCTTATCCTTCCACACTCGCTGAGAACAGGCTCTCCTGGCCTCCAGGAGGGTCACAGTATGGGGCACATGGTTCCTGCCATCCTTCCCACCATGGGGGCCGCCGTCCTGAGTTGCTGGTGCTGAGGACTCTCTCGAGGGTCTGACGACCCCCTCAAAGTGCTGGAGGGGCAGCACCTCTCCAATGCCACATCTGCCCAGCAGAGCCTCCCTAAATGCAGCCACCTCCCAGGTGGTGCCTCCAAACACACTAGGGCCTGACATGGAAAAGACGAGCGCCCTGCCGCCCAACACCAGCTGTCTAGCTGCACAGACAGGCTGAGATTGCAAGGAGTATGGGGCTGCCGCAGGGGACAGAAAGTGCCACACCGCAGCTGGAGCAGAGGTGCAGAAATGAAGGCAGACATCGTCTAAACACACCTTCAGAGCCAGCTCCAGGGAGAGGGGGCAATCTGCCTTCTGCTGAATCTGCTCCAGTCTCAAGGGTACTCAGGAGGAGCTCTGCCCTGGGATGGGACCAGGGGCAGCTGAGCCACATTCTATGAAGGAAAGAGCAGCAGGTGGCCTGGAGGAGACACTGAACAGAAGGAGCCCCAAATCCCTCCTCCAGCACTGGCGCAGGCATGGAGGTGCACAGTGGAACGGGTAGTCAGTCCCACTGCACTGGCTGAGGGTGGAGAAGGGAAGCTCTCCAGGGACCCAGGAAGCCCCAGTGGCAGTGTGGAGAGGAAGCAGCTCAGAAGAGCCAGCCGACAAAATTGCTCATGAGCTTCAAGCCCATCCTCAAGCTGCAGGGGTGTGGATCTGATCCTCTTCACACCCCAAACCCTGAGACCACAGCCAGACAGCCACCAGCGGCACACAGGGGGCAAGTCCAAGTGGCAGTGCAGGAGGCTGTGAAGCCAGAATTGACATGGAGCTGCCACCCACTGAAGGCAAGTCAGAACCACAGCCCAAGTCTCCTCAGGGTGTTTGCTTTCTAAAATAAAAATATCAACATCCTCCTAGGATTTTAACAAGACCCAGATCTCATATCATAACATCCAACCATCCACTTACAGCCCAGATTACTCAGCACACAAAGAACGAGGAACGTATGGGCTCCTACAGGAAAAGAGAATCAACAGATGCCAAAATAACACAGGTGCTGCAATTATCCACCCGACTTTAAAGCAACTACTGTGCTATGAAATGCTCTAACGATTGTAACACTCCCAAACTGAATGAAAAAATGGAAATCAGCAAAAGGCAAACAAAACAAGATATAAAGAAGAACCAAATGGAAATTTCAAAACTAAAAGACACACTACTGAAATGTAAAAAAAAAAAAAAAACCTCAGGAAAGATTCAGTGAACTTGAAGATAGAGCAATGTTAAGTTTTCTAATCTGAATACCAGAGAGAAAAAAGATTGAAAAAATTTTGGGGATCTTCGGGACAAGAGAGAAGGTCTAACATCTGTGCCATGAGAGTGCAAAAGGAAAAGGGGAAACCAAGCAGTGATGAAAAACAGCTGAAAAAAATGACAGAAAACACCCTAAATTTGGAGAAAGTCTTTTGTCTACAGATTCAAGAAGCTCTATGGATCCCAAACAAGACAAACAAGAAATCCACACCCAGACACATCACGGTCAAACTGCTGAACACTAAAGATAAAGGAAAACGGATCTTGAAAACAGCAGGAGAAATGACGCTCAGCAGAGCACAGAGCAACAGTGGGAGGGCCGCGGATTCCCCCCGGGGACCAGGCAGGCCGGAGGGCGGGCACAATGTGCCTAAGCCTAAAGCGGGGACCAGGCGGGCCGGAAGGCGGGCACAATGCGCCTAAGCCTAAAGGGGGGAGGTGCCAACTTGGGATCCTCCCTCAAGATGGGAACGTGTCTTCCAGGAAGGAAGGTGAAGCCAGGACGTGGGCAGAGGAGGAAAACAAAGAGCATGCTGGCCAGCGGTACAGGCTGACAGGAAGGGAGGTGGAAGGAGGCATGGGCTACGAACCACAAAGCAGAGGCAGTAGGCAGGCTAAGCGGCGAGGGCGCAGGACACACAACGACCCCACAGCTCTTCCAAAGTGCTTGGCGGTTAAAAGCAAAAATCAAAGTACTGTCTAATGGGCCTTTCAGTGTACATAAATGTAAATTACACAAATACATAACAAGTAAATTATAAAATATTTCTAGGTATATAATTGTATAAATCATATAAACAAGACAACTGTAATCTAAAAGGGGGAGGGGAAACCTGGATGGGGTAAGATTTCTATGTCCCACTAGAAGTAGTAAAAAGCAGACTTTTCAGATCCTCAGCAGAATATGAAATGTTAATAAGCATGGACTTCGAAATCCTTAGAGCAACCACCGAAGAAAGCTGTACAGCCAGGCGCTGCAGTCCCAGCTACTTGGGAGGCTGAGAAGGGAGGATCACTTGAGTCCAGGAGTTCAAGGCCTGTCTGGGCAACACAGTGAAATCCTGCCTCTTTTAAAAAAAGAAAAATTAACATACTTTTTAAAAAAGCTATCCAAAGCAAAATAGATAACATATAATTTAGAATAAATTAAAACAGAATACTATGTTTTTAAAAACCTAAAAGGAAATAGAGCAATGATAAAGATAGTGATCTAACAGAAGTCAGATAATAAAATGGTAGACCTGAATCGAAACACATTGATAATTACACTATCATAATAATCTAAAAACACCAATTAGAAGAGGTTGTCAGAACAGATAAATAAAATCCTAACCCAACCATATGCCATCTACAAGAAACTTACTTCAAATATACTGATACAGGTAGGTAAGTCGAAAGCAAAAGGGGAAAAAGGTGAACCAGGCAAGCGCTGGCCAAAAGGAAGCTGGGGTGGCTTTGTCAGCACCAGACCCAGCCAGCCTCCGAGCAAGGAACTCATCAGAGAGAGAGAAGGAAGGGGTCAGCTCCCCAAGGAGCCAGAACAACCCTCAATGTGAATGCACCCGGCCAAAAAGCTTCCTTCACGTTACACTAGGCACAAGCTGACAGAGCTGGAAGAAGAAATGCCATAGCCACCCCCGAATCTCAGTTTCACTTTCCACGATTTCAATGACCAGAGGTCAACTGCACTCCAAAAATATTAAACGGAAAACTCCATTCACAAACACTCCGTAAGTTTTAAACTGTGCGCTGTTCTGAGTAGGATGATAAACTCTCAGACCGTCCTGCTCCTCCCACCCAGGACACAAACCATCCCCTTGTCCAGCGTGTCCACGCTGTATGTGCGACCCGCCTGTGAGCCACACAGTAGCCGGCTGGGTCGCCAGCATGGGACTGCAGCGGTATGGCCAGGCTGGTCAAGGTCAGCAGCGGCCTAAGGCTGCATTGCAATGCCTGCGCCGCCCATCTCACCGCCATCTCACGGCGGGCACCAAAGGGCAAGAGAGAGAGAGAGAGACCACGTTCACATAACTTTTATGACAGTATATTGTTACAACTGTTCTATTATTATTGTAATCTCTTACCGTGCCTAATTTACCAATTAAAGTTCGTCACTGGTATGCAAGTACGGAAAAACATAGACTACGCAGGGTTCAGTACAGTCTCCAGGCTCAGGCATCCACGCGGGGTGTTGGGCCGGTTCCACAGATACATGGAAACAATTGCAGGCCAATCCCCAATGGCGGCTGGAGACGCCACCCATTTTCTCAGGAACTGACTGGAAATGAGGGAGAACAGAGGCACCGGCCGCACCGCCAGCCACCTGGACCTCCCCGACACGTAAGGGAACGCCCCCGACCGCAGCCGGTCACTGCTGCATGTTCCTCACTAGAAATCTACATGTAGCAGAAACTCTCGTCCACTTCCCTCCACATCACAGCTTCCTGTTCCACACACCTCAGAAAGGAGCAGTGCAGGGCAGCCCCGGCCGGGTGGGTGCAGGGTCCAGCCCCAGCGCTGCCTGCAGAGCCAGCATGGGGGGCCTGCCCTTGGTGTCCACGCAGGCACCTCAGGGTGATGCCGCTCGGAGGGGCCAGGCTGCCTGAGGACGTGCTTCGGCCCCATAGGGGCTGCCCGTGTCCTGCGACTCCAGCCCAGAGTCCCGCAGTCTGCCCTTTCTGCGGCCTGAACCCAGATAGTGCCAGGAGAGGCCTGGGGGCGTGTCCAGTCATGCCCGGGCCCCACGCGGGTCAACAAGAAGACAGGTCGGACCGAGCACCCTGGGAAGCCACAGATCCCACATGGCAACAGCCCCTGACCCCGCGCAGCACCCACAGGGACTCGCCTTCCTCCCCGGCCTCTGCCCAGGAGAGGCCAAGATGACCCCATGGTGGAGGAAGGTGGGGAGGGGCGCCACAGACAGGCTCGGGGGAGAACTGCTCGTGCGTCAGCTGTGATCCACAGCAGGGACCACTGATGTCGAACCCACGGAAAAACGCCAGATGCGCAGCTTGTTGAACCCACGGAAAAACACCAGATACGCAGCTTGTTGAACCCATGGAAAAACGCCAGATGCGCAGCTTGTTCCAAGCCAGTGCTTGCAGACTTCTTTCTTTGTATAAAAATAACAGTATTTATGTGGTCAGTGGAATGTTAGCCTTAAAAGAAAGGAAATTCTGACAAGTTACAACATGGTTGAACCTTAACGACCTTAGGCTAAGTGAAATACGCCAGTCACAAAAGAAAAAACGCCGCATGATTCCACTCATATGAATTACCTAAAGTGGTCAAACTCAGAGACAGAAAGGAGAACAGTGGTGACAGGGGCTGCGTGCTGGGCTGGGGAGTTGGTGTTTAGTGGATACAGAGTTTCGGCTTGGAAAGATGAAACGCTCTAGCTGGACAGTGGTGGTGGTTGCAGAATAAGGTGAAATGTACTTAACGCCACTGAGCTATACACTTAAAATGGTGAAGATGGGGGAGGACGCGGTGGCTCCAGCCTATAATCCTGGCACTTCAGGAGGCCGAGGCGGGCGAATCACGAGGTCAGGAGTTCGAGACCAGCCTGGACAATATGGTGAAACGCCATCTCTACTAAAAATACAAAAAATTAGCTGGGCATAGTGACAGGTGCCTGTAATCCCAGCTACTCAGGAGGCTGAGGCAGGAGAATCACTTGAACCCAGGAGGCGGAGGTTGCAGTGAGCTGAGATCGCACCACTGCACTCCAACCCCAGCGACAGAGTGAGGTGAGACTCCATCTCAAAAAAAAAAAAAAAAAAAAAAAAGGTAAACATGGGGGTAAAGTTTATGTTATGCATATTTTACTACAATCAAAAATAGCAATGTTTGATGCTGATTAATCAGAAAACATGGAAAAGGAAAAAGAAAACCTATCATCAATCATCCCACTGTCCCTTACAAAAACAAGATACTGTCATACAAACTGCTTTGTAAGCTCTTTCTTTCTCCCAGCTTCCACAAAATTTCTCAAGTCATCAGAGCACCGTGCGGAGTGCTGGCCAGGGCCCTGCTGTGGCAAACTGCTGTTCTCTCCTATTCTTCACATTTTCATATTTCAGGTTTTTCATGATCATAGGCAGCCCTCCCACATCCGCCTTGGTGTGTGATGCCAAGCAGCTGTCACCGCACGCACACGGCCTGGGCCCGGCCCGCTTCCAAGGGCTCTCCGTCCGTGCATCTTCCATAGATGCGAATCTGCACAGCTTCTGCCTCACCCTGTTAGGCGGACTTGGAGTAATCAGCTCTAAATCCAAGTCTCCAAGGTCTCAGCCCTGGCAGCGTGGGTGCAGGGTCTGGCCTGGGTGCCACCTACAGAGCCAGCGTGGGGGCCCTGGCGGTGTCCACTCCACACAGGCACATCAGAGCTCATGTCTCATCCCATCTTGTTCTCTGACTCCTCACAGTTCCACCTCCCAAAGCTCTTTCAAGTGCATTTACTTTGCTCTCTAACTGCCACCAGCGGACCCTGCACCCCACTGCTAGAGAACAAAGGCAATGCGTGACTCCAGCCGCCTGCACCCTGGGATTTTTTCCGGCCCTCCTTTTGTCCTCCCATGAATGCCACGTCCCACAGGGATTTTCCCCCAGCACCAGCATCCAGCACAGCCTCTAGTCTCCTTCTGTGTCTAAGAAGCCCCCATTCCCAGGCAGGAGCACCAGGTCTGGCCTGGTCACTGCAAAGCCAGTGTCCACTGCCCTTGGAATGGAGCCTCAGTTGTATCTGACCAGCCTTTATAAGTGGCTGCCACAGTGCAAATATCCAACAGCATAATTAAAGTCACGTATTTGGAACGGCATACAAACTGTTCTGCCGGTGCTACTAGCCAGCACTTTAGAGTTTAACAATAGGATCAGGGCCTGGTGCAGTGGCTCACGCCTGTAATCCCAGCACTTTGGGAGGCCGAGGCGGGTGGATCACGAAGTCAGGAGATCGAGACCATCCTGGCTAATACAGTGAAACTCCGTCTCTATTAAAAATACAAAAAAATTAGCCAGGCGTGGTGGCGGGCGCCTGTAGTCCCAGCTACTCGGGAGGCTGAGGCAGGAAAATGGCGTGAACCCGGGAGGCGGAGCTTGCAGTGAGCCAAGATCGCGCCACTGCACTCCAGCCTGGGTGACAGAGCGAAGACTGTCTCAAAAAAACAAAAACAAAAACAAAAACAATAGGATCGCATTTCTGTCTCTGCTCGTTCAGCTCGTGTGGACAGGTACATTGATGTCCACTGCTTGGGGCCTGATCAGAGCAGGGCAATGCGTGACCAGGCACAGAGGGAAGACCACGAGAGGACACAGAGAGAAGGTGGCCATTCACAAGAGAGGCCAACCCTGCTGGCCCCCTGATCTCAGACTCCCAGCTCCAGAACTGAGAGAAAGAAATTCCTGCCTGATCTGTGGTGTTTTGTTAATGGTAGCCCTGGCAAATGAACACAGAGCCAAGAACAGGTAGGACGGAGTCACCCAGGTGGGACGCAGATTCCCTGCGCTGTCTGCCGGGTAAGAACCCACACGAGCTGGTATTTTGCTGATCATGAAAATAATACGTGCTCCATGCAGAAAGAGCACACTGCTGGGAACAAAACAAGCCAGCCAGACCTGCATGAGCTCGGTCACAAGGCGCTACCATGCCACAGTTCCAGCTGCCTGTGCCCCCGGCCTCCCCAGGCGGCGAACCGACCCAAAAATAACATGCCCACCCTCGGTTTATGTCATTGAACAACATAAAGAGATGTTTTTTCCTTCCCTGACTGATTTTCTATCAGCAGCAGTTCTGAACCCTCATGTTTGATTCCAAATCCTATAGCTTGTCAAGATATAAAAATGAATTTAAATATGGTAGGGGAACTGCTGTTTTAATAAGCCATCAGTTCGTTTATTTTGTAAATTTAAGAGTTTTTAAAAATAAAGATTTCAAAGGAGGACATCATCATACTTGGCTGCTCTTCCAGTGATGTCCTCAGAGTCCCGGGTCAATCTCTGAGTGTCTCATGGGTCGGGATGCACCTCTGCTCTAGGCAGCTGCAGGGCAGTTTACAGAGTGAGCAACATCCACCGGGCGGTGGCAGACTGGCTCCGTGTCTGAGCTCACATCATGCTGCACACCTCACTCACCTGCTGGATCGTGGAACCCCAGATGGGCTTCAAGGGACCCACGGTGGGCAGGAGGCAAAGGTTCCCAGTGCCACCCACTTGAAGGGCAGTGCCTACAGGGCATGCTGGGGGCTCCATGGGTCCACCTCCTTTCTTCCACATGTCACTGGCTGCCCCTCAGCCTCAGATCCACACAGATGCAGTCTCAAGAAGTGGTCCTCACAGCTGCCTTAAGGTGGAGGCCACCCTGACACATTGGCAAATGAGTGGAGGGAGGCTGGATGGGGTCGCCAGCTGCCCCAGGGCCCACAGCCACAGAGCAAGGTTGAGAACCGCCCTGACCCAGTGCCGGGTGCCCACCCAGGGGGTCAAGGCCAGAGGCACAGAGGTACAGATGGCCACTTTCCAAGTGCGAGTGAGGTGCTGGAGACCGATTTAGGCCTGAGGGGCAGGACAGAGGCAGCACGGAGCTGGAGCCACAGACAGAGTTGCCCCGGCGTGGGCAGGCAGCAGGGGCTGGGGAGGCAGGGGAGCAGGGTCAAGGACCCAACCCCTCTCCTGCCCTGCTGGCCCCAGCAGAGCCCTGAAGATGCTGGAGAAAGTTGGAGACAGCAGGCCAAGGGGCAAAGGCAAAGGAGGCATGCACCAGTGCTTCCACCAACTAGAAAACGGGCAGATCCGCCCAGGCTCCTGGTCTTTAACCCATCTAGATGTGGCCAGCCCTCGCCACACTCCCCCTGCAAGCTCACGGGCTCAGGGCATCAGCCAGTGCCTCCCCATGCTGCCCTTGGGGAACCCAGTTCCCAGAGAGACCCTGGACCTCACTTCTCCACACAGCAGACATCCCAGGAGATGGGAGGGTGATTTTTGTAAAACCTCACAATCATCACATGCTTCAAACACATGATTCAAAAGAACAGTGAATCAACAGAATTTTTTTTAAATGTGATTTGGGGCTGGGCACAGTGGCTCACTTCTCTAATCCCAGCACTTTGGGAGACCGAGGCTTGAGGTCAGGAGTTTGAGACCAGCCTGGCTAACATGGCGAAATACTTCCTCTACTAAAAATACAAAAATCAGCTGGGCATGGTGGTAGGTGCCTGTAATCCCAGCTACTTGGGAAACTGAGGCATGAGAATCACTTGAACCCAGGAGGCGGAGGTTGTAGTGAGCTGAGATCGCGCCACTGCACTCCAGCCTGGGCGACAGAGTGAGACTCTGTCTCAAAAAAAATAAATAAATGTGATTTGGTCCTTTTCCCTGTGTCTGAGCAGCATGAGGGCAGGTGGCTGGGAAGAAAGAGATGTCTCTCGTGCTCAGCAGGCAGCTCAGTCAGTAGGTCATAACCCTGAGTCCTGGCATAACTCAACAGTCTTGAAAATGAAAAAAGACACTACTAGGCTGCAAAAACAAATGGAAATTAAAGCAGCCAAGACTAACTTTAACCTGGAAGCAGAGGTGGTGCCAAGAGATTAAAAGGGAAAAGGAAAAAAAAAGTTTGTATGTGTGAGTGTGTATGTGTGTGAGAGTGTGTGTCTTCAATAAGCCAGCATCCCTGGGAGAACACAGGCCCCGTGGGAAACCGGCCTTGGACACCAGACAAAACAAAGGAGTCAAACAAGTCAGGGGCTCTGGAGACGGGGCATCTCAGGGGAGGCTCGGGGCAGGTGGCCAGGAAGGGTGGGGGCTGGTAAAGGGGGAACGGGTGGCCACACCATCCAGATGGCCCCACGGCCCCACTGCCGCCCCGAGACAGCAGTGTGCATGCGGCCACTCTGGCCGGGCCCAGGCTCCCAAGATGCCAGCGAGCACACAGCAGAATGGTGGCTGCACACACAGGGACAACGTGCACTGCCCGCTCCAGCCAGCCCCTGGCCACGGAGGGACCTTGTATTTTACCACATTAGAGGATAAACTTTTGAGACGTATTTACTTCTCTTTCCACCCTAGGTCAAGAGGGAGTTTTTCACAGGGACCGAACAGTCATCTCTTTAGGTGTTAAAATAGAAACTGCCAAGACAGCTCAACACCAAGGTTGCAAAATGTGGAGAAGCCACAATCCAGAAAATGCAGAAGCGAAGGCGTCGGTGCCACGCAGGCGGCAGTGCTGTGGCAGGCGGCACGCTGACGCTAACTCCCGCCACTGCAGCCCGCACTGAGACAGGTGGAGAGATGCTTTGCTAGAAAGAGGGTCTTCCCAGCATTTCTAAACCAGTCATTTAAAAATTTTACAACTTGTGGCCGGGCACGGTGGCTCACGCCTGTAATCCCAGCACTCTGGGAGGCCGAGGCAGGCGGATCACGAGGTCAGGAGATCTAGACAATCCTGGCTAACACGGTGAAACCTCATCTCTACTAAAAATACAAAAAATTGGCCGGGCGCAGTGGCTCACACCTGTAATCCCAGCACTTTGGGAGGCCGAGGCAGGTGGATCACGAGGTCAGGAGATCAAGACCATCCTAGCTAACACGGTGAAACCCCACCTCTACTAAAAATACAAAAAATTAGCCAGGCATGGTGGCGGGCGCCTGTAGTGCCAGCTACTAGGGAGGCTGAGGCAGGAGAATGGCGTGAACCCAGGAGGCGGAGCTTGCAGTGAGCCGAGATCGTGTCACTGCACTCCAGCCTGGACAACAGAGCAAGACTCCATCTCAAAAAACAAAAAATGTTACAACTTGTAAGCATTCCACTTGTCCAGCTAAACAGCATAATCAAACAAAGACAAACTATGAAATGTTTCTGCAAACGTGCACAAGGCATGAGCTGATTTTCTTCCTCTTCTATATGCAAAATGATGGCACTTCCCAGAAAAGTAGAAACTTCCAATATTTTTGTGCAAGCTGTTCATGTAAAATAGGCATAAAATAAATCATCTGAAGAAGAAAAGCATACTTTGCTGTCCCTTTCTCTCCCAGGTGTAGAAAGAATGTGCTCTTCTGTATTTGGAAGCAGGGGACCGCGCCAGCATGGCTGCAGCTGGTTTTCCCCAGGTTAAACGGCCTGACCGCACGGCTGCAGCACAGAAACAGGCTGTCATGACCAGCAAGGCAAACAGTGCATAGTTAAAAACCAATATAACATCTTCTAGACTAGCTTTATTACTGAAGTAATTTGCTTTTTTTTTTTTTTTGAAATGGAGTCTCGTTCTTGTCACCCGGGCTGGCGCAATCTCGGCTCACTGCAACCTCTGCCTCCCAGGTTCAAGCAATTTTCCTGCCTCAGCCTCTCAAGTAGCTGGGATTACAGGCACCCGCCACCACACCTGGCTAATTTTTGTATTTCTAATAGAGACGGGGTTTCACCATGTTGGTCAGGCTGGTCTTGAACTCCTGACCTCAGGTGATCTGCCTGCCTCGGCCTCTCCAAGTGCTGGGATTACAGGTGTGAGGTAATCTGCTTTCTTTAATGCACAAAAACTTCAAATTCCATCCTCAAAAGCGGCCACTCAAAACCAGCTCAAAAGAACAGCCTCATCAACAGAGAAACAGAAATCAAGTTTGAAAATCACAATGAGGTGCTGACATCTAAAACAGTGTGCCAAGGAACCCTGAAAGAGAGCACGTCTCCACGCCACATGGCCTCCGCCCCCCACCTTGGGGCTGCAGCCCCTTCGGCCAGGGTCAGGCTGCCTCTGGGAGGGGTCTCCCAAGACCAAGTGGTCTCACAACCTCCTAACATCGCCCTCCCCCAGGCTTCCCTCTGATCCCCCAGGCACCGCCAAACCTGCACTCACCTCTGCTTCTCTTCCTGTCACTCTCCTGCTCACGCTTTCACTGGCTCTCTCTGCCTACAGCTGTGGTTTTCAAACCATGCGCCATGAAACCCCAGAGTGCCCCAGGAGGGCAAGGGAGAGCAGTTCTGTCTTTATCTGTCAAATTTGTATGAAAAAAACTATTCGGATGCTAAAATAATTAATAAAAGGCAGAGATGGGGCCCAGTATTCCACAGAATAAAGTCTCAATCGCTCATAGAACACCCAAGGGCCTCCCTCCATCTCCCACACCCCTGGGCCATGGAGGACCCGCTGTGCCATCCACCAGTCCCACTGCCCCAGGTGGGGCCCTCAGGACAATGAGAACATGCACCTCAGCCCAGGGCTGGGCTACCAGGCACACAGATGAGCTCGGGGAAGCTCCATCAGCCCACCTGGCAGATGCCTGGGTTGGGTAGGGATCAGGCTGGTGGGAGGGGCTGTTTCTTTCCCACCTGTGTGCACCTGGGCAACACACAGACAGCATAAACAATTAAGGAGTGCTCCTCGACGACGGCCATTCCTTCATCTTTCACCCGAATCCAGTGCATGTTTAAAAGGCACAAAGGGAAGAAGACAGCGTTTCCCGCTCCACCTACTCTTTCTGTTAGGGCAGACCCACCATGGCGGTCTCCGGGAGGACAGTCACACCACAGAGGGGGCGCTCCCACGCTCAGGAGAAGAGTGGGGGTCCCCATTCACAGATGCCGACACTGAGCCCAGAGGGACAGGGAGCTGCCGCAGCCCCGTGGCTTGCCTCACGTGCCTCAGTGGCATGGCCCGCATGGCCGGGCAGTCCCGCCTGCTCAGGAGGCCATGGGCTCGGCTGGGCACCAAGCATGACCTCGGGCGCTTGACAAAGCAATTCCACCGCTGGCCATTCTGGCTGGGGGCTCTCAGCCTGCTCTGATTCCTGCGGCTTGAAGGAAAGGGAACTGGCTGCCACCCACCTTGTCCCCCACCTTATCACTGTGCCCAACAGACCGTGTATCTGCTGGGTCCTGCGGCGCCCGGCTGAGGAACAGGCGCCACGGGCGATCGAGCCCCGTGCTCCCCCTCCCCACCAGCCTCTCAGGTTCTCCTCTCAGGGCCCAGGAGGGTGCAGGTTGATGACCAAAGGCTACACGGCAGCCACCAGATCATCTTCACCCAGCATCCACACCTCCTGATGTGCCTGTTCTTTTCCTGTCTCTCCCTCCCCTGTAAGGACCTGAATCCCCGAATCCCCACGTGGCTGGCCTGGATGTGGCCTGGCCCTGCCAGGGTCTGGCATAGCCCAGTAGCAGCCCAGCCCTTCTCCTGCACCAAGTGCACCCACGAGGAGCTGCAGGCTCCCCTACTGCGCCTGGCCTGTGGGCCGAGTGTCTCCCGGGCTCCACCACTGTGCCCAGCCCGTGGGCAGAGTGTCTCCTGGGATCCCCTACTGCCTCCAGCCTGAGGTCAAGCCCATGACCTTAGCTACCACCTACACTACACCTCACTCCCCAATCTCTATCAAGGGTCCTGCTGTCAAGACACTTGGGCTGGAAACACCAGCATCAACCTCACCAGCTTCCTCCACATGCACCAAGACACCTCACAGGTCCCACGCAGTGGGGTGGTCTGTGCCTTCGGGTGCCCCATTTCAGCGGGCTCGTGCTCTGGGATGTCCCAGGCACCTTGCCGGAGACGTCCTGCAGAGACAGGAGCTCCATAAGCAGGCGGTGCCACAGAACATCCCCAGTGACTGTGAACCGAGCAGGGACCTAACGGGGAGCTTCTCAGGTAAACCAGAATCCTGATCTTAAAGCTCCGGGTCTTCACGAAAACTGTGGGAAAGGTATCCAGGCCATTTAGCTGTCCATCAAAGGAACAAAAGCAGAAAGCAGCTCTTTCACTGAGGTCATATAAATCTTTTCCACCATTACAGCAACACCTGCACATCCAGAACATGTGAAGGAAACACCACTGGCCCATGCATGAACCGCAGCCTGCTTCAGGGCGGCCCGCCCTCCTCCTGCTTAGGCATGAGACAAGCCTGACAATACCACATCTGGGCGGAAAAGCCTGGAGTGTGTTTGCAGATGACTTTCCTAGCAGCACATCCCAGGAGGTTTCTTAGGTCACACAATGTCTCTAAAGCTGCAGGTGGCTTTGGGCCAGGTGCCCTCCTACGGGGGCCCACGAACAAGGTGGAGCCGGACAGTAGCATGGCGCTTCCCAACAGAATCCAGGGGTCACTTCTGTTTTTATAATTTAATCTGAATGTTCTTTTAATTTGTATTTCATTTATTTATTTATTTATTTATTTATATTTTATTTATTTTTAAGATGGAGTCTCACTGTCACCCAGGCTGGAGTGCAAGTGGCATGATCTCGACTCACTGCAACCTCCGCCTCCTGTCTTCAAGTGATTCTCCTGCCTCAGCCTCCCGAGAAGCTGGGATTACAGGGGCTCGCCACCATGCCGGGCTAATGTTTGTATTTTTAGTAGAGACGGGGTTTCACCATGTTGGCCAGGCTGGTCTCGAACTCCTGACCTCAAGTGATCCGCCGGCTTTGGCCTTCCAAAGCGCTGAGATTGCAGGCATGAGCCACTGTGCCTGGCCTTAATTTTCATTTCTTGTATTATCACTGAGATGAAACATATTTCTATGCATTAACCAGTTTGTTTTTCTTCTTTTTTGAGACAGGGTCTCACTGTCAACCAGGCTGAAGTGCAGTGGTGTGATAACAGCTTACTGCAGCCTCAACTTCTCAGGCTCAAGTGATCCTCCCACCTCAGCCCCCCAGGTAGCTGGGACTACAGGCGTGCACCACCACGTCTGGCTAATTTTTTTGAATTTTTGTAGAGACAGAGTCTTGCCTTGTTGCACAGGCTGGTCTTGAACTCCTAAGCTCAAGAGATCCTCCAGCCTCAGCCTCCCAAAGATGCTGAAATTACAGGCACGAGCCACTTCCCCCTGCCTGTTTTTCTTCATTTGTAACTTGCCAGCTTGGGTTGTTTGCCTGTTTGTTTTTTTAAAATCCTTGGAATCTTGGTATTTTCCTCAGCAACTGACAGATGGACTTACTATACTAACAACGTTAAAGATATTAAAGCTTTGTGAGAATTGCTACAAAACTTTTTCCAGGTCAAGCTACTTTCTTTTTCATTTCACTTACTATTTTCTTTGAAACTAAGTTTTAACTTTTTATCATATTAGCTTTTCCCTTTGGAATTTCCTGTTTCACTTCTAAATTTACCAAGGAGGAAGAAGTCTGCCAGCCCAGGCCCAGGGAAGGAAGCAGTTTCTAATCATAGCCCCAGTTTCTGCAAATTGCTGTGGCCACTATGGGAAGCCAAACAGCTGCTCAGGTGAGAAACAGTGTCAAGGCAGCACTACTATAGGTAATCTCAGATAATTCATTTAAAAGTAATCTTGAGATCAATAAAAATTTCAGCAAACTGATTGGTAGTAGGATTTTTAAAACTGGGACTCAGATACATAATAATTCTTGGACTCTGACCTGCTCTCACCATAATTAGTAATGTTTAATGATGTCAAAGACGTGCGAACTCACTGCCCACACCGAAAGGCAGAGTCCTGCTTGTGATCCACAGTGAGCCCCTGCTCTGCACCCCCAGGCATCGATCCCCTGCTTTCTTCTGCATAAACTGTATCTCATCTATATTCTTCTTTTTTTTCTTTTTTTTTTTTTTTGAGACAGAGTTTTGCTCTTGTTGCCCACGCTGGAATACAATGGTACAATCTCAGCTCACCACCACCTCCGCCTCCCTGGTTCAAGCTATTCTCGTGCCTAAGCCTCCCGAGTAGCTGGGATTACAGGTGTGCGCCACCATGCCCGGCTAAATTTTGTTATTTTTTTTTAGTAGAGACAGGATTTCTCCATGTTGGTCAAGCTGGTCTCGAACTCCCGACCTCAGGTGATCCACCAGCCTCGGCCTCCCAAAGTGCTGAGATTACAGACGTGAGCCACCACGCCCGGCCATAGCTCATCTATATTCTTAAAAAGCACCTTTCAGTTGAGCTGTTATAAAAGGGATATCATCTATATATAGTCACCTGACCTATTCATACTGTGCCCACTGCTATTACGAGACGCATGCACGCTGCCAGGCGGTGCTCCTGAAGCACCATGTTGACGTGTGCGTGCTATTCCACCCAACCAACAAACCAGGCTACATGTCCTGTCTCCTGCTGCTCAGAACCAATGCCATTTGCAGACACTTGGCTGTCATGACCTCTGAGGAACATTCTTACACATGAATACCTGGGCAACACATGCTCCAGCACAGGGCTCGGCAAGCATTTTCTAAACAGGGCCAGTAGTGGACAAGTGTCCTGTGGCACACAAGAGAACATCCTCATTCTTAGGAAATAGACACTGATGTGTCTAGAGGTAAAGGGCCTCAAGTGGAGAGAGAAGTGTTTGAATTGTGTTCTTTGTCCTATTTTTATTTTTGCAATGTTTTGTATAAGTTTGAAGTTATTTAAAATGAGTAAGAAAGGCCAGACGCGGTGGCTCACACCTGTAATCTCAGCACTTTGGGAGGCAGAGGCGGGTGATCACCTGAGGTCAGCCTGACCAATATGGAGAAACCCCGTCCCTACTAAAAATACAGAATTAGATGGGCGTGGTGGCAGATGCCTGTAGTCCCAGCTACTCAAGAGGCTGAGGCAGGAGAATCGCTTCAATCCAGGAGGTAGAGGTTGCAGTGAGCCAAGACTGTGCCATTGCACTCCAGCCTGGGCAACAAGAGCAAAACTCTGTTTCAAAAATAACATAACATAACATAACATAACATAACATAACATAACATAAGAAAGAATGAAATATCCCCCTGAAAACTTTTTGTGAACATAAGGGAAAGGAATGGGAAATGTCTCAAACAGACTTGCCCCGACTCTTCGAGCGGAAGTGTGTTTTGGTCGCCCCTCACTCCTATGGCCCCGGGCAGGCTGGACGCTGGCACGTATCGCAGGCTGAACCCATCTCACCAGCCAGAGCACGGCCACAACATGCCCGCGTCTGCCTAGAGGAAGGTTTTGCCCAGAGTCACGCACTCCTGGGCAGAAAGCTTTTAACCCCCAGTTGTGAGAGATGCCTGGACACCATGCCTTCATACGGACGGCTTGTAGAAAGGACCTTCCAGGCCCAGTCAGCCCCGGGAATAAACATCAGTGTTATAATCAGAATGCTTCAGATCATTGCAAAAGAGCTGGGTTTTGTTTTTTGTGGATGGGCCAAACTAATTTATTATGAGACAGAAACTATGGATTCACATGTTTTTATATAAATTAAGGTATTGTTGACAAATAAAAATTGTATATATTTACTGCATACAATCAGAGGTTTACATATATGTGTACCTTGTGGAATGGTTAAATCGAGCTATTACGCATATGTATCACTTCACATACTTTTTTTTTTTTTTTTCCCTTTCTGGAGCAAGAGCAGCTACTTTCCCAGCCAGGTGATGAGCTTAAAATATGTGAACCCTACCCCACCCCCATGCAGAGTGAGTCCACTCCTCCTCACCACACACACACACACACACACACACACACACACACAACTGGCGGCCCCACCAGCAGACTCCGCAACCTCATCACACACACACACACACACACACACACACACACACACACCCGGCAGCCCTGCCAGCAGACTCCGCAGCCTGGAAGGCAGGAAGCAGCCTCCAGCCCCAGCAAGAAGGCAGGTCTTGGCCTTTGGCTGACCTCGGCCACGGTGCCCCAGGCCAGCAGGGCAGTTTCCCCTGCCCGGCAGCTCCCCGGGGAGTCGGGAACCAAGTGCAGCCGGCGAAGATGCCACGGGCACCTGAGACACAGGGCTCCATGTTCCCTCTGGGAAAAAGGGACCCCACCCTGTCCTCAATCACCTTCAACACCAGCACACCTCAGCCGCTTGCACTTCGTGAAGCCTTGGGCTGTCTGAGCTCATTCAACCCCTTCTTTAGAGACGGCGAAATTGAGGGCCAGAGAAAGTGATTTGTCCAAATTCACAGAGCCGAGAAACGGCAGGAGATGGATGCCAACCCCAGCCCCGTCTGCCTGCCCAGATGGGTTATTTGCAGCGACCCTCATTCTACTCTCTGCTTCTATGAGCTCAAATTTTCTAGATTCCACATAGAAATCAGGTCATGCAGTATCTGTCTTTCTGGGCCTGGCTTATTTTACTAAGCGTAATGTCTTCCAGGTTTATCCTTGTCACAAATGACAGGATTTCCTTCTTTTTAAAGGCTGAATAGTATTCCATTGTGTGTGTGTGTGTGTGTGTGTGTGTGTGTACACATATATTAATAAACATATCAACATACAGGTAACCAAAAAGTGCTAGATTTTACGTAAAAATACTCTAAACTTAAAATTACTTAAAAACATCCTAAATTACTGTCTGGGTGTGGTGGCTCACGCCTATAGTCCCAACACTTTGAGAGGCCAAGGCAGGCGGATCACCTGAGGTCAGGAGTTCGAGACCAGCCCAGCCAACGTGGTGAAACCTCGTCTCTACTAAAAATACAAAAATTAGCCAGGTGTGGTGGCGTACGCCTGTAATCCCAGCTACTTGGGAGGCTGAGGCAGGAGAATTGCTTGAACCTGGAAGGCAGAGGTTGTGGTGAGCTGAGATGGTGTCACTGTACCATTTCTATGTTTACGTAAACTTGGATACACAAATACTCTTAACCACAGTGTTCACTGCAGTAACACACTGCACAGGCGTGCGGCCTGGGAGCAACAGGCTCTAGCGTGGAGCCTAGGCGTGCAGCAGGCAGTACCATCTGGGTGTGTGTAAGTGCCCTTTATGATGCCCACACAATGACAAAAGTGCCTAACAATGCATTTCTCAGAACATATCCCTGTTGGTAAGTGATGCATGACTGTGATTCCTTGGAATGACAGAAGCAAATACTAGAGCACCTGTATTTTTATCTAACAGGGATAACGAATTAGGCTTCCCTAGTAGCGGACACACCAGGCCCCAGCCCCTTCCCGCTGCCCTGGTGTCCCCAGAGCAGCAGGAGTCCATGGCTCTGAGAGTTCAGGGGCGCCCCATCAACAAGGGCTTGGCCCAGGGGATCAAAGGCGATAATGAAGAGCCCACGTTTTAACAAAACAAACTGTTATGGGCTGAACTGTGTGCTCTCAAAATTCGTGTGTTGAAGCCTTAACCCCCAGGACCTCAGAATGCTTCCGTTCTTTACAGAGATAATTAAGTTAAAATGAATCCATCAGGGTGGGCCCTCATCCAATAGGACTGGGTCCTTATAAGACAAGGAGATTAGGTCGGGTGCAGTGGATCACACCTGTAATCCCAACACTTTGGGAGGCCGAGGCGGGTGGATCACCTGAGGTCAGGAGTTCGAGACCAGCCTGACCAACATGGAGAAACCCCGTCTCTACTAAAAAAAAAAATACAAAATTAGCCAGGCGTGGTGGCGTGGGCCTGTAATCCCAGCTACACACTGAAATCCCAGCTACTCAGAAGGCTGAGGCAGGAGAATCGCTCGAACCCGGGAGGCAGAGGTTGCGGTGGGCCCAGATCACGCCACTGCACTCCAGCCTGGGCAACAAAAGCAAAACTCCGTCTCAAAAAAAAAAAAAAAAGACAAGGAGATTAGGACACAGATGCACACAGAGAGAAGACCACGCAAGGACGCAGGGAGAGGACGGCCATCTGCAAGCCAAGGAGACAGGCCACAGAGGGAACCAACCTGCCCACACTGTGATCTTGGATGTCCAGCCTCCAGAACTGTGAGCAAATACTATGTCTGTGGTGAGGCCACCCAGTCGCTGGTACTGTGTTTTGGCAGCCTTAGCAGATAAATACACAAAAGCTTAGGAGGGGTTTGTTCCTGCCGGGGATGAAGAAGGACCTGAGTTGTGGCCAACAACAGGCTGCAGAAAGGCAATGCCATCCTGAAGATTTCTCAACTAAGAGTCTGCACCCATGACAGCCCACCGAGACCCTCGCTCCAAGTTTGTGGAGAAAGGGAACCCGCTTGGCAGCATGTGGAAAGACCCCACGATGAGCAGCAGACACAGCAACGCTGCCTCCTACATCTCGACAGCATCTGTGTAAGACTCGCTAGCATCTGGTGCACACACTGTATGAGACAGCAACAGCCAGAACAGACAGCTTTACGTTGATGAACACACAGACGGTGGCGCATGTTCAGAGATGCCGAGGGGACGCCGCAGTTCCCAAAATCACCTCTGCCTTTTTTTTTTTCTGCAGGGGAGCCAATAAAAAAAGCTGATAAAAGATGAAAAGAGAATACTTAATAAGTAAGCATAATTTATTTAAACTTTTCCAAGCAACCTGAGGTACCTGAATACCTGAAGCACTGGCTCTAGCATCGGTTGGGACACGGGACAAGGAGGCAGTGCTCTCCTATCGCCCCTTCCCAGGAGCTGCTGGCAGCAACAGGTTATGGACTACAATGGGCAGGTCACCCACCACCTGTTTATAAATCTTGGAGAGTCTTCCTCAAAAGTGACAATGGCCTGGACAGGGCCCGACTAAGCCCTGCTGGCTGAGGGGCTCAGGACAGGTGACTTCAGAGCACGCTCCCAGATCTCACTAAATGAAATCACAAAGTTCCTGAAGCACAGAGTTCCAATCGCACTTTCCACCATGTAGTCTTGGCTAAGTCTGCAGGAGTGCGGCCGACATATGTGAAGAGGAAGAACTCGGGGCACCTGAACCTTTCCTGCTCACAGTGTGTGGGAAGACATGTGCCGGCCTGTGTCTTCACACACACTTCCAGGGCCCGGCCCCACCACAGCCCGCAGCTACAACATAGCACCCCACCACAGCCCGCAGCTACAACACAGCACATCTGCCCTCCACCTGGGCCTGGGATAGAATCAGGGCAACCAAGAGCTCCAGAGGCTTCTCAGGTGCCCATCACAGGTCACAGTCAATTCCATGTGACCAGTGAGGTCAGCCTGAAATGTGTGACTGAAATACAAGAAGGCCGGGCATGGTGGCTCCTGTAATCCCAGCACTTTGGGAGGTTGAGGTGGGAGGATCACTTGAGCCCAGGAGTTCATGACCAGCCTGGGCTACACAGTGAGACCCCATCTCAAAAAGAAAAGAAGTCAGCACTCTGGGAGGCTGACACAGGCAGATCACTTGAGGTCAGGAGTTTGAGAACAGCCTGACCAATATGGTGAAACCCCGTCTCTACTAAAAACACAAAAATTAGCCAGGCGTGGTGGCACACGCCTGTAATCCCAGCTACTCAAGAGGCTGAGGCAGGAGAATCGCTTGAACCAGGGAGGTGGAGGTTGCAGTGAGCCAAGATAGTGCCACTGCACTCCAGCTTGGGCGACACAGCGAGACTCCATCTCAAAAAATAAATAAATAAATAAAAATAAAACGCAAATTATTTAAATACAAAATAAAAATCAATCCCTGTGATGGTTGCTTTTATGTGTCAACTTGGCCAGGCCATGGTACCCAGTTTTTGGTCCAACTCCAATCTAAACATTGCTATGAAAGTACTTTTTAGATGAGATTAACATCTATACCAGTAGACTCTGAATGAAACAAATTACCCTCCACAATTTGGGTGGGCCTCATCCAACCAGTGCAGGCCTTGAAAGAAAAAAGACTGACCTCTCCTAAGAAAGAGGGAATCTTGCCTCCAGGCTGCCTTCAACATCAGCTTTTCCCCGGGTCTTTAGCCTATGGGCCTGCCTTGCAAACGCTGGACTTGCCAGCCTCTACAATTGTGAGTCAGATCCTTAAAATAAATCTCTCTAGACGCACATCCACACGTATCCTGCTGCTTCTGTTTCTCTGGAGAACCCTGACTAATACATCACCTCTACCACCTCCACACCCTGTCATCACGACAAACAAGAAAACACAACTTGTGCATATGAAAACCTTATCCCTGTGGTCTCCTTGACAGGAACAAGGCTACCTCTCAAGAGTCAGTGAAGTTTTTGTTCATATGCACAAGTCTGCTCAATTTAACACATACAGTTATTCAATGATCTCTGGGGGCAGCTGGCCCCACTGAGCCATGAGTCCAGGTGGTGTTAAGGCTCACTGGTTTCGTGGAGACTGGTCCTTCTAGGAACAGCTTGAGAAGTTGAGCTTTGGACAGGGATTCAAATGTAATGCAGAACTTCACCACTTCAGCTGTGGGGCTATGTGGTTCTTCAGAGCAAGCACATCTCCTTCTGTGAGTATCTTCAAGGACAAATCAACACTCATCCCCACTGTCCTGGCCAGGAAAACATGACTGCAAGGAGTGACCACACAGGCTCTGAGCATCAAATTTTGGCTATGGAATCAGGTTTCAAGATGAAACCCACTGCTTTCAGAGTGTTTTGGGCTTTTTTCCCCCTCCCCTGTGATGCAAATGTGAATGTGAAGGGGAAAGCAAAGAACAGGGCATGACAAGGTCACAGCGGCTATCACTGTACATCTGTCTTATTCCCATCTAAAAAACCTGGGAGCCACAGTTCAACAGACATCACCTCTGCCCCCATGGAGGGCCAAGCCACAGCCCACGGCATGGGCTGTGCGTGAAGGAAATGCAGTCGTAATAAAGTTGGAGGGGGAGCGACCAGGAAAACAAATGCCCAGTGAGCTTGTGCTGAATAGCACAGATGCACATCAGGCTTAAACCAACACGATGGTGAAAAACACATCCCTAATTTCTTGAGACCATGTTCTAAGAGGCTTTTAACACAAAAAAATTCATACAAATGCAAATCTTGTCCCTGGAATGCTCTGAAATCCTTCTATTAGATAACCCTCCTATTAGAAATCAGGCCGGAGCTGCTGTGGCCATCAGCTCTCTGGATATAAGACATAAAGAGAACAAATAACAAAATGACAGATGTAAATCCCACTACATACATATTTGCATTAAATGTAAATGAACAAGATACTCAAATCAAAAGGCAGAGATTTACAGAGTAAACAGAAAACATGAACCAACTATATGCTATCCACTAGAAACAAATTTTAAATATAAAAATACAAGTACAGTGAAACTAAAAGAACGCAAAAGGACATACCATGCAAAGAGTAACCAAAAGAGAGGGAAGTGGCAATACTAACATTAGACAAGTATTAGACAAAACAGACCTGCGGACAAAAATTACTACAAACATTATGATAAAAAGGTAGTCCCTCTGTGCCTCATAACACATGAAACTCTGGATGACATGATTTTATATGTAGTAAATCCCAAAGATTCCATAATAATTATTAGTTAGAGCTAATAAACGAATTCAGGGAAGTTGCAGGATACAAAAGCAACATGTAAAAATCAGTTGCATTTCTATATTTTAGCAATGAACAATCCCAAAAGGAAATTAATTCCATGTACAACAGCATCCAAAAGATGAAGAATGTAGTGTAAATGAATTTTACTTATTCAAGATATTAGTCTCAAAATGGCTAAATACAAGTTTCAATTTAAAAAAATATAATCAAGGAGGTGAAAGACTTACACACTAAAAAATATAAAACACTGCTGAAAGAAATTAAATACAAACAAATGGAAAGACATCTTTGTTAATGGATTGGAAGACATAATATTGTTAAGATGACAATACAATCCAAAGCCTTCTAAAGACTCAATGCAATCCCTTTGAAAATTCCAACAGCACTTTGTTTTTGCAAAAATAACCCATTTTAAAATTCATAGGAATCTCCAAGGACCCAGAATAGCCAAAGCAATCTTGAAAAAGATGAACAAAGTTGGAGACTTCACTCCTTTTTATTTCAAAACTTACCATAAAGCTACAGTAATTGAAACAGTGTGGCACTGGCATAAAGAAAGGCACACTGGCCAATTAAACAGAACAAAGAACCCAGACATAAACCTTCACATATGTGGTCAAACAATTTTCAACAATGATGTCAAGATCATTCAATGGAAAAAGAATAGTCTTTTCAACAAATTGTGTTAGGAAAACTGAATATCCACACATACATGAATTATGTTGGACCATTACCTTATATAATATACAGAAAAGTTAATTTGGCCTGGCGTGGTGGCTCACTCCTGTAATCCCAGCACTTTGGGAGGCCGAGTCGGGCAGATCACAAGGTCAAGAGATCGAGACCATCCTGGCTAACACGGTGAAATCCCGTCTCTACTAAAAATACAAAAAATTAGCTGGGTGTGGTGGCGGGGGCCTGTAATCCCAGCTCCTAGAGAGGCTGAGGCAGGAGAATCGCTTGAACCCGGGAGGCGGAGCTTGCAGTGAGCCGAGATTGTGCCACCGCACTCCAGCCTGGGCGACAGAGCAAGGATCTGTCTCGAAAAAAAACCAAACACACACACAAAAAAGAAAAGTTAATTCAAAACAGATCAACGCCTAAACATCGGATCTAAAACTATAAAACTCTTAGAAGAAAACAGGAGAAATGCTTCATGACATCAGATTTGGCAATGATTTCTTGGATATGACACCAAAAACACTGGCAACAACAGAATTAATAGACCAGGTGCTGTTGCTCACATCTGTAATCCCAACACTTTGTGAGGATGAGGTGGGAGGATCACTTGAGCTCAAGAGTTCAAGACTAGCCTGGGCAACACAGCTAGACCTTGTCTCTACTAAAAAATAAAATAAGGCTGGGCGTGATGGCTCATGCCTGTAATCCCAGCACTTTGGGAGGCCAAGGCAGGCAGATCGCTTGAGGTCAGGAGTTCCAGACCAGCCTGACCACCATGCAGAAACCCTATCTCTGCTAAAAATACAAAATTAGCCAGGCGTGGTAGTGGGCGCCTGTAATCCCAGCTTGAGTAGCTTGAGGCTGAGGCAGGAGAACTGCTTGAACATGGGAGGCAGAGGTTGCGGTGAGCCAAGATTGCGCCATTGCACTCCAGCCTGAGCAACAAGACCAAAACTCTGTCTCAAAAAAAAAAAGAAAAAAGAAAAAGAAAAGAAATAAAATAAAAAGTAGCTGCACGTGGTGGCTCACACCTGTAGTCCCAGACACTCAGGAGGCTGAAGTGGGAGGATCGCTTGAGCCCAGGATATCAAAGCTGCAGTGAGCCATGACTGCACCACTGAACTCCAGCCTGGGTAACAGCCTAGGTAACTCATCTCAAAAAATAAATAAACAATAGATAGTACCCAAAGCAATCTACAAATTCAATGCAATCTACAGGTTCAATGCAATCTACAGATTCAAAGCAATCTACAGATTCAATGCAATCTACAGATTCAATGCAGTCTCTATCAAAATACCTACCATATTCTTCATGCAAATAGAAAAAGAAATCCTAAAATTTGTGTGGAACCACAAAAGACTTGGAATAGCAAAAGCTATCCTGAGCAAAAGAACAAGGCTGGAGGCATCACACTACCTGACTTCAGAATATACTACAGAGGCTGGGCATGGTGGCTCCCGCCTGTAATCCCAGCACTTTGGGAGGCTGAGGTGGGCGGATCACCTGAGGGCAGGAGTTCGAGACCAGCCTGGCCAACATGGTGAAACACCGTCTCTGCTAAAAACAAAAAAATTAGCTGGGTGTGGTGGCGCACGCCTGTAATCCCCAGCTACTCAGGAGGCTGAGGCAGGAGAATCGCTTGAACCCGGGAGGCGGAGGTTGCAGTGATCCAAGATTGCGCCATTGCACTCCAGCCTGGGTGACAGAGTGAGACTCCGTCTCAAAAACAAAACAAAACAAAAAAAACTACAGAGATATAGTAACCCAAACAGCACACTATTGTCATAAACACAGACACATAAACCAATGGAACAGAATAGAGCCTGGAAATAAATGCATGCATTTGCAGCCAACTGATTTTTAACAAAGGTGCCAAGAACACACAATGAGAAAAGGATAGGTTCTTCAATAAACGGTGTTGAGAAAACTAGATACACACATACAGAAAAATAATATCAGACCTTGGCTTCTCAACATAGACAAAAATCAACCCGAAATGAATTAAAGACTTAAATGTGGCCAGGTGCGGTGGCTTAGCCTATAATCCCTGCGAAGCCCAGGCAGGGGGATCACCTGAGCTCAGGAGTTTGAGACCAGTCTGAGCAACATGGTGAAACCTTATTTCTACAAAAAAACACAAAAATTAGGCGGTGGCTCACACCTGTAATCCCAACACTTTGGGAGGCTGAGGCAGGAGGATCACTTGAGGTAAGGAGTTTGAGACTAGCCTGGCCAACATGGTGAAACCCTGCCTCCACTAAAAATACAAAAATTAGCCGGGCATGGTGGTGCACACCTGTAATCCCAGCTACTCAGGAGGCTGAGACAGGAGAATCGTTTGAACCTGGGAGACAGAGGTTGCAGTGAGCCAAGATCGCGCCACTGCTCTCCAACCTGGGCGACAGAGTGAGACTCCGTCTCAAAAAAACAAAACAACAACCAACCAAAATTTAGCCAGGCATGATGGTGCACACCTGTAGTGCCAGGTACTGGAGAGGCTGAGGTGGGAGAATTGCTTAAGCCCAAAAGGGCAAGGCTGCAGTAAGCCATGATTGCCCCACTGCATTCCAGCCTGGGTGACAGAACGAGACCTTGTCAAAAAAAAAAAAAAAAAAAAAAGGGAGAAGAAACTCCCTAACCATTAGCAGTTATTCTCACTTTTTCTACCCGTTCTTCACTGATCCTCTCTCCCCTGCTTTCTGGCCCCAGGCAATCACCTGTCTACTCTCTGTCTCTGTATATTTGCCTATTCTGGACTTTCCCCCTTGTATCTAACTGTAAATGTGTATCCTTTGACCAACATCTTCCTCTCTCCCCTTCCGCCAGCCACCCCAGCCTCTGGTAACCACCATTCTGCTCTGTTCTTCTGTGGCATCAGCGTTTTCAGATTCCACATGTGAGTGAGATCGTGCAGTACTTGTCTTTCTGTGCCTGGCTCATTTTGAGGAAATAAAGCCTCAAAAGCAAAGGCCACAAAAGAAAAAATAGACAAATGGGATTACATCAAACTAAAAATGTTCTGCACAGCAAAGGAATCAATCAACAAAGTGACAATCTACAGAATGCAGGAAAATATCTGCAAACCATATAACTAATAAGGGATTAATAATGAAAATATACAAAGAATTCAAACAACTCAATTGTAAAAGATCTGAATGGATATTTCTCAAAAGAAGGTGTACAAGTGGCCAACAGGTGTATGAAAAAATGCTCAACATCGCTAATCATCAGGGAATCCAAATCAAAACCACAATGAGCTATCACCTCACACCTGTCAGACTGGCTCTTGTCAAAAAGGCAAAAGATAACAAGTGTTGTCCAGGGTGTGGAGAAAGGGAAACCCTTGTACACTGTTGGTGGAGATGTAAATCAGTATAGCCATTGTAGAAAACAGTGCCGGGGGTTCCTCAAAATATTAAAAATAGAACTACCATATGACCCAGCAACACCACTGTTGGGTATATATCTAAAAGAAATGAAATCCGTATGTCCAAGAGATCGCTGTACCCCATGTTTATTGCAGCACCTTTCACAACAGCCAAGACATGGAATCAACCTAACTGTCCATCAACAGATGAGCAAGGCCGGGCCTGGTGGCTCACATCTGTAATCCTAGCACTTTCAGGAGGAAAGGAGGATTGCTCCAGCCCAGAAGTTCAAGACCAGCCTGGGCAACATAGTGATACCCCATCTCCATTTAAAAAATAATTAAAATTAAAAAAACAAAAACAGGCCGGACACGATGGCTCATGCCTATAATCCCAGTACTGGGAGGCCGAGGCAGATGAATCACTTGAGGCCAGGAGTTCGAGACCAGCCTGGCCAACACGGTGAAACCCCTTCCTCTACTAAAAATGCAAAAAAATTAGTCAGGCTTGGTGGCACCTCCTGTAATCCCAGGTACTTGGGAAGCTGAGGCATGAGAATCACTGGAACCCAGGAGGCGGAGGTTGCAGTAAGCTGAGATCACACCACTGCACTCCAGCCTGGGTGACAGAGTGAGACCCTGTCTCAAAACAAACAAACAAAAACTGGATTATGGTGATGGTTGTTGCACAGCTCCAGAAATCTTCTAAAAATTATTGTATAGTTGTCCCTGAAACAACACGTGTTTGAACCATGCGGGTCCACTTATTTGCAGACTTTTTCCAGTAAAAGTTACACGGTGTATGCCTGCCTCTCTAGCCCCTCCTTCCACCTCCCTCCACTTCTGCCTTTGCCACCCCCAAGACAGCAAAACCAACCCATCCACTTCCTCCTCCTTGGCCTGCTCACTGTGAGCTTTTTGAGGATGGAGACCTTTCTGATGATCCACTTCCACGTGATGAGTAGTCAGTTTATTTCCTCTTCCTCATGATTTTCTTAACAACATTTTCTTTTCTCTAGCTTACTTTATTATGAGAACACAGTATGTAATACATATAACTTACAAAATCTCTGTTAATCAACTGTTTATGTTATCAGTAAGGTTTCTGGTCAATAGCAGGCTATTCGTAGTTTTAACTTTTGGGAAGTCACGTAGTTTTAACTTTTGAGAAGTCAAAAGTTATACTTGTCCAGCCTGGCCAACATGGTGAAATCCCATCTCTACTAAAAATATAAAATTAGCCAGGCATGGTGGCGGGTGCCTGTAATCTCAGCTACTCAGGAGGCCGAGGCAGGAGAATCGCTTGAACCCGGGAGGCAGAGCTTGCAGTGAGCCGAGACAGAGCGAGACTCCGTCTCAAAAAAAAAAAAAAAAAAAAAAAAGGTTAAAGGCCAGGCTCGGTGGCTAACGCCTGTAATCCCAGCACTCTGGGAGGCAGAGGCAGAGGCGGGCAGATCACCTGAGGTCAGGAGGTCGAGATCAGCCTGACCAACACAGTGAAACCCCCTCTCTACTAAAAATACAAAATTAGTGGGAGTGGTGGCGCATGCCTGTAATCCAAGCTACTTGGGAGGCTGAGGCAGGAGAATGGCTTAAACCCAGGAGGCAGAGGTTGCAGTGTGCCAAGATCGTGCCATTGCACTCTATCCTGGGCAATAAGAGCGAAACTCCATCTCAAAAAAAGTTACACTCGGATTTTCAACTGCACAGGGGGTTGGAATCCCTAACCCCCTCGTTCACAGGCCAGCCAAACGTATACTTAAAAGTAGGTGAATTTTATAAAGTAGGTATATTATACCTCAATAAACAAAATTTTTGTTTAAAATTTTTGTTTTTAAAGCATGCTAATATTTTTAAATTGGAATTGGGTTAAATTTATAGATCAATATGAAGAGAACTGATGTCTTTACTATGTTGAGTGTTCCAACCACTGACCATGGTATGTTCCCCCATTTACTTAAATGATCTTTGATTTCTCTCATCTTCAGCATACAGATCCTGTAAGTCTTATTCAATGTATACCTAAGTATTTGATTCCTTTGAAGCAAACGAAATGTTGTGTTTTTAAATTTAATTTTCTTTTTTTTTTTTTGAGACGGAGTCTCGCTCTGTTGCCCAGGCTGGACTGCAGTGGCGCGATCTCGGCTCACCACAACCTCCGCCTCCCGGGTTCAGGCGATTCTCCTGCTTCAGCCTCCTGAGTAGCTGGGACTACAGGCGCACGCCACCATGCCCAACTAATTTTTGTATTTTTAGTAGAGACAGGGTTTCACTATGTTGGCCAGGCTGGTCTCGAACTCCTGCCCTTGTGATCCGCCCGCCTCGGCCTCCCAAAGTGCTGGGATTACAGGCGTGAGCAACCACGCCCAGCCAAATTTAACTTTCTAATTGTACATTGCTAGTACAGTAGTCCCCACTTACCTGTAGTTTCATTATCTGCAATTTCTGTTTCCCCAGTTATAGCTGCCTACAGTCAACTGCCCTCCAAAAATAGGTGAGTGCATACAAAAAGATATTTTGAAAGAGAGAACACATTTATATAACTTTTATTCAGTATATAATTATTCTATATTATGAACAGTTATTGTTGGTAATCTCTTACTGTGCCTAATTTGTAAATTAAGCTTTATCATAGGCATAGATGTATAGGGAAAAAAACCACAGTACACGGAGGGTTCTGTCTTATCTCAGGTTTCAGGCTTCCATTGGAACGTATCGTCCATGGATAACAAGGACTGTTGTAAACAGAAATAAGGTCAGCTTGTATAGTGTTGACTTTGCATGTATCTCCCCATGGATAAGGGGCACTGCTGTATGCAGAAATAAGGTCGCCAGGCCGGGCCCGGTGGCTCACGCCTATAATCCTAGCACTTTGGGAGGCTGAGGCAGGCGGATCACCTGAGGTTGGGAGTTCCAGACCAGCCTGACCAACACGGAGAAACCCCATCTCTACTAAAAACACAAAATTAGCCAGACATGGTGGCACATGCCTGTAATCCCAGCTACTCGGGAGGCTGAGGCAGGAGAATCGCTTGAACCCGGGAGGCAGAGGTTGCGGTGGGCCGAGATCGCACCATTGCACTCTAGCCTGGGCAACAAGAATGAAACTCTGTCTCAAAAAAAAAAAAGAAAAATAAGGTCGCCTTCTGTGTGTTGACTTTGTATCTTGTGACCTTGCTAACCTCATTAATTAGTTCTAGTAGCTTTTTCATAGATTCCCTGGATTTTCTATGTAGATAATCATGTTGTCAGCAAATAGGGACAATTTTCCCTTTCCAATTTGTATGCCTTTTCTTTCTTTGTCTGATACTATTGCACTGGCTAAAATAAGGTTTTTAAATTATGTCAGTGTAATTAATCCATGCTTTATCAATGGCCTCTAAGGGTTGGCTAAATTTTAATAGGAAAAACAATGAGAATAGCTTGGACATGTTAGTTAAAACTTCACACTATAAAATATGTTTTGGCTGGGCGCGGTGGTTCACGCCTGTAATCCCAGCACGTTGGGAGGCCGAGGTGGGTGGATCACCTGAGGTCAGGAGTTTGAGACCAGCCTGGCCAACATGGCAAAACCCTGTCTCTACTAAAAATACAAAAATTAGCTGGGTGTGGTGGCAGGCGCCTGTAATCCCAGCTACTCGGAAGGCTGGGGCAGGAGAATTGCTTGAACCCAGGAGATGGAAGTTGCAGTGAGCCGAGATCACACCATTGCACTCCAGCCTGGGCAACAAGAGCAAAACCCTGTCTCACAAAAAATAAAATAAAATAACATAACATAAAAGAAAAGAAAAGAAAGGAGGGAGGGAGATGTTAGCTATTATTTAAACCCAAAGTCACCTTTAGCATTATAAACTTGAGTATGTGCACAAAGATACAGACACAAGCATTGACTGTAGTGGTGAAAAACAGTAAATAACTATAATGTCAATCAACAGGAGGCTGATAAAATTATGAAACATCCACACTACAGAATACTATAGTGATTTGGCCGGGCACAGTGGCTCATGCCTGTAATACCAGCACTTTGGGAGGCTGAGGCGGGCAGATCACTTGAGGTCAGGAGTTCAAGACCAGCCTGGGCAACATGGCAAAACCCCGTCTCTACTAAAAAGACAAAAATTAGCCGGGTGTGGTGGTGCGTGCCTGTAATCCCAGCTACTCAGGGGGCTGAGGTGGGAGAACCACCTGAACCCAGGAGGCATAGGTTGTGGCGAGCCGAGTTTGCGCCACTGCACTCCAGTCTGGGCCACAGAGTTAAGACTCTGTCACAAAAAAAAAAAAAAAAAAAGGAATACTATACGGTTATTTAAAAGATTGAGGGAAATCTGTGTGTACATACTATATATATCAACATGTAAAGATTGCTAAGATCTTTAAGTAACCAAACATCATTAAGTGAAAAATGTATGACGATAATATATGCAATATGATCTCACTATGTTATTTAAAAAATTACTTATGCACAGAAAAGACTATTATACTACTTAGAAGTACCGAGGGAATTTCACTTTTAGTATACACGGTTCTATGCTGTTTAATGTTTTTAATGAACTATAGTTTTGTAATTTTTCTCATCACTTTATCATTTTAGTCTCTCTCTCAGGCTGTATCCGAGAGCCACACTTTTCAGACCCTTGTATCTTTACTCTTCAGGGACAAACCAGAGCATAGCTGAATCTCCAACGCCTTATGCTAAGCGAAACAAGCCAGACTCCAAGCCCACATGTGACATTCTGGAATGGGCAAAGCAGGAGGACTGAGGAACAGACAGGCGGCTGCAAGAGCGGGGAGGAGAGAGGCTGCCTTCCTGAGTATCCTGACTGCGGTGGAAGTCACTACAGTCCATGCACCTGATACAGCTCACTGAACTGAACACCAAAAAGTGAATCTTACTAAAAGTTTAAAATAAATTTAAACACACACACAAACTTAGGGGGTACATTTTCTTTGAGCGCAGCACAGACACCTGTCTTAACGCAGGAAACGTCCTCCGCCACGACTCCAGGGCGCCTCGGTCGCAGTGAGGGCACCGGCACTATATCCCTACTGGCCCTACCAGTGCACACCTGCTACGGCCCGCGCCCACTCACAGCGTGACTCGTTCTTCCAGGCTCCGTGCCTGCAGATCTAGACATCACTTGGAAAACCGCTGGCCACCCGCAGGGAAAAGGCAGCATGCGTGGGGCCCCCGCGGGTCCCGGCCTGGCCGGGACTCTGCCGCCAAGCTGTCAAGCATAGCAATGTGCGCACTGCACCAGGCATCACCGCGGCTCCGACCACGCCTCATTCCGGAGTCCGACGGACGACTGCAAGAAACACCACCGCTCCCGGCGCAGCCACGGTGCCCTCCGCCGCCAGAAAAACGCTCCCGAGCCTCAGTCCCCAGCGGCGACCACGCGGCGCTGGGCTCAATCAGCAGCCGCTCCCTGACTGGACTTAATAGCGGAGCTGACACCGTCCAGACGCCCCTCTCAGCTTAAAACACGTTCCATCAACCCCGTTTCCCGATTATTCTTGCACCCTTCTTGTCACACCCACAATGTGCTGCAAATTAAGCTCACGCATTTCAGCCTTAAAATACACAATTCAGATGCTTGTGCGAAACAGTGCTGCCTCCGTAACGATCGCGCCTCCTTAACAAAGCCCAAAACTCCTCTCTCCAAGAATGCCCGGAATGGCTCCGCGGACCAGGCTCCCTCCGCTCCTCACAGGGGCACGAAACAAAAACGGGTTCAGATCTTGCTGCGCGACCTTAGTGCAACATTAACAATCTGCCTGCTCCTTACTTTCCAACAAAAACGTCAAACACTAAGGTATTCCTTCGCCACTGGAGCTGTGCCATGTGCCGGGGCGCGGAATCCGGGATCCGGGGGCGCGAGGCGGTGAACGCGGGGGCGGGGAGCTCGGGGCCGAGGCCGAAAGGCCGGGGGCGCAGGGACCGGGAAGCCAGTGCAGGGAGTGCGGGGACCTGGAGCCCGGGAGGCGCGGGAGCCCGGGGCCGGGACCTGGGGGACGCGGGGACCAGGACGATCCCGGAGGCCGCGCCGCCGGGGAGGCCGCGCCGCCGGGGTTGGGGGGGAGGGGGGGGGGTCCGTCCCGGCCCCGCCGCCGCCCTGGCCGGCCCAGGTTCCGAGGGGGACCCGGACCCCGCGGAGGCCGCAGGGCAGGCGCGGGCGAGCGGGGTTCCTCACCTGCGTCCGCGGCGGCTTGGGGGTCCTGGGCGGGCCCTGGGAGTTTCCTTGGCCGAGTGAGTCACTCGGGCTGGCCGGGAATGCGCCAGGAAACACTCGGCCTCCTCCCCTTCCTCCCGGGGCGGGGGCTCTCCCGGCTCGGCCTCTTCCTCCCGGCGCTCCTCCCTCCCGGCCGCGGCCCCGGCCGCTCCCTCCTCCTGGCGGGGCATCCCCGGCCGGGCGGCCCCTTTCCCCACGCCAGCCGCCGAAGGTGTCCTCCCAGGCAGAGAGCCCCTGGCTACCTGCCGGCCTGGGTCACCGCAGCCTGCGCGGGACGGCGGGGTCGGAGCGGAGCGGGCGTGGGGTCCTCCTGCGGGTCCGTCCGGTTCGGAGCGCGAAGGAACGGGGTCCGCACCCTGTCCCGGGGCTCCACCGGGTCAGGGCGGGGGTTGGCCTGAGCTGCGGAAGGAGCTCAGGGGGACACCCAGGACGCCCGTGTGGCGCCGCCCCACTTGGCAGGAGGCGCTCACCTGCGCTCGTCGGGAGGGTTCCAGGCGCGGGTCCCAGCTGCAGGTCGGCGCGCAGAGCCCGCTGGGGACCCCCCCGGCCGGCCCCTGCGGCCCCATTGCCTGCGGGAACCAGGGACAAATCCGTGCGCAGACCTGCGGGAACGGCGGACGGAAGAAAACCTGATTTGAGCTCGTGCCAAAAAACAATCTTGAAAGGCCGGTGAAGAAACATACCTCACACGGAAACGCTGAGTGGAGTCAGCTGGTCACAGGCGTGTTTAGGAAAACTGCCCTAAACGCCCCGCTCAGCCGCAGCAACCTCACTCCCCATTCATCCGCGACCCCTGGTTCTTACGGAGAACAGTAAGGATGGGCATCAGATATTCTAGTCTGGTCTCTAGATTATGAAGGTTTGGTTACCCCCGCTTGTGCTCTGCGGTAAGGCAAAAAGCAGCAAATGAATCCTGACCAGCGGATTGAGACAATCTACCAGTTGACTCAATATTCGGAGATCACTTTCTCACATTCCTGCAAAACAGGGGCTTTGGATAACATTCTGGTTCCCAGTCCACACATTTTCAAATCAGCAGATTACTCCTTTTCTGTGCCTAGGGTGGAGTCTCAAAATTAGATTCCAAAGGTTTTTACATTGTAGATGACATGATAGAACCCAAATTCAAGTTATACTGTGATAATTTAAAATATTGTAATCCCGGCCGAGCGCAGTGGCTCACGCCTGTAATCGCAGCATTTTGGGAGTCCGAGGCGGGCGGATCACCTGAGGTCAGGCGTTCGAGACCACACTGGCCAACATGGTGAAGACCCCGTCTCTACTAAAAATACAAAAATTAGTCGGGCATGGTGGTGTGGGCTTGTAATCCCAGCTACTCGGGAGGCCGAGGCAGGAGAATCGCTTGAACCCAGAAGTGGAGGTTGCAGTGAGCCAAGATCGTGTCGCTGCACTCCGGCCTGGGCGACAGAGCAAGACTCCGTCTTAAAATAATAAAATATTGTAATCCCTAGAGCAATTAATAAAAAATAATACAGCTAAAAATCCAAGAAAAGAGATAAAATAGAATACAAAAATATGCTTGATCCAAAAGAAAGCAGGAAGGAAGGAGCAAAAAGCACATAAGGCAAAGACAAAGAGCAAGCAGTTAGACTTCAACCACATTAGTAATCACATTGAATGTAAATGGACTAAACATGTAATCCGTTTACTAACTGTAAATGGATTAAAACACAGAAATTGTCACATTGGATTAAAAACGAGACCCAAATATATTCTGTTTTAAGAAGACATAATTTTGGCCGGGCACAGTGACTCATGCCTGTTAATCCCAGCACTTTCGGAGGCCAACGCGGGTGGATCAACTGAGGTCAGGAGTTCAAGACGAGCCTGACCCACATGGCAAAACCCCGTCTTTACTAAAAATACAAAATTAGCTGGGTGTGGTGGCACATGCCTATAATCCCAGCTACTCAGGAGACTGAGGCAGGAGAATCGCTTGAACCCGGGAGGCAGAGGTTGCAGTTAGCTGAGATTGCGCCATTGAACTCCAGCCTAAGCAACAAGAGTGAAACCTGGTCTCAAAAAAAAAAAAAAAAAAAGACATAATTTAAATATAAGGACACAAAGAGGCTGAAATTAAAAAGATGCAAAAGGACATGCTAATCAGAAAGGTGGAGTGATTATATTAATATCAAAGTAGAATTCAACTCAAGGGGCACTATCAGTGATAAAAAGGACATTTGATAAAAATAAATGGGTCAATTAAGTATGAAAAAATAGGCCGGGCATGGTGGCTCACGCCTGTAATTCCAACACTTTGGGAGGCTGAGGCGGGCAGGTCATCTGAGGTCAGGAGTTCGAGACCAGCCTGGCTAACATACCCTGTTTCTACCAAAAATACAAAAAATTAGCCAGGTCTGGTGGCACATGCCTGTAATCCCAGCTACTCGGGAGGTTGAGGCAGGAGAATCGCTTCAACCTGGGAGGCGAAGGTTGCAGTAATCCCAGCTACTTGGGAGGTTGAGGCAGGAGAATCACTTGAACCCGGGAGGCGGAGGTTACAGTGAGCCAAGGTCGTGCCATTGCACTCTAGCTTGGGCAACAAGAGTGAAACTCCGTCTCAAAAGAAAAGGAAGAAAAAATAACTTTTAGTGCATATATACATCAAATAAGTTTTGAAATATTTAGACAAAGATGGATAGAATCAAAAGAAGAAATAGGCGAATACACACTCATAGAGATTTGAACTTCTCTCTATTAGTAATTGATAGGACAGGCAGACACAAAAAGAAGTAAAGATACAAAAATTTTTTTAAGTAATTAACGTATTATACCTAAATGGCACCTCCACAAAACAGAATACAGAATGCATTGTACGGAATGAAAGATGTTCAGACGCTTTGTACTGAAGACTTCAAGCTGTTACTGACAGGAATTAAAGTTTTCAAATAAACACGTAACATTCACAAAATATACCATATGTTAGGAAGTAAAACAAGTCTCATCAGATTTCAAAGGGTCAAAATTATTTACAGTAGTTCCCACCTCATCTTCTGGGGGATAAGCTTCAAGACCCCTGGTGGATGTCTGAAAGGACAGATAGTAGCACACTCTACACTGTATAGACTATATATTTTTCTATATATGCAGGCCTATGATAAAGTTTAATTTATAAAGTACACACAGGTCGGTAATCCCAGCATTTTGGGAGGTCAAGGTGGGCGGATTGCTTGAGCTCTGGAGGCAGAGGTTGCAGTGAGCTGAGATTGTGCCACTGCACTCCAGCCTGGGCGATAGAGTGAGACTCACAGAGTGAGATTCCATCTAAAAATAAATAAATAAATAAATTAGACACAGTAAGACATTAACAATAATAAAAATAGAACAATTGTAGTGGTATACTATAATAAAAGTGATGTAGTTCGTCTCTCTCTCAAAATATCTCATTATACTGTACTAGTAGTCCCCCTCCTCTGAGTTCCAGTTACTCATGGTCAACCATAGTCTGAAAATAGGTGAGTATAGTACAGTGCTTATTTAAAAACAACCATTAGGCCAGGTGCGGTGGCTCATGCCTGTAATCCCAGCACTTTGGGAGGCCGAGGCAGTGGATTGCTTGAGCTCAGGGGTTCGAGACCAGCCTGGCCAACAGGACAAAACCCCCTCTCTACAAAATACAAAAATTAGCTGGGCATAGTAGGCGGTGCCTGTGGTCCCAGCTACCACTGAGGCTGAGGCAGGAGAATCACTTGAACCCGAGAGTTGGAGGTTGTAGTGAGCTGACATCGTGCCACTGCACTCCAGGCTGGGCGACAGAGCATGACCCTGTCTCAAAAAAATAGAACGAAATAAAATAAAATAAAATAAATAACCATTTAAAGCCTCTGGAAATGGGCCTAAGGGCAAACAGCCAATGAAGAATTATCTATAGAAATGAGACTACTATACAGCAATGGAACAGAATAGTGAAAATTAAGTACACATTATTTGGTCAATTGGTTTTCAATTAAGATGCTAAAGGACTTCCATGGAGAAAGAAAACTCTTTTTTGGCTGGGCACAGTGGCTCACACCTGTAATCCCAGCACTTTGGGAGGCCAAGACGTGCAGATCATCTGAGGTCAGGAGTTCGAGACCAGCCTGGCCAACGTGGCGAAACCCTGTCTCTACTGAAAATACCAAAATTAGCTGGGTGTGGTGGCGAGTGCCTGTAATCCCAGCTACCCGGGGGGCTGAGGCAGGAGAATCACTTGAATCCAGGAGACAGAGGTTGCAGTGAGCTGAGATCATGCCACTGCACTCCAACCTGGCAACAGAGAGAGACTCCGTGTTAAAAAAAAAATAAAAGAAACTTTTTTTAAAAATGGTGCTAGAATAACTGCATAACGATGTACAAAAACTGAAACTCAACTTCCTCCCCAACACCATGTACAAAAAGTAACTGGCTGTGTATGGATCATAGACCTAAATTTGAAAGCTAAAGATACAAAGCTTCTAGAAGAAAACATAAGAGAATAATTTTATAACGGTAGAGTAGAGGAAGGCAAGATTTCTCAAAAATGTAGGGTTAGTACCTTTAGGAAAAAAATGATAAATTGATTTGATCGAAATTTAAAACTTCTCATCAAAAGAATGTTAAAAGAGTGAAAAGACATAGACAATATTGCAAGACAATACTGCAATACATATAACAGACAGAGAGTTTGTGTCCAGAATATGTAAAGAACCCAAACAACAATAAAATGACAATGCAGGAAAAATAGGGCAAAAGACTTTAACTCACACTTCAGAAAGAAACCACATTGGAAGTCTTTTATAAAATTCAACATATATATCTCCTATGATGGTAATTCTACTTCTAAGTATTTACCTAATAGAAATACAAATTAATCTCTGCACAAAAACTTGTATAATGAATAGTCTTTTGTTTTTTCTTTTTTGTTTTTTTTGAGATGGAGTTTCACTCTTGTTGCCCAGGCTGGAGTACAATGGCGTGATCTCTGCTCACCACAACCTCCACCTCCCGAGTTAAAGCGATTGTCCTGCCTCAGCCTTCCGAGTAGCTGGGATTACAGGCATGCGCCACCACTCCTGGCTAATTTTGTATTTTTAGTAGAGATGGGGTTTCTCCATGTTGATCAGGCTGGTCTCAAACTCCCGACCTCAGGTGATCCGCCTGCCTCGGCCTCCCAAAGTGCTAGGATTACAGGCATGAGCCACCACACCTGGCTGTATAATGAATATTCTTACCAGCTTATTTATAATCGCAAAAAACTAGAAACAACCCAAAGTGCACAAATAGGAGAATGGATAAACAAATACTGTTCATATAATGGAATATTACTCAGCAATAAAAAGGAAAGAACAAATCAAAAGGATTTGTTCTTGTGTTTTTCTATTTCACACTCATTAGGATGCCTACTATCAACAAACAGCTACTTGGGAGGCTGAGGCAGGAGAATCGCTTGAACCCAGGAGGCGGAGGTTGCAGTGAGCCAAGATCCTGCCACTGCACTCCAGCCTGGGCGACAGAGTGAGACTCCATCTCAAAAAAAAGAAATAATAGGCCGGGCACGGTGGCTCATGCCTGTAATTCCAGCACTTTGGAAGGCCGAGATGGGCGGATCACAAGGTCAGGAGATCGAGACCATCCTGGCTAACACGGTGAAACCTTGTCTCTATCAAAAATACAAAAAAATTAGCTGGGTGTGGTGGCGAGTGCCTGTAGTCCCAGCTACTCAGGAGGCTGAGACAGGAGAATGGTGTGAACCCGGGAGGCAGAGCTTGCAGTGAGCCGAGGTCACGCCACTGCACTCCAGCCTGGGCGACAGAGCAAGACTCTGTCTCAAAAAAAATAATAATAATAATAATAATAATAATAAAATAAAAATAAACAAAATAACAAGTATTGGCAAGGATATGATGAAATTGGAACTCTGTGTACTCTTAGTGGGCATGTAAAATGGTGCCACTATGGAAAACAATATGATGAAAAAAGTTTTTAAAAGGGGAAGAAAATGGATATACAAGTAGTATTATAAAATAGATGAACCTCAAAACTATTCTGTAATTTTCCACACACAAAAGACCATGTACATATTGTGGGATTTCATCTATATGAACTTCCATGACAGATAGCACCACTACTCACTGGTGACAGAAGTCAGAAATTGGCCGGGCGTGGTGGTTCACCCCTGTAATCCCAGCACTTTGGGAGGCCAAGGCGGGTGGATCACTCGAGGTCAGGAGTTCGAGACCAGCCTGACCAACATGGCGAAACCCCATCTCTACTAAAAATACAAAAAATTAGCCGGGTGTGGTGGTGGGTGCCTGTAATCCTAGCTACTCAGGGGGCTGAGGCAGAAGAATCACTTGAACCCAGGAGGTGGAGGCTGCAGTGAGCTGAGATTGCGCCACCGCACTCCAACCTGGGCAACAGAATGAGACTCTGTCTCAAAAAAAAAAAAAGAAAGAAAAGGAAGTCAGAAATCGTTAAATCGTTTGCTTGGGTGAGGTGGTCTGCAGGGAATAGGATGGACTGAAAAGAGGCGTGTAGGAAACTTCTGGGGACTTGGAAATATTCTGCATCTTTGTCAGGCTGATATTGACACAAGCATATTATGTCAGTCAGGGTTCAACCAGAAAAGCAGAATCAGTAGGAGATACATATTAGGAGATTTACTGCAAGGAATTGGCTTATGCACTATGGGGGCTGGCTCAGCTAGGATGAAATCTGGAGGGCAGGCCATCAGAAAGTTACTGTCCTGTGGCTGGGGGCGGTGGCTCACGCCTGTAATCCCAGCACTTTGGGAGGCTGAGGCAGGCGGACCACCTGAGGTCAGGAGTTCAAGACCAGCCTGACCAACATGGAGAAACCCCATCTCTACTAAAAATACAAGAAATTAACCGGGCGTGGTGGAACATGCCTGCAATTCCAGCTACTTGGGAGGCTGAGGCAGGAGAATCACTTGAATGGGGGAGGCGGAGGTTGTGGTGAGCCAAGATCACTCCATTGTGCACTCCAGCCTGGGCAACAAGAGCAAAACTCCATCTCAAAAAAAAAAAAAAGAAAAGAAAGTTACTGTCCTGTTTTTAGGTTTCTGTCACGGTCACAACAAATTACTACAAATTTTTGGCTCTGGTAAACTGAAAAAGCATCCCCCAGCAAATACCTGTGTCAAATCCCTGGAACCTGTGGCTGTTACTACTATGTTGAAACCCCATCACCAAGATGATGGCATTAGGAGGTGGGGCCTTTGGGAGCTGACAGGTCACAAAGGTAGAGTCCTCATGAGTGGGATTTGTGCCCTTATAAAAGACACCCCAGAGGGGGCCAGGCGCGGTGGCTCACGCCTGTAATCCCAGCACTTTGGGAGGCTGAGGTGGGTGGATCATGAGGTCAGGAGATGGAGACCATCCTGGCTAACACGGTGAAACCCCGTCTCTACTAAAAATACAAAAAATTAGCCGGGCGTGGTGGCGGGTGCCTGTAGTCCCAGCTACTCGGGAAGCTGAGGTGGGAGAATGGCATGAACCCGGGAGGCAGAGTTTGCAGTGAGCCGAGATTGCGCCACCACACTCCAGCCTGGGTGACAGAGCGAGACTCCATCTCAAAAAAAAAAAAAAAAAAAAAAAAAAAAGACACCCCAGAGAACAGCCTTGTCCTTTCTGCCATGTGAAGACACAGCCAGACAACAGCCACTGAGAACCAGACAGTGGGACCTCACCAGACACCCACTCTGTGGTGCCTTGATGTTGGGCACTCAGCTTCCAGAACTATGAGTAATACATTTCTCCTGTTTATAGCCACCCAGTCTATGGTGCTTTGTTATAGGAGTCCTGACGGACTAAGACAGTTACCTTATATGAAGAAAAAGAGTCTTAGCGGATCTAAGTTCTTGAGATGGGATCATCTTAGATTATCTGAAGGGGCCCTAAATCCAATAAGCAGTGTGCTTACATGAGACACTGAGAGCAGACCCAGAAAAAGAGGCAGTGTGAACACAGAGGCAGAGATGGGAGTGAAGCAGCCACACAGCCACAAGTCATAGAATGCTGGCAGCCCCCGAAACTGAGCAGGTAAAGAATGGTGGAGGCAAGGCCCTATTGCTGCCTTGAATTTTGGCCTTCCAGCCCCCAGAACTTGAAGATAATTAATATCTGTTTTTTTTGGCCGGTTGCGGTGGCTGAAGCCTGTAATCCCAGCACTTTGGGAGGCCAAGGCGGGCGTATCACGAGGTCAGGAGATCGAGACCATCCTGGCTAACACAGTGAAACCCCGTCTCTACTAGAAAATACAAAAAAAATTAGCCGGGCGTGGTGGTGGGTGCCTGTAGTCCCAGCTACTCGGGAGGCTGAGGCAGGAGAATGGCGTGAACCTAGGAGGCAGAGCTTGCAGTGAGCCGAGATCGCGTGACTGCACTCCAGCCTGGGCGACAGAGCGAGACTCCGTCTCAAAAAAAAAAAAAAAATCTGTTTTTTTGTTGTTTGTTGTTTGTTTGTTTTTTGAGACGGAGTCTTGTTCTGTTGCCAGGCTGGAGTGCAGTGGCGTGATCTCAGCTCACTGCAACCTCCGATTCCCTGGTTCAAGCGATTCAGGCATGCACCACCAGGCCCAGCTAGTTTTTGTGTTTTTAGTACAGACAGGATTTCTCCATATTGGTGTAGAGGCCACTCACATTCCCGGATCCTGCTCCTTCCCTTGACTTTTTCTGTCCTCAAAGCCCTCAGCTGGCTCTGCCCTCAGGCTGCCCTGGCCTCACACCTTTCTCTGACACTGTGCTTCTGTCCCCTCTTCCACCTTTAGGAGCCGTGTGACGACATCCCCAGATAATGCAGGGTAACGTCTCTATCTCAAGTCAGTGGACTAGCAACCCTAATTCCATCTGCAATTTTAATTCTCCTCTTGCCATGTAAACTAACATAGTCACACGGCCCAGGGATTAGGAAGCAGACAGCTTTGGGGCTACCATTCCGCCTTGTCTCAGGAAGCTGGAGCTCTGCCTCAGTGTCCTCTAACCCATTGAATCCGGCCCAGCTGGACTGCCTGGGATCATCTCCTTTACTTAAAGTCAACTGATATGAAATTTAATCACATCCAGTAAATACCTTCTAGCAACACGAGGTGTGTGTTTGATAGAACAGCTGGGACAGCCTCACTAGGTTGACACAATAAAAAGACCACCACAACCCACCCCCTGTTAACTTGGCACCCATACATATCCCCTTAAATCATACTTGTCTTGGTTTGTCTTTTTAAATTTATGATTTATTTATTTATCTAGAGACAGGGTCTCACTTTGTTGTCCAGGTTGGCCTTGAACTCCTGGCCTCCAGGGATCCTCCCACCTGGCCTCCCAAAGTGCTGGGATTACAGGTGCAAGTCATGTGCCTGGCCAACCAGGAGGAACTTTAATTCCTTCTTAACTGATCCCTCCATTCCACAATAGCATGATCTCAGCTGCTATATTTGTACAACCTGATCTCTTATTTCTTGCCACACCTTGTTCAAGCTGGAGTGGGCACCTGACCCAAGTTGACTCGCTGTGGGAACCTTGGTTGGGAGCTTAGAGTTGGAACTTTCTCACTCACATCACAGCCTCCTAACTTCAGGACTTTTATTTCTTCTGCAGTGAAAACATGTGGACTCCAACCAAGAACCCAACCACACGTCTCCCTGGTGCCCGCCTGGATCTCTCACCTCCTGCCCTGGGGCTTCCCTGTCACCAGGAGGCATCAGAGTCCTCTGAGATCACACATGAACCATGCAGCTGTGCACAGAGTTAACATTCCCTGCACCTTTGACTAATGAGAGGCACTCACAGGCAGATTCCTCTCTTTCCTTCCTGATGCAGTCCACATGGCTTCTAGGGACATCCCGAGAGGTGGGGCAGGCACACTTAGCAATGCCATCTTACTGAGATGGCCCCATATCCATCAGCACTCCCCCTCCTTCTCCCACTCCTCCCCCTCCTCTTCCCCTCCTCTTCCATCTCTCTCCTCCTCCTGCTAGGGCACTCTCTGACTCCCACTACGGGCACTGCACCCCATCTCAGAGTAGAGGCACCTACGGCTTTGTCTCAGGTTGTATTTCTGGGGAACCCAGGCCAAGGCTGGAGCCAAGAACTGGTCACGTGCATTTGGGATCTGTGAGCATCCACCTTCCAACCACTACAGGAAAAGCACAGCAAGGAAAGGTGAGAAAGCAGAAGTAACAGGTAGAAAAACAAATACCAGCAGAACAGGGAGACAGCTCTCCCCGAGCAGGAAACACAGCATGCATTTTTGGATTAAAATTCCTCCATTCCCTCACCAGACACCAACTCTGTGGTGCCATGATCTTGGGCGCTCAGCTTCCAGAACTGTAATAAATTTCTCCTGTTTAGAGCCACCCAGTCTATGCTGCTTTGTTATAGCAGCCTTAACAGACTAAGACAGTTACCTTATGTGAAGAAAAAGAGTCTTAGCAGATCTAAGTTCTTGAGATGGGATCATCTTAGATTATCTGAAGGGGCCCTAAATCCAATAAGCAGTGTGCTTACAAGAGACATGCAGAGAACAGACCCAGAAAGAGGCAGTGTGAACACAGAGGCAGGGATGGGAGTGAAGCAGCCACACAGCCACAGTCATAGAATGCTGGCAGCCCCCAGAAACTGGGGAGGCAAAGAATGGCGCGGCCATGGCCCTATTGCTCCCTTGAATTTTGGCCTTCTGTCCTCCAGAACTTCAAGAGAATGAATATCTGTTGTTTTAAGCCACCAGGTTTATGGTAATGTGTTACAGCAGCCACAGGCAACAGTATAAGGACTTCCTTATAATAAATTACTTTTTTTTTTTTGAGACGGAGTCTCGCGCGCTCACCAGGCTGGAGTGCAGTGGCGCGATGTCAGCTCACTGCAACCTCTGCCTCCCAGGCTCAAGTGATTCTACTGCCTCAGCCTCTTGAGTAGCTGGGATTACAGGCGCACACCACCACACCCGGCTAATTTTCTATATTAGTAGAGACGGGGTTTCACCATGTTGGCCAGGCTGGTCTCGAACTCATGACCTCAGGTGATCCGCCTGCCTCGGCCTCCCAAAGTGCTGGGATTACAGGTGTGAGCCACCATGCCCAGCCAAATTACTCTTTCTTAACTTAATGATGCCATGAATTGATGTGGTGGCTTTGCAGCATGTGGAGCTGGCTAAGCTGACCCAGGTTTACTAGAGTTCTTCCTGTGTTTCTGCAAGACCATGAGGGAGGCGTTGGCGGAGGCTTGGGGAGAGGCAGGGAGCTGCCACTGTGTTGTGGCTCACACGTGTTGTTGTGGGTCTGACAGCTTACACTGTTAACACCACCATGGCCAGGACTGCCACTACTGCCTTCTTCTTGTCAACCTAAAATAATCAAAAGGAACAGAATCTAGTTTAGAGAGTTTATTCAAGCAAAAAGTTTGAGGATGGGCCACCTGGGAAGCACCCATCTCAAAGAACAGAAGTCAGTGTTCCAAAGTGTAGATGTTTGGGAATGCTTATTTAGACAAAGGTTAGGGAAGTGTAACAAAATTTCATCATCTTTCTGTGGAAGACTTCATGCATAGTTATGATGATCTGATTAGTCAAGTTGGTCTTTTTCTTCCAGGCAAGGCATATTTAACATTCCACACTGAGGTTGTACTAGTGATAGGGTCTTGAGCACCGTCTGGTCCACATTAGGTACCGGACAGCAAAGGAGGCAGTTCATCTACAACAAAACCAGTGATTGGAAGTGGGGAGGTCTGGTCTCTGGTCTCTCTTAGTCATTTACAGAACAAGAACAATGAGGAAAAGAGTGAATCTGAGAAGAATTGCAGTCGTACGACCTGACAGTCTCCAGGGCTCAACTTCCTCCCTGGCGTAATAAATCCAGACAGTCCTGAAGTTTTACTTTCATTGACTCTCTGGATCCTGTGGCTCCCGAAGGAGGCATCTGGCTCATCTTCATGATGAGAGGCCCTAGCTTCTGCAGCACCTCCACACCACCAAGGCCAGAAGCAGCAAGAACTGACGCAGGTTTAGGTCCCTCCCAAACCTCCTGTGGACAGTAGACTCCAGCGTCGGATGCAGACAACAGGCAGCCCTATGGAAACTGACGAATCAGTTTACACAATTAACTGTGTAAGAGCAAAGCCCTGCAGCAAGTCCACGATTATCCACAGGTATGGGTGTATGGGTAATATATATATACACACATATATATGTATGTATATGTGTGTCACACACACACATGTATATTAATGGCTCTGCTCTTGGACTGATACAGATTTTGGTACAGAGAGAGGATGCTGCTGTAGCAAAACCTAACAGGTGGGCATGGCTCTGGGACCAGGGTTTGAGGAGAGTGTTGATGACACTAAAGTGCTTTGAACACACTGTTCTTAGACTTTGGACTTTGAGGACATTGCTGAAGAGGGCTTAAAAGAAAGTGAGAAGAATGTTGTTATTGGAAATTGAAGGAAGACTTTCACTAAGTAGCAGCAGAAAGTTTAGCCCTGCTGTTACCTGACGTTACATGGATAGGACAGAATATACATAATAAACGGGTGACCTAGCTAATGAGATTTTCCAAGCAAAGTATTCAAGATGCTGCCTGGTTTCTTCCTGCTGGGTATAGTAAAATGTGAGAGGAGAGCATTAACTGAGAGAAAGATTTAAAAAAAAAAGGAGACAGAATTAATGGTTTTGAAATGTTTTAGCCTCCCCATACGGCAAATGATGCTAAAATAAGAAAATGACTATCGAGCAAGGATAAACTATATGGCACTGCCAAGAAAATGTGCTCTAGAGACGATGCTCAGGATGTGATTGGAAACTCTTTATTTTTGAGATTGAGTCTCGCTCTGTCGCCCAGGCTGGAGTGTAGCGGTGTGATCTCAGCTCACTGCAACCTCCACCTCCCGGCTTCAAGCGATTCCCCTGCCTCAGCCTCCTAAGTAGCTGGGATCACAGGCATGCGCCACCATGCCCGGCTAACTTTTGTATTTTTAGTAGAGACAGGGTTTCACCATGTTGGTCAGGCTGGTCTCGAACTCCTGACCTCGTGATTCGCCTGCCTCTGCCTCCCAAAGTGCTGAGATTACAGGTGTGAGCCACCGCGCCCAGCTGGAAACTCTTTTTTATTTTGAGACATGAACTTACTCTGCCGCCCAGGCTGGAGTGCAGTGGCACGATCAAGCTCACTAGACCCTCGACCTCCTGGGCTCAAATAATCCTCCCACCTCAGCCCCCGAAGTTTTTTTTTTTTTTTTTTTTTTTTTTTTAATATGAGACGGAGTCTCGCTCTGTCGCCCAGGCTGGAGTGTAATGGTGCGATCTCGGCTCACTGCAACCTCCGCCTCCTGGGTTCAAGCGGTTCTCCTGTCTCAGCCTCCTGAGTAGCTGGGATTACAGGTATGCACCACCATGCCCAGCTAGTTCTTGTATTTTCAGTAGAGATGGGGTTTCACCATGTTGGCCAGGCTGGTCTCGAACTCCTGACCTCAGATGATCCACCTGCCTCGGCCTCCCAAAGTGTTGGGATTACAGGCGTGAGCCACCGTGCCCAGACTAATTTTTGTATTTTTTGTAGAGATGCGGTTTCACCACGTTGGCCAGGCTAGTCTTGAACTCCTGGGCTCAAGCGATTCGCCTGCCTCGGCCTCCCAAAATGCTGGGATTACAGGTGTGAGCCACTGAGCTTCTGATGTCAAAAAGATTAATAAATGTTGCCTCAGAGTACCCTTTAGTGACACTAAAGGCTCTGTGAATAGATTAAGGGTGTGTCTCACAGAATCTCTCCAACAATAGGGTCTTTTTTCCCTTCTTTTTTAGGATGAAGTTTTGCTCTTGTTGCCCAGGCTGCAGTGCAATGGTGCAGTCTCGGCTCACTGCAACTCTGCCTCCTGGGTTCAAGAGATTCTCCTGCCTCAGCCTCCCAGGTAGCTGGGATTAGAGGTGCCCACCACCACGCCTGGCTAATTGTTTTGTATTTTTAGTAGAGACGGGGTTTCACCATATTGGCCAGGTTGGTCTTGAACTCGTGACCTCCAATAATCCGCCTGCCTTGGCCTCCCAAAATGCTGGGATTACAGGCGTGAGCCACCGTGCCTGGTCCCAGTCCATTTTACAGATAGGATAGGGCGATGTGCAGCACGGCCTTAGCTTTTCCACACACATGAGCAAAGGAACAGCTCTTAGATTCAGTGTAAAGATGTCTTTTCATTCAGAAAACTCAAGCAGTTTGAGACTCATCCAAGTTGTTACAAAGTCATGTTTTCCTTTCTGTGCAGTATTCCATTGGGTAAATTGAAGCTGTTTATTCATTCACCAGTTGATGGTCATGTGGACTGTTTCTAGTTTTTGGCACTTATTCGTAAAGCCACTATAAACATTTGTGTACAGGTTTTTGTGTGAATATACATTTCATTTCTCTTGGGTAAACACCTAGGAGTGGGATTGCTGGGTGGTAAGTTGTTTAACATTGTAAAAATATGTTTAATAAAGATATGTTTAACAGTGTAAAAGACTGAAAAACTCTTCCAAATTGGCTGTACCAAGGCTGGGCACGGTGGCTCACGCCTGTAATCCCAGCACTTTGGGAGGCCAGTGCAGGATTGTGCTTGAGCTCCAAAGTTTGAGACCACCCTGGGCAACATAGCGAGACCCCATCTATATTTTAAAAATAAGGCCGGGGGCAGTGGCTCATGCCTGTAATCCCATCACTTTGGGAGGCCCAGGTGGACGGATCACTCGAGGTCGGGAGTTCAAGAACAGCCTGGCTAACACGGTGAGACCCCATCTCTATTAAAAATACAAAAATTACCTGGGCATGATGGTGTGCGTCTGTGGTCCCAGCCACTCAGGAGACTAAGGCAGGAGAATCACTTGAACCTGGGAGGCAGAGGTTGAGGTGAGCTGAGATCACACCATTGCACTCCAGCCTGGGGGACAGAGCGAGAATCTGTCTAAAATAAATAAATAAATAAAAATAAAAATAAAAGAATAAATAAAAGAAATACAAATTAAAAGATCACTCAGATGCTATTTTACTCATTCAATTATAAAAACAGAAGTGACCCCTGGATTCTGTTGGGAAGCACCATACTGGTGTCCGGCTCCACCTTGTTCGTGGTCCCCCATAGGAGGGCACCTGGCCCAAAGCCACCTGCAGCTTTAAAGACATTGTGTAACCTAAGAAACCTCCTGGGATGTGCTGCTAGGAAAGTCATCTGCAAACACACACCAGGTGAGATCGCACCACTGCAATCCAGCCTAGGTGACAAAGCAAGGCTCCGTCTCAAAAAAAAAAAAAAAAACAAAACAAAAACCAAAAAAACCCAAATTGGCTGTACCATCTGCATTTCCACCAGTAATGTAAGAAATTCCCAGTTGCTCCACACCCAGCCCCACACTTGATACAATTCAATGAGTTTTGTCACATGCATGTACCTGTGGGACCAATGAAGACACAGAACACACCCATCACCCCCAGAAATTTCCCCCAACCCCCTTTCAGGTAACATGTCATGGCCAGAGGCAACCACTGTTGCAATTTCTATCACTGGAGACTAGTTTTACCAGTTCATTAACTTCATGTAAATGGAATAATAACGGATCCTTTTAAGTCTGGCTTTTTTTTCGACATAAAGTTCCTGGAATTCTCTTATGTCGTTATGTGGATGAGCTGTGTTTTCACAGTGGAACTGCATTCCACTGCGTGCATATACTTCAGTGTTGATCCATCTACCTCTTCACCGTCGTCAGGATGTTTCTAGCTTTTAGCTCTTATGAATATTCAGATACAAATCTCTGCGTGGACGCATTTAAAAATTCCTCTTGGATAAATACCTAAGGGTGAACTGCTGCTTCTCAGGGGTAGATACATGTTAACCTTTGTAAGAAAATGCCATATAGTTTCCCCAAGTGCTTGTACCATCTTGTAATTTCCAGTTGCTCTAAATCCTTGAAAATTATTTGACATGCCGGTCTTTTTATTTTAGCCATGCCAGAGGCTGTGGTGCTCGTGCGGTTTAATTGGCCATTTTTGTGCCTTCCTTGCCTCTTTGTGCTCATTAAAAAAAATGTCTTGGGCTGGGTGCAATGGCGCACACCTGTAATCCCAGCACTTTGGGAGGCTGAGGCCAGAGGACTACTTGGGCCCAGGAATTCACATCAGCCGGGGAACATAGTTAAGACTTCATCTTTTTAATTTTTATTTTCTTTAATTTTTGAATCAGAGTCTTGCTCTGTCACCCAGGCCGAAGGGCTGTGGTGTGATCTTGGCTCACTGCCACCTCCAACTCCCAGGTTTAAGCAATTCTCATGCCTCAGCCTTCCCAGAGTAGGTGGGACTACAGGTGTCTGTCACCACACCCAGCTATTTTTTGTATTTTTAGTAGAGATGGAGTTTCACCATGTTGGCCAGGCGGGTCTCAAACTCCTGGCCTCAAGTGATCGGTCTGCCTAGGCCTTCCAAAGTGCTGGGATTATAGGCATGAGCCACTGCACCTGGCTGAAAACCCAACTCTTCCAAAAAAACACAAAAGATTAGCCGCATATGGTGGTGCATACCTGTAGTCTCAGCTACTCAGGAGGCTGAGGGAGGAGTGCTTGGTCCCCGGAGGTTGAGGCTTCAGTGAGCCAAGACTGTGCCAATGCGCTCCAGCATGGGCAACAAAGCAAGACCTTGCATCAATGAAAAAAAAAAAGCTTGTCTTACTAATTTAAAATGCCTTCATACACTCTGAACATAGTTACTTCTGGACACCCTGGGCAACAGTGGTTGCCTCTGGGCATGACATGGTTCCTGAAAGGGGCTAAGGGGAAATGTTCTCTCCCAGTCTGTGGCCTGTATTACCATTTTCCTAGCAATGTTTTTTGGTGATGTCCAATTCACCAATAATTCCTTTTTTTTTTTCCTTTTGAGACGGAGTCTTGCTCTGTCACCCAGGCTGGAGTGCAGTGGTGTGATCTCGGCTCACTGCAACCTCTGCCTCCCAGGTTCAAGCGATTCTCCTGTCTCAGCCTCCTGAGTAGCTGGGACTACAGGTGTGCGCCACCACGCCCGGCTGATTTTTGTATTTTTAGTAGAGACGGGGTTTCCCCATATTGGTCAGGCTGGTCTGGAACTCTTGACCTCAGGTGATCCACCCACCTTGACCTCCCAAAGTGCTGGGACTGCAGGCATGAGCCACCGTGCTCGGCCCCTTTTTTGATTTTATGTAAGAAATCTTTGTCTACCCCAAGTTTGTAGTGTTAATTTCCCATGTTTGCTTCTAGAAGCTTTCTAGTCCTAACTTCCACATTTTGTTGTTTCCAGTTCTAGCTTTCATATTTTTTTTCTTTTTCTTATTTTTTTCTGAGACAGAGTCTCGCTCTGTCGCCCAGGCTGGAGTGCAGTGGCATGATCTCAGCTCACTGCAACCTCCGGCCACCCAGGTTCAAGCAATTCTCTGGCCTCAGCCTCCTGAGTAGCTAGGATTACAGGTGTGTGCCACCACGCCCAGCTAATTTTTGTATTTTTAGTAGAGACAAGGTTTCACCACATTGGTCAGGCTGGTCTCGAACTCCTGACCTCATGATCCACCCACCTCGGCTTCCCAAAGTGCTGGGATTGCAGGCATGAGTCACTATGTGTGGCCTTTTTTTTTTTTAAAGATAGTCTCACTCTATAAAAAGAAAATATGGAAAAATTTAATAGTAAGCATAATTCTATTCAAAATATAACTGGTTAGCTCACAAAAATTGCTCAGAAATATTGCCAGGCACAGTGGCTCACGCCTGTAATCCCAGCACTTTGGGAGGCTAAGGCGGGTGGATCACCTGAGGCCAGGAGTTCGACACCAGTCTGGCCAACAAGGTGAAACCCTGTCTCTACTAAAAATACAAAAATTAGCTGGGCGTGGTGGTGCACGCCTGAGATCCCAGCTACTCGGGAGGCTGAGGCAGGAGAATCACTTGAATCCAGGAGGCAGAGGTTGTAGTGAGCCGAGATCGTGCTACTGCACTGCAGCCTAGGTAACAGAGTGAGCCTCCACATTTCAAAAAACAAGGAAATACCAAACAATAGTATGTACCAACAGTTGGCCCTAAGTGAAGTTGGGCCTTTTACATTTATCGCTATCAGTTGAAGCTATTTTCCATGTAGAACTTCTCAGGCACAACAAAACATATATACATTTCTTTCTTTCTTTTTTTTTGTTGGAGACAAGGTCTTGCTCTGTTGTCCAGGCTGGAGTGCAGTGATGCAATCATGGTTCACTGCAGCCTTGACCTCCCGGTCTCAATCGATCCTCCCACCTCAGCCTCCCAAGTAGCTGGGACCACAGGCATGTGCCACCATGCTTGGCTAATTTTTTTTTTTCGGAGTCTTGCTCTGTCACCCAGGATGGAGTGCAGTGGTACAATCTAGGCTCACCGCAACCTCTGCCTCCTGGGTTCAAGTGATTCTCCTGCCTCAGCCTCCCAAGTAGCTGGGATTACAGATGTGGGCCACCACGCCTGGCTAATTTTTTTGTATTTTTAGTAGAGACGGGGTTTCACCACATTGGCCAGGCTGGTCTTGAACTCCTGACCTCAGATGATCCGCCCACCTCGGCCTCCCAAAGTGCTGGGATTACAGGGGTGAGCCACCGTGCCCAGCCCTTGGCTAATTTTTAAGTTGTTTTTGGAGAGATGGGGTCTCATATGTTGCCTAGGCAGGTCTTAAACTGCTGGCCTCAAGGAATCCTCTCACCTCAGTCTTTCAAAGTGCCAGGATTACAAGCTTGAGAAACTACACCCAGCCAAAATATAAACATTTCTAGGACAGCTACATCTAAGACAACTTTTAGGGAAGACAACATGTAAAACTCTATATAAAAAGCTTCTGTGACTGTAGGACAGCAGCAAAAGGATAATAAAATGATTTTAAGTCCTTTAATTTATTTTGAATATCAGTAATTACATTTTCAAAATATGATATAATTTAAAGGTATCAGTACCATAAATCTGTATCTTACAGTAGGAAATATAAGAGTAAACAGCCTATATACACTTTGTACTACTGACACAATTTTATGTATACAACTCTATACAGTATCTACTAATCTCCAGAAAACCCACCTACAATCCATCTGTCTGGACTGTGGGCAAGTGGTTCTTTCTGAGTCAGGGTCTCACTCTGTCACCCAGGTTGCACTGCAGTAGTGCAATCATGGCTCACTGTAGCCTTGACCTCCTGGGCTCAAGTAATCCTCCCATCTTTGCCTCCTGAGTAGCTGGGACTACAGGTACACACCACCATGTCTGGATACATTTTGTATTTTTGGTAGACACCGGGTTTCACCATGTTGCCCAGGCTGGCCTCAAACTCCTGGGCTCAAGTGATCTGCCTGTCTTGGCCTCCCATCGTGCTGGGATTAGAGGCATGAGCGACTGTGCCAGGCTGACTGTGGACAAGTTTTACAAATAAACCAAAATAAAAATATTCTCACTTTTCAGCTGCACATGGTGGAAATGTACATGTATGATGACAAAGTCGGAGATATTTATTACGCTGAAGACATTTAACTTTGTTCCATGCCAGCCATGAGTGACAACGCTAGAGATTCCACTGTGGGAAGAATAAAAATAAGGTTAAAACAATAGGTTTAAATGTTGAAAAAAAATTTTTTTTGAAGACGGAGTCCCACTGTCACCCAGGCTGGAGTGCAATGGTACAATCTCAGCTCACTGCAACCTCTGCCTCCCGGGTTCAAGCAATTTTCCTGCCTCAGCCTGCTGTGTAGCTGGGATTTCAGGCATGTGCCACCATGCCTAGCTAATTTTTGTATTTTTAGCAGAGACAGGGTTTTGCCATGTAGGCCAGGCTGGTCTTCCAACTCCTGACCTTAAGTGATTCACTCAACCTCCCAAAGGGCTGGGATTAGAGGCATGAGCCACCGCGCCAGGCCAGGAGCTTTAAATTCCTAAAAAAAATTTTAAAAAGACTAGATTTTGAAAAGAAATAGTTACAAAAACTACACGATAGTGAAGTGTGACAGAAATCTATTCTGCCATCAACTTTATTTAATAGGAGTTTTAGAAATCTGTTGTAATAAATGGTATACCAGAAAGTAAGATCCTCAGGCTTACACTCACCTCACCGTAATGCTTAAAAAGCAATTCAAAGCATGGGACAACTGCTAAGGGACTTTTCAGTTTTGAAAATGGTGAGAATTTCTAATTCTTCATGGGATCAGTAACAAAACAATGACACATACACTTAGTTACAAGGAAATACAGAGGTAGAAATATTTTAACATGATATACTCACAATGGGGAAAGGATCCTCTACAGACGGCTTTGTTTAAAATGGTTACAAGAAACATATGGCAGTTTTTAAAATCAGATTCCATTTTCTCTATAGATTCCATTCTAGGAATAAAAGTAAATTTCAATTAAGTAAGTGCATTGCGGGTATATAGGTAGGCTTCAAGATATCTGTGGAGTAATTTCAAATGTATTTTGGTTTAATTATTTAAAATCCTAAATCTAAAGATTATAAAATAAAACACATAACGTCCTACCCTACTTTAAAATAAAAAATGTCAAAGTGTTTCAAAGGAAGTTTCATTAGGATATAAAACTGTGCTGTTTCCAGATAGTATCTAGTTCTGGAACTAGGAGGACCAAAGATACTCCCTTTTCCTTTATACAGTCTTGTTTTTATTGTTTACAAGCATACATTCTCTTTGAAATAAAGAACACATTAAGGATATAAAACTTAAAATCTGAAATTATTTTTAAAAAGGTTTTTTTTCTTTTTGAGATGGAGTCTTGCTCTGTCGCCCATGCTGGAGAGCAGTGGCACGATCTCGGCTCACTGTAACCTCCGCCTCCTGGGTTCAAGTGATTCTCCTGCCTCAGCCTCCTGAGTAGCTGGGATTACAGATGCCCACCACCATGTCTGGCTAATTTTTGTATTTTTTGTAGAGATGGGGTTTCGCCATGTTGGTCAGGCTGGTCTCGAACTCCTGACCTCAGCTGATCTGCCCCCACTGGCCTCCCAAAGTGCTGGGATTGCAGTTGTGAGCCATGGAGCCTGGCTGCCTTTTTTTTTTTTAGACAGAGTTTCGCTCTTGTTGCCCAGGCTGGAGTGCAATGTAGCGATCTCGGCTCACCACACCACAACCTCTGCCTCCTGGGTTCAGCAATTCTCCTGCCTCAGCCTCCCAAGTAGCTGGGATTACAGGCATGCACCACCACGCCTGGCTAATTTTGTATTTTTAGTAGAGATGGAGTTTCTCCATGTTGGTCAGGCTGGTCTCGAACTCCTGACCTCAGGAGATCCGCCCACCTCAGCCTCTCAAAGCACTGGGATTACAGGCGTAAGCCACTGTGCTCGGCTTTCTTTCTTTCTTTCTTTCTTTTTTTTTAAAGAAATATCAAACACTTTGTAAGAGAGAACTTCAGAAGGGGTTTCCATGGCCCACTGCCCAGCCATGGCAGGTGCCACATGCCAAGCTTACACCTCCACAGCCCCACCACAATATTCAGAAGCAAACAGGAGACATCAGAGCACCACAGTCATGAATATTTCATAAGTATAAATGTATACTTTAAAGATAAAGACTCATTTCAAAACACAGCCACAACACCATTTGCTCAAAAATATCATCTAATAGCATTCAAGCAAATTTCACATTGCTTCTACAATTTTTCACTTTTCGGCTTTAAGTCTCAATCAGGAACAATTAACTTATCCATAAACTGCGATGGTTGATAGACTTCTTAAGTTCCTCACCCCCTGTATTTTTCTCACATTTATTTGTAAAAAAACCTGAAAGAGTTGAATTTCAGCAAAGCATATGCAGCAGTGTTATTTCTCCTCCACCCCAAAGTGAGACAAAAAAAAAAGAAAAAAAAAAAGCAAAATATATTTTGCACACTTTGAGCCAGCAATATAAAGCGAGGAAGACTTCTATTTCCATCCCTGCAGCTATGGCTTCATCTACTACCTTAGTTTCTTGATTCCGAGTACAGCCAATGGGAGATTTCGAATTATACTAGCACTCAAATGAATTCTTACTTCCTTACTGACATGGAGTAAGTACAGTCAACCAAACATGCACTTTTATTTCATGGAAGTAACAGCAGAATTACTGTTGCACTGACTTTATAAACAGGACAGGTAACAAAATATTGAGCTGTACACTGGAGTTAACAGTAGAGGATGGCAGTGCTAGAGGGAGCTGCTCCCGGGCCACTTCCCCTGATTCAGTGCACTTGCCTATGTGATGTGTGTGAATAACAAACACTCTCAAAACACAGCATCTTTTAGAGCTCATCCAAAATACAACTTTGGAGAATAGTCTAGCATGATGTCCAGAATTTGATTTAAAATAATTCAGCAAGTGTGACTGGGGAGGTGGGCACAGACATGACAGAGCTGTCCTCACTGGCACAGCTGAAGCAGGTGCCATCACGGTGTTCACAACACTGTCTTTGCCACTTCAGTTTGAAGGTGTCCATGATAAAAATTTAACAAAACGTACACAACATAACATGAGTATAATCTAAAAATGTTTGCTTGTTTAAATCAGAAGACCTCAGATTTTTAAAAATGTTTTACTTCTCAAAAAATACTTGCACTTTTTTTTTTTTTTTTAAAGACTGGGTTTTGCTATGTTGCCCAGGCTAGTCTTGAACTCCTGGGGTCAAGCAATCCTCTCCTCTCAGCCTCCTGAATGGCTGGGAAGACCCTGTCTCTAAAAAAAAGGGAAGCTGAAGCTGAAATGGTCACAGTGCAGATGCTGCAGAAATCACATACTTACCGCCAAGTGCCCAGGCCTGCCTGCCAACCGTCTGCAAACATGAGAGCCAAGTTCAACACCTTCATGATAGCTTCTTTCACAAAGCTGACCTGCAGACCAAAGTCACAGAACACAAACTGTGTAACTAGGTTTGGACACTGATACCAACACTTTTACCTATTTTAAATGAATCACAGAAAAAGTTCATCACCACAGTGACTGCCTTCTGTGTATATGGAAGGGTACTAGGCTCTGAACCATGCCCATTTGGGACCAGGCACATGCATTCACTGAATGTAAGATACAAGTGATATTAGCAGTACAGTCAAACCAACAAAACAAACTATTAAGACCTTTTCCTGGGATGGCCATTTAAATTCACCAATGAAACTAGGACAAATAATTGCAATGGTTTTAACATTACTGAATTCTATCTATTCACATGAAGTGGACATGCTATTGCTCCGCAACTGCAGACACAATTTTCCAAATGAATCCAAGAGTAACGCAGAGTGAGTGTTGACTATCACACATAGTTCTCATGTTGCTCTTAGATACAATTTCTATGAATAGGGCACTCCTCCTTCTGTTTTTTTTTTGTTTTTTTTTTTTTAAGAGACAAGGTCTTGCTCTGTTACCCAAGCTGGAGTGGAGTGCAGTGGTGTCAGATCATAGTTCACTGCAGCCTCAAACTCCTGGCCTCAAACAATGCTCCCACCTCAGCCTCCCAAGTAGCTGGGCCTCCAGGTATGCACCACCATGTCTGCTAATCTTTTTAACTTTTTGTAAAGACAGAGTCTTGCTATGTTGCCCAGGGTGGTCTTGAACTCTTGGCCTCATAAGATCTGCCTGCCTCAGTTTCCCAATGTGCTGGGATTACAGGCATGAGCCATTGTGGCCGGCCTGGGGCATTTGTTTGTAACCTCATTTCATCTGGTTCTTCCTTAAAGAATATTCTACAGGACAGAAGCTTAATCATCATAAAATTCCAAAGCACGCAGACAGCGCCACTCGCCCAGCAGTGGCCACATCTGCAGGAGACATCTCATGTACCTTTTCTCTCAGCAGACACCGGTCATGGATGGTTGACAGATACCTATAGTGAATTTTAATCAATTGATCTAAATCCTTGGCTTCCTCGACTTGATGTTGAAACTCCAGCCCTGTACTGTGTAGAATCTTGGAAGAGAAAGATAAAAAGCTTCATCAGCAGCCTTCTTTGAGGACTTGTGTGCTGCACACAAATCTTTTTTACTAAGCTCTTCTACTCCTCTCAAATTCTTCCTTCAATAAGTACATCTAGACAGTTTCATAAAGTACCATTCTTCAAAGGCTGGCTGGATACTCTGGCGTTCTGATCCTAAGAGGACGGCGGGGGCAATCCTGTAGGACGCCCACTTGCACAGTGAATGAATGAACGCCAAACTCTGGACTAACAGACTTCCTGGCAGGAAGGGGCAAGCACATTAAGCTGTATATAAGACACATCGATAAAAAAAAAATCAAGTAAATGTGTTACTTTTATACAAATAATTACAGTGAATTTATGTTTCTTAAGTTCCTTTTCTCATACATTGATCTTTCTCTAAAATGAGTATAAGTATACCTCAAATAAAAAACAAACTAAGAAAAAACTTAAACTCTTATCATTTACTCTTAACAATTAGGGGCTTAATGAAGGCCAACCTTGTGAAGGCAGTAATGCAGTCAGGGGAAACATGGAGCCCCTCTGCCATAGCCTTCCCATCCAAAACATAGGCTTCAGTGGCTCACTTCACCCAAGCAAGTTGGGTTTCAGAACTCACAGACCAGGTATAAACAGGTCTAAACAACAATTCAAACCCCAAATGCATACTGTCCTCTAATAATACTGCTCTTGTTCCAATTTCTGAACGCTTCTTTTAGAACTTCCCCTAGAACTGGCTTTTAGATGTATCAGAAAAATAATTTCATTTACTTTGTAGTGAGTTCTTGTTTTTAAGAAAAAAGTCTATAACCTGGCTGCATCTTCCTCCCACACACCGTAGTGGATTTTGGCTGTTATTAAACATTGGAGCCATTTTTTAGGGACAGCTGTCACCACTATTGAAACCTAAAGGACTATGCGGCACATTCTGAAGGCAATTCCAGAAGACGAGCTGTGGCTGTGCCTGTCCCCAGGGGCTGCTGGACTGGAGGGACAACAGCCTCTGGATACACATATTCCGGTATATTTACAAAAACATTCCTCCCACTGCCATGTTATTTTATGATCAAATTTGCTACATGTCCCGTTTTCACAGTCTGTAGGTATTTTTTACTTATAAACATAGTATGAGTAATTCTCTACGAACAACTGTATAGATACGACGATAGAACTGAAGCAGATGGGAGAGGCACAAACCCTGGTCATGATGTAGTTGTGCAAGCTGTTCACGAAATGCATGAGCTTCACTCTTAAGAGGAACATGCGATGAATCTGCTGTCTTACTGGTTCTTTTTGTGGTCCGAACTGAGCAACTGTGTCTTGTTCATGTATAAGGCCTTCTTTAAGTCGTGGTTTTTCTGCAGTACTAACCAGTTCTATAAAACAATGGAAGAGCAAAGTGGACAGAAAGAGCATCAACTCAAACCCCACTGCACCATGACGCCTGGCAGAAACACTGACGGATGTGGTCCTGGCACCACAGAAAGCACTGGCAGGGGTGGCAGGAACCGAACCTCAGTGCCTCTGGAAGGTGCAGTGGGAAAAGTTTCCTGTATCACTTTTCCTAATCAAGTTGTTGCATTTCAGATCAACTGTACATACAACTTCCTGATCTTTCTTTCAGGCATTTGATGTCCATAAAACTACTGCTAGAATACGCACCATTTTGGCATTTGTGTACACATAAAAAATGATCAACAACCACCAACTTCTTTTTTTTTTTTTCCAGATCCCCGTATGCTTCCCTTTCCCATTAACCTCTTTTATTAAGGGCTAAAATTAAATAAAATTACAATTTATCTGCTGAAAACAAATCTTACCACCAAAAAGTAAAACATCCAGACTATATTTTGCCCACTTTATTTGCAATAAGAGAAGAAACACTTGATTATAAATTTTTTGACATTCCAAACTTATAACAATGTCCACGGGCCATGGGACCTATGAAACAAAAACAAAATTAGAAAGTAACCAATTACTTGCATGTTTTAATGTTAGCAGAAAACACGGTTCATACAAGGAATATCAGCATATACCTTGTAGCTGAGGGTCAGACCATCTAAGATATGAACAGGCAGCTTCTTCTTAGCTGTGTCAACATTTTCAAAAGATATAGATAGACTAAAGAAAGAAATTCCAGTTTTAGTTTGTGAAAGCACTATGTCACACAAAAATGCTCTTTTAAAATAACTGGTATTTCATTTACATAATATTCCCCAAAAGATACTGCATTTCATAAAAGAAATGCAAACATTCCAACAAATGTATCTCTTCTAACATATATTCCAGAGCAGAAATTTGGATTTAGAAACAGAGGGAGAAAACTTTTAAACAATGAGTTTAGTTAAAGAGACACTTAACAATGGTAGTAATTAGAAAAAGGATGAAGCTGAGGAAGACAGTAAACTTCAGGCAATGGCTGGGAAGATGAAGCCTCTGCTGAGGTTGGGGGTGGGCAGGAGAGGACGAGCAGAGCAGCTCGACGGAGCCGAGCATGTGGTGAGAGTACTGCTTCGAGAGCCCCATCGAGATGGGATGGGGTCTGCTTCTACACCAGAGGCACTGTGCAGTGCTTCATCCACAAGTTCCTGAGACAGGTTTGAATGTGACTCACAGAGGAAAGCAAGCATCTAACATGGACATGAAAATGTCCAAGTGCCAGGCACTATTATGTGTCTTTAGCTCATTTAATCCTCAAAATACTCCCATCAGTGGTTCCTGAGAAATGATGTCCTCTTCCACAGTCACAGAGGCACTAAGAGGGGATGCCTGGATGCATATGAAGAAGGTTTAAAGTGGGGAGTTAACTTCCAAATCAGAGATGTCACAGGGCAGTGTGTGATTATGAACTGGCTGATCCATGACACAGGCACTAGTCAGAATTTTTAGCTCTTTGCCGGGTGCGGTGGCTCACACCTGTAATCCCAGCACTTTGGCATCCTCGAGGATCACGAGGTCAGGAGATCGAGACCATCCTGGCTAACCCAGTGAAACCCCGTCTCTATAAAAATACAAAAAATTAGCTGGGCGCCTGTAGTCCCAGCAACTCGGGAGGCTGAGGCAGGAAAATGGCATGAACCCGGGAGGCGGAGCTTGCAGTGAGTCGAGATTGTGCCACTGCACTCCAGCCTGGGTGACAGAGCAAGACTCTGTCTCAAAAAAAAGAATTTTTAGCTCTTAATGGCCTGATATGTATGCATTCACTCAGTGCTTAGTAGGCATCTACCAAATACTAATACTAAGTTAGGTGCTGCACTGAGCAGGCAATAGAAAGCCAATCTCTCTTCCCTCCAGGGACTCCCAGCCCAGTGCAGCACACGAAGACAAGGGGGATGTAGGAATGAGCAGACCTCTGCCGGGCCCATGAACTGGAGACTATGTCACAGGGGGGCGGGAGGACAGCACTAGCAGACACCAGAAATATTCTGAAATCCCTGAAACGCGAAGGAAGACAGGAAAGAGAACATGGTGTGTATGTGTGCAAGACATGAGGCTGGGAAAATGGAGCCAGACAGTAAATAGCTTTCTCCCTTCTAAGACAAAGCTTAGTCCATCTGTTTAGGAGGCACCCACGGGGAGCATAGGGATGAGTGGTGGAAGTCACTGCTGGTGGTCTGAGGTCACCCTGGTGAGGGTCAAGTCCGTTTTGGTGGAAGGGAGTGAGGCTGAGAGACACAGAGGTCATTGGGGAGTTCTGAGCCAGTTCTGAGAGGTCAGGGGCATTCTCTAGGAGGCAGGACTGAAAAACCTCATGTGTGGGAGCTCAGGGAGAGGAAGCACTGACTCCAGCCATGTGAAGGAGGCCATCAGACCCTGACAGGTCGTATGGTGGCAACTTTTTTCTTTTTTTATAGGGACGAGGTCCCACTATGTTGCCCAGGCTGGTTGCAAACTCCTAAGCTCAAGCAATCCTCCCACCTTGGCCTCCCAAAGTGCTAGGATTACTGGCATGAGCCACTGCATCTGGCCATATGGTGGCATCTCAACGTCTTTTGTTGTTTAGCAGGAGAGTCACATAGCTAGCCTCTGCCTCAATTTTTTCTTTTTTTTTAAATGGAGTCTCGTTCTTGTCGCCCAGGCTGGAGTGCAGTGGCATGATCTTGGCTCACTGCAACCTCTGCCTCCCAGGTTCAAGCGATTCTCCTGCTTCAGCCTCCCAAATAGCCAGGATTACAGGCGCCTGCCACCATGCTTTTTGTATTTTTAGTAGAGACAGAGTTTCACCATGTTGGCCAGGCTGGTCTCGAACTCCTGACCTCAGGTGATCCACCGCCTCTGCCTCCCAAAGTGCTGGCATTACAGGTGTGAGCCACCGTGCCTGGCCTCCATTTTCTAATAAGTAAAATAATATTAGTAAAACTCATAGGAATAGTGAGGATAAAATAATATGTGTAATTCATAGAAGACTTACTGGCACATAGTTCATGTTACACTAATTTAAATAAAGGTGGCGTCCATATTTTACCGTGAACTATCTTCAGGATAACGCTGTCCTACTGCTTCTTGGAGTTGGACATTAAGAAAAGACACATTCTGCCATGTTTCCTTTTCTCTTATTTTATCAAAAATTGACGTGTAGAAGTCATACATGGTATCTCCTCCTTCCATTAAGAAAAAATTCCTCATAGCTTGCAAGTATTCTACCAACCTGAATGGAGAGAAAATGAGTGACACTAAGATCTCTGGCATTCGTAAGGCAGGATTCTGGATCAACAACAGGTTTTGTAACCTGTTTTTAGTGGAACAAGTTTACATTCTACATTTACTAAAATTAGAAATATTAACACCTCTTAAACTTGTTCCAATAATAAAAACAGCATAGGTTTTCCTTTCATCATCAGAAAGGTTATCTTCTATAACATTATAGAAAATTGGGCAGTCACAAAAATGTAACAAAAAAAAATCCAAATCCCATCATTTATGGTGGATTTCCATCATTAATATTTAATATCTGGAATGTTTCTTTCCTGTCTTCTCTTCTATGTGTTAAGAAAACCTAGTTCCTACCGTATTATATATCCTGCTTTTTAATTGCCATAATTTTTTTTTTTTTTTTGAGATGGAGTCTTGCTCTGTCGCCCAGGCTGGAGTGCAGTGGCCCGATCTCAGCTCACTGCAAGCTCTGCCTCCTGGGTTCACGCCATTCTCCTGCCCCAGCCTCCAGAGTAACTGGGACTACAGGCGCCCGGCACCACGCCCGGCGAATTTTTTGTATTTTTAGTAGAGACGGGGTTTCACCGTGTTAGCCAGGATGCTCTCGATCTCCTGATCTCGTGATCCTCCCGCCTCAGCCTCCCAAAGTGCTGGGATTACAGGTGTGAGCCACCGTGCTCGGCCTAATTGCCATAATTTTTATGAACTTTACAAAGTTCATATGTGGGTATGTATATGCCATATTTATGGATATGCCATAGTTTAAAAAACTAGTCATCTATCACTAAGTAATTTAGTGTTTTTCATTCTGATAACAAACTTTGTAATTTTTCTACAAGCTTTTTCTGTATTTCTTTTGGGAAAGATTCTCAGAAATAAAGAATTAAGTTTCAAAACATAGTTAAGAAAATATTGATGGTCAATTGATTTCTCTTAGAAAATTGTTTACTGTATATCCATTTCCTACTCTAATAAAAATTGAAATAGGTTTTAAAATAATCTCAACTGTTCTTCAAGTACAATCAACTATTTACTACTTCCAAAATTAAATTACTCTTTTACCTGTAATCTTTTTTTAGAGTTTGCATGAGATTTCCACAGCAATCTAGATACTGCTTGTCAATATGAGGATAGAGGCAGGATCTCAGCGTTAATTCAAAAGTCTGGCATGTCACAGATTCCGATGATCTATCCACACATACATCACCACCAGCAAACTTCTCGTGAAAGTCACTCTGCTCCAAATACATCCTTCAAGATAAAAATGTGAGTCTTCTTTTTATGAGCTGCTGTCAACAGAACTCTCTTAAATCAAAACCCTGAAGTTCCATTTTTACCTTTAGTCTTGAAGTTACCAACTATTACAGAAAGAGAAAAATCTTTCTCCCAAAAATATCCTTTGAGTGAACCAGTCTCTTGAAGTTGCCACTGACTTAGGGTCAGGTACTAGAGCTGGTCTTTCTAGTGATTAGGGCTGGACACAGCAAATGCTGGCCATTAGACAACCGGGAACTGTGTGGGTATTAATGACTTACTCTAATGGACTAAGTGCCTAAAAGCAGCTTAAGCCCAGGACATATTATATGCCAGTGGGGACCCTGACTCAATGGGTGTCCAGGGCCCACTCATGCCCCAGAGTTTCAGCATCTTCTGGGTAAATGATGACATTTCCAGGGGCCCGAGGGCACAGACAAAAGTTGTACCACATGGTGGCAGGGCCAAGTCTGCAGACTTCCACAAACGACATGGAATACAAACTATACATCTGAAGTAGGTGAGCACAACATCTTGTATTCTGCTTGTTATAAAGGATAGGCATGGCATGGTGGCTCACACCTGTAATCCCAGCACTTTGGGAGGCCGAGGTGGGCAGATCACCTGAGGTCAGGAGTTCGAGGCAAGCCTGGCCAACAGGAGGAAACCCCGTCTCTACAAAAAATACAAAAATTAGCGGGGCATGGTGGCACATGCCTCTAGTCCCAGGTAGCTGGGAGGCTGAGGTAGGAAAATTGCTTAACCTGGGAGGCAGAGGTTGCAGCAGTCAGCCAAGATCACACCACTACACTCCAGCCTGGGTGACAGACTGAGGCTCCATCTCAAACAAACAAAAAAAAAAAAGGAAAAAGAAAAAAGAAAGGATAGCCTACAAGAGTTTTTGTTTTTAGCCCTACCTGCCAGAAATAAACAGTTAGCAAACATTGCACAAATGATGCCATTTCAATTACTGATAACCTTGCAGGTGTGTCTCACCTTGCAAAGTTAATGGCAAGCAGTGGATCATGAACATCATCCAGTTCAAGATGGCTTTCAGCAATGGACTGCATCTTCATCAGGTTCTCCTTGGTTGCCTGTTGCTCAGTAAGAACCTGTGGAGTGGAATCTTCTCCATGTCGAAGACGGGACTGTACAGATTCCAGAAAGAGAGTGTATAAACTTTTTCTTTCTGCATCTGAAACATAAAGAAATATGTAAGGTGAACTAAGTTCTGTTTAATCATATTAAGTAACATTCTGTTTAATCATATTAACATTAACAATATATTAAGTAACAAAATCTATATATTTATATATAAATATTAAATATATGTAAATATTAAATATATATATTTATATATAGTAACAAAATAATATATATTTTTTGAGATGGAGTTTTGCTCTTGTTGCCCAGGCTGGAGCGCAATGGCGCCATCTTGGCTCACTGCAACCTCCGCCTCCCGGGTTCAAACAATTCTCCTGCCTCAGCCTCCCAAGTAGCTGGGATTACAGGCATGTGCCACCACGCCCGGCTAATTTTATATATTTGTTTTTTAGTACAGACGGGGTTTCACCATGTTGGTCAGGCTGGTCTCAAACTCCTGACTCAAGTGATCCACCCACCTCGGCCTCCCAAAGTGCTGGGATTACAGGCGTGAGCCACTGTGCCTGGCCCAAGAAATATTAAATAATATCATGTCCGGGTGCAGTGGCTCATGCCTGTAATCCCAGCACTTTGGGAGGCTGAGGCGGGTGGATCACTTAAGCTCAGGAGTTTGAGACCAGCCTGGGCAACATGGTGAAACCTCAGCTCTACAAAAAAATTAGCTGAGTGCAGTGGAATGTGCCTGTGGTCCCAAGCTACTTGGGAGGCTGAGGCACGAGAACTGCGTGAGCACTGGCAGGTGAAGGTTGCAATGCGCTGAGATCACGCCACTGCACTCCAGTCCAGTTTGGGCAATAGGAGTGAAACCTGTCTCAAAAAAAAAAAAAAAAAAAGAGTAAGATCCTAATCAGGACACTTGAAATTTATTACAATACTGCATGACACTATGGTAACCCTGATAGGAGTCGCAGTCTCATTGGAAAAAACACTTCTGACAGTGGCCCTGGGAAGCTCACTACATAAGAAGGAAATATTCCACAAAGTGAAAATAAGTATTGCATCTACTTATTTCAAGTAGATACAATAATATAATTAACATAACATTGAGATGATTGAGATGTATAAATAAGGTCACATCTTTATCTTCCAAGCCTTTTTAGTCAGTTGATAAAACTTTTTTTTTTGACATGGAGTCTCACTCTGTCACCAGGCTGGAGTGCAGTGGCATGATCTCGGCTCACTGCAATCTCTGACTCCCTGGTTGAAGCGATTATCTTGCCTCAGCCTCCTGAGTAGTGGGGAATTACAGGCCCATGCCACCATGCCCAGCTAATTTTTGTATTTTTAGTAGAGATGGGGTTTTACCACGTTGACCAGGATGGTATCAATCTCCTGACCTCGTGATCTGCCTGCCTCAGCCTCCCAAAGTGCTGGGATTACAGCATAAAACTTTGAATATATTAAATTGCATCATTTTCTTGAAATTTATGATCGAGTCTGAACTGCTCATAAGAAATTCTTATCAGCCATGGTTCACGGCCCTCAAGGGCTAAACGCTGCATTGCATTAAGAAATGCCAGAAGGGCTGGTTGTGGTGGCTCACGCTTGTAATCCCAGCACTTTAAGAGGCGGGCGGATCAGCTGAGGTCAGGAGTTCAAGACCAGCTTGGCCAACATGGTGAAACCCCATCTCTACTAAAAACACAAAAAATTAGCCGGGCGTAGTGGCTCACATCTATAGTCCCAGCTACTTGGGAAGCTGAGGCATGAGAAATCACTTGAACCTGTGAGGCAGAAGTTGCAGTGAGCCGAGATCATGCCACTGCACTCCAGTCGCCAGCAAGGTGGCTGCCTGGAGACGTCTGGTGTTCCTCTCCCAACAGCAAGAGAGGACCAAAGCAACGAATCAACAGTTAAGATCCGACTGGAGGCTGGGGGTGGTGACTCACACCTGTAATCCCAACACTTCAGGAGGCCGAGGCGGGCGGATCATGAGGTCAGGGGATCGAGACCATACTGGCTAGTATGGTAAAACCCCGTCTCTACTAAAAATACAAAAAAATTAGCCGGGCACGGTGGTGTGCGCCTGTAGTCCCAGCTGCTGGGGAGGCTGAGGCAGGAGAGAACCCAGGAGGCGAAGTTCGCAGTGAGCCGAGATCGCGCCGCTGCACTCCAGCCTGGGCGACAGGGAAAGACTCCGTCTCAAGAAAAAAAGATCCGACTGGAGTTGAAGGGCGAGTGCTGGAGTGCAGAGGGGGAATGTGACACAGTGTTGGTGACTGGAGGCCCAGGAGGGCAGTGTGGAGGCTTCCAGCCTCTGCAGCTTCGCAGAACAGGCTGGTCTGGAGTCAAGAAGGACTTCCCATTGTAGGGTAAGGGTAAGCAGAAGAAACCCACCAGCCCCCACAAACACCTACAGTCATTACTACAGGAGGATTCCACAGTTCCCACGAGCTCTGAGCCCAGTTTGGAGAGCTGCTGGGAATTCACGCAGCTGCCTTGCCCCGGGTTAGGGGCACAAGGTGTGCCTTCCCCACCCACCCCTTTGAGCCAAGCTGTTGCAGCATGGCACCATCTTCAGACCAGAGCCACCTCTGGAGCACGCCCTCCTCTGGGCCAGTAGCTGCTGCACCTCTCCTGCACCCCAGCCACTGGGGCTCCATCCTCATTCCACCAAGGCCACAGGGATGGCTGAACACCACAACCCCAGCTATGTGGAGCCTGGGCCCAGGATCGACTGGTGATTCTGGTCCTGCACAGCAGAAAAACCAGCCCCTGCCACTGCACTTTCAGACAGAGGAACAGTCTGGCAGCCCCAACAGACCAAACCCATCTTTGAGCTGGCCAAATTGCTGTGCCATCTCTAGAGGGTGGGAACAGACCCCTGAGCTTCCTACCAGCTGACATGCCTCCAGGCTGGTGAAGCAGTTACAGACCTTTGCCCAGGAACTGAGAAACAGCCCCACAGCATCAACCCCTTGCAGACAGGCCCGTGGCCTACCCAGTGGCCCTGGGCCAGCATTCAGGGTCTGAGAAACAGTTTCAGAGGCTGCCCTGGCAGGCATGTACCTAGGCTTCTTGAGCGGCCTTGCACGGCATCTTTGGTTGGAGAAGAAGCCCCATAGGCAGCGCCTGGGAGTCACAGGCCAACAGAGCGGCCACAGGCCTGCATACTGGGCCTGCCAAACAGCCCTGTGGTCTGCCCTTGGTGGGCATGTTCTGAGCCAGCTGGCACCCATATCCCAAACCTGAGAAAGAGCCTTGAAGACCACCCCCAGTAATCACACCCTCATGCCAGCCAAGCAGCCTTCCACCCACATGCTGGGCCTCAGAAGCAGCCTCATGGGCTGCCACTGGCAGATACATACCTAGGACGGCCAACAAGCCATGTGACCATGTCCCAGGACTGAGAAAGAGCCCCTTGAACTGTGCAGGCAGACATGCACCCAGGCTAGCAAAGCAGCCTTGTACCCACATCCTGGGCCTAAGAAACAGCCTTATAGGTCACCCCCAGCAAACATACTCCCAGGCGAGCAAAGAAGCCTGTGCTCATGTCCAAGGCTTGAGAAATGACCCTGAGGGCTGTTCTCATGGAGCCCCTGGCCAGAAAACCAGTTTTGTGCCTACATCCTAGGCCTGAGAAACAGCCCCTTGGGCCATTGCTGGCAGGCAAATAAACCTATAGGCTGGCCAAGCAACCACATGCTCATGTTCCTGGCCAGAGTAACAGCCTGTGGTCCCAAACCCTGAGCCAGACCCCACCTTGGCCAAACCACTGTGTACATGCATGTACCCCTAATCTGAGAAACAGTCCAGCAAGCCCATCCCAGCAAAGCTGTGCTACTGTTTGTTTTTTGTTTTGGGACAGAGTCTTGCTTTGTTGCCCAGGTTGGAGTACAGTGGTATAATCTTGGCTCACTGCAAACCTCCGCCTTCCGGGTTCCAGTGATTCTTGTGCCTCAGCCTCCCAAGCAGCTGGGATTATAGGCATGCGCCACCACATCTAGCTAATTTTTATATTTTGGGTAGAGACAGGGTTTCACCATGTTGGCCAGGCTGGTCTCAAACTCCTGGCCTCAAGTAATCCACCTGCCTTGGCCTCCGAAAGTGCTGGGATTGGCTGGGCGTGATGGCTCACGCCTGCAATCCCAATACTTTGGGAGGCCGAGGCGGGTGGATTGCTTGAGGCTAGGAGTTTGAGATCAGCCTCACCAACATGGTAAAACCCGATCGCTACTAAAAATACAAAAATTAGCCAGGCGTGGTGGCACATGCCTGTAATCCCATCTACTTGAGAGACTGAGGCAAGAGAATGACTTGAACCCAGGAGGCAGAGTTTGCAGTGAGCCGAGATCATGCCACTGCACTCCAGCCTAGGTAATAGAGCAAGACTGTCTCAAAAAAGAAAGTGCTGGGATTACAGGCGTGAACCACCACGCCCAGCCAACTGTGCCACTGTTGCCACAAACCCCCTCACTGTAGGCCACTGAGGCACTTGCAAACATCACTAAAGTGGATTACAACTGAAGAAAGTACATGGAGACTATACTACTGCATTTGTCCAGAACCAAGGTGAATGCATCCCACTGAACCCACACTCCAAGACCCATTCATATGAATAACTCTTTACAAAACGTACTCCATAAAATTGGAAAAGGTGACTTTCCCACCAGATGTGTAGAAATCAATGTAGAAATACATCAAACATGAAAAAGCAAAGAAACATGACACCTCCCAAGAAAACCAATAATTCTCTAGCAAGAGACTACAATGATATAGGAAATGCCGGAAAAATAATTCAGAATTAAAATCTTAAGGAAACTCGGTGAGATACAAGAGAACTCGGTGAGATACAAGACAGTACAAATAAACACTCAACAAAATCAGGAAAAGAATGATTTGAATGAGAAATTCAACAGAAACAGATGTTTAACAAACAAATTTTACAGTGAAAGAATTCAATGAATGAGGCCAGGCACGGTGGCTCACGCCTGTAATCCCAGCACTCTGGGAGGCCAAGGCGGGCAGATCACTTGAGGTCAGGAGTTCGAGATCAGCCTGGCCAACATGGTGAAACCTCGTCTCTACTAAAAACACAAAAAATCAGCCGGGTGTGGTGGCGGGTGCCTATAATCCCAGCTGCTCAGGAGGCTGAAGCAGGAGAATCACTTGAGCCAGGGAGGCAGAGCTTGCAGTGAGCCCAGATTGCACCACTGCACTCCAGCCTGGGTGATGGGAGTAAAACTCTGTCTCAGGAAAAAAAAAAAAAAAAAAGGCAAATGATCTGAACAGACATTTCTCCAAAGAAGTAATACAAATGGCCAAGAAATAGATGAAAAAATGCTCAGCATCACTAATTATTAGGGAAAATGCAAATCAAAACCACAATGAGGTATCATTTCACCCCAGTCAGGATGGTTATTTATCACAAAGACAAAAAATAAATGCTGGTGAGGATGTGGAGAAAAGGAAACTCTTACACAATGTTGGTGGGAACATAAACTAGTACAGACACCATGGAGAACAGTTTGGCGGTTCCTCAAAAAACTACAAATAGAACTACTATATGATATAGCAATCTCACTGGTGGGCATTTATCCAAAGGAAAGGAAATCAGGATATCAAAGAGACATCCGCACCCCCATGTTTACTGCAGCACTATTCACACAGCCAAGACATGGAATCAACCTAGGTGCCCAACAACAGATGAATGGGTAAAAAAATTGTGAGATATATATATATATATATATATATATATGTATATATCTTGAAGATAAAAGAGTGAATCCTGTTGTTTGCAGCAACACTGATGGAAATGGTGGACATTAAGTGAAATAAGCCAGGAACAGAAAGTTAAACACTGCATGTTCTCACTCATCTGGTAGCTAAAAAATGTCGATCTCGTATTAGTAAAAAGTAGAACAGGATACCAGATGCTGGATTTTGTAGGGGGAAGGGAGAAAGAGGAAGATATTTGTTAAAGGATACAAATAGCTAGCTGGAAGGAATAAGTTCTAGTGCTCTGTATCACTATGGGATGACTATAGTTAATAATGTATTATAGAGTTGCACATAGCAAAGAAGAGGATACTGAATGTCCCCAACATAAAGAAGTAGTAAATGTTTGAGATGATGGAAGTGCTAATTATCCTGATCTGATCACTATATATGTATCAAAACATCACTATGTACCCCATGAATATGTACAATTATTATGTCAATTTATAAAAATAATAAAAGAAAAGAAATGGCAGGGGATTACTTTTTAAAGTTCCAGTCCTAAGGAATCCAGAGTGAGGAAAATGCATGTGGAACTTATCGTCACTGCCTTTTCAAACACAGCACTAAAAGTTTTCAATGAAGACAATCTTTTAAAAAATCAAGAGCAGCATGGTTACTAATTCAACCATGACGATAATTGCCACCGAAATAAGAGGGTTTGATGACTTGCAAACTACAAAATAATTAGGTATCAGGATGACAAGAGCGAGTAGGGTCAGGTGTCCCAACACCAAGAGAGACACAGGAAGACGGAACAAGTACCTCTGGCTCCTGCCTGGCAGGTGGTGCTCTCCGCACACTGCAGGTTCTTCAGCAGCTGCATCGACTTGCCAGCCATTATGATCTGCTTCAGGACAGGTTTGAGGAAGGACACCATGGTGTGCTGCCTGCTGGAGGGCCCCTGGTCACTGCCGGAACTCGCACTAGCGTTATCACTCATTTTTTCTTCATTTTCTGTCTTTTCTGATACGCTATATAACGTGTAAGTTGCATACCAGAAGTCTCTGTGATTAACTGGAACATTTTTGTTTCTAAAGAGATTCAAAAGAATTTTAAACTCTTATTTCTCTTTCTTAAAAACAGCATACTTGTTCTAGTTTGTTGTCCAGACATTATAAAACATAGTATTAATTATTAGTAAACTGAAGCAAACTTTAGGCAAAATGGGACAGTTTTAATCTCATCTCAGTTTAAAGAGAAAAGTGAATAAATACTTTGAATAGTGTAAGTAAAATTTAAGTAGAAATAGTTTCCTGAATTGGAATTATTTAAAATATGACTAATTTGGTCCTCTTTAGAAGAAGAATAAAAGTTTATCCATTTACCATCTGCTGTGAAACTAATTTGCAGACTTCTCTATCATTTTCCCTACAAAGATTCTTAACTGGACTACTTTTAACAATAAAATGATGGTCAATCATCACCCTAGAAGAACAGTCAGAGTCCTATTTTTCACAAAAATTCTCATGTGAGATTGATGAATCAGAACACAGTGACAGATATGAGATTGAGTTGAAGGAAGGGTCAGTTCACTTATGTGAGCATTGCATACATATTGCTACCCTTCCAGAACACTAAAGACTTAAAGTTATCCTTCCTGATGAGCTCAATGGATAGCTATCAATAGAAACCATATATCTAAATATACCGCATAATTTAAAATTGGGCTAAAAGAGTACAAATAGCTCTACATTGTTTATATGATTCTATTCAGAAAAATCAATTAACTGAAGGGAAATTGTCATAAATGGATTAAGATTTTCCTTGTTTTGTAAAATATACTAAGGTAAAAGAAATCAGTAGATAATTCAGAGAAATAAATATATTAGAGGCATACTCTGTAATATTTCTGTATCTCTTTACTGATAATTTACAATGGAAATAGCTGAAACCATATGATATCATCTAAACTCATTTTATGGGAAGCAGTGTGTACTAGCTAGCCATAAATATACTACCATCCAAAAATATAATTTGCTTAAGAAAAGTTGCGGACTGACAAAACTTGGACAAAGATATTTCTAATCAGCTGGTATTACTGATGCCTTCCGTAAAAATGAAATAGAACTTGCCTATGATGACGACAAGTTCTGTGATGTGAACTGTGCTTTCTCAGTACTGTCTGAAACTAACGAAAGCATTTGATTTTCATGGGGAGGAAACTGGTGATGCCAGCCCCCAGTGACCTTGTGCTCTGCTGCAGCTCACCTCTGGATGATGAACTCCCTGGCGCCATCCCACAGGTGCCCGTGCACGATCCACTCGTCCACCGTCTGCAGGTAAGGCCGCACCGTTTCCACCCAGAGAGAGAAAAGGAGGGAGACCTGAGGCAGAGAGTGTGCACGGTCAGCTCTCAGGGTTCCCTGGTCACTAGGATAAAAGGAGGTTTAAACATTTCTGAAATGCCTTTAAAAAAGTGATCGGATTTCTATGTTTTTTGGGGCACAAAGAAATTAAAAATCCAAAAACATACACTATAAAATCCTTATGAAAAACTCACCTAAATGCCGGGCGTGGTGGCTCACGCCTGTGATCCCAGCACTTTGGGAGACCGAGGTGGGCGGATCACCTGAGGTAAGAAATCGAGACCATCCTGGCCAACATGGTGAAACCCCCTCTCTACTAAAAATACAAAAATTAGCTGGGCATGGTGACACGCGCCTGTAGTCCTGGCTACTTGGGAGGCTGAGGGAGGAGAATTGCTTGAATCTGGCAGGTGGAGGCTGCAATGAGCCAAGATCGTGCCACTACACTCCAGCCTGGCAACAGAGTGACACTGTCTCAAAACAAAAAGAAAAAAAAAAGAAAAAAGAAAAACTCACCTAAATATGGGATGATCATATTGTTTGTAGTCCAGACTGGGAAACTTGAGAGTGAAAGTGACACAGAGGCAGCAGGTGTATCCTGAGATAGCCCAGGCAAGCGAACAAGGTTTCCCTATCTAAATCCTATTACTAGCAAAGCATCCATTAAGAATGAGGAAATTGGCTGGGCATGGTGGCTCACGCCTGTAACCCCAGCACTTTGGGAGGCTGAGGTGGGCAGATCACAAGGGCAGGAGTTTGAGACCAGCCTGGCCAATATGGTGAAACCCCATCTCTATTAAAAAAAAAATACAGCTGGGTGTGGTGGCTCATGCCTGTAATCCCAGCACTTTGGAAGGCCGAGGTAGGCGGATCAGGAGGTCAGGAGCTCGAGACCAGCCTGGCCAACATGGTGAAACCCCATCTCTATTAAAAATACAAAAATTAGATGGGCATGGTGGTGGGCGCCTGTAATCCCAGGTACTCAGGAGGCTAAGGCAGGAGAATAGTTTGAACCCAGGAGGCAGAGGTTGCAGTGAGCCAAGATCATGACACTGCACTCCAGCCTGGGCGACAGGGCAAGACTCCATCTCAAACAAAAAACAAAAAAAAACCGCAAAAAATTAGCCGGGCATGGTGATGTGCGCCTGTAGTCCCAGCTACTCAGGGGGCTGAGGCAGAAGAATCGCTTGAACCTGGGAGGTGGAGGTTGCAGTGAGCCAAGATCGTGCGACTGCACTCCAGCCTGGCAACAGAGCAAGACTACGTCTCAAAAAAAAAAAAAAAGAAAAAGAAAAAAAGAAATATGGTATTAAATTGGTGTGAAAAAAAGTTATACCAACAAACTAGAAAATACACCTAATGTACATACCCAACTAAGACTGTAGCATTCTAAATTACAGCCTCTAGTTAGATTTTTATTTTTAAATCTATATATTGTTTGAGACAGGGTCTTGCTCTGTTACCCAAGCTGGAGTGCAGTGGCACAAACATGGCTCACTGCAGCCTTGACCTTCCACACTCAAGCCATCTTCCTGCCTTAGCCTCTCGAGCACCTGGGACCATAGGCATGTGCCTCCAGAGCTGGCTACCTTTTTTGAGACAGAGTCTTGCTCTGTTGCCCAGGCTGGAGTGTAGTGGTGTGATCTCGGCTCACTGCATCCTCCCGGGTTCAAGCAATTCTCCTGCCTCAGCCTCCTGAGTAGCTGGGATGACAGGTGTTCGCCACCACACTAGGCTAATGTTTGTATTTTTAGTAAAGACGGGGTTTCACCATGTTGGCCAGGCTGGTCTCGAATTCCTGGTGTCAGCACACCTGGCTACTTTAAAAATTTTTTGTAGAGACAGGGTCTCAGTATGTTGCCCGGGCTGGTCTCAAATTCCTGGGCTCAAGTGATCCTCTCACCTCAGACTCATATGTAGCTGGGACTACAGGCGTGAGCCACTATGCATGGCCTAGATTTGTATTTTTTAAAATACAATATAAAATATATAACATAAAATTTATCTTAACTGTATATTTTTAAAAATTTTAATTTAACTAATTTTTTAAAGACAGAGTCTTACTATGTTGCCCAGGCAAGTCTCAAACTCCTGGGCTCAATCAATCCTCCTGCCTCGGCCTCCCAAAGTGTTGGGATTACAGGCACGAGCCACTGTGCCTGACCCTCAGCATTTTTAAGTTCAGAGGTTTTAAGTACATTCATATCGTTGTGACAAATCTCCAGAACTTTTTCATGTTATAAAACTGAAACTCTGTACCCATTAAACAACAGCTCCCCATTCCCCAGCCCTTGGTAACCAGCATTCCACTTTGTTTCTGTGGATGTGTCTACTTCAGCTATCTCATGTCATGTTAGTTACATGTTAGTGTTTATGTAAGAAAGCGTTATTGTAAATATCTATACACATCAGGTAGGTACTTCTCACAGCTTGCCTTGTCCTTGCCTCATCCTTCTGAGGATCTTGGCAATTAGAGCTGAAAAGCCAGTTTCCTACAGCCTTAAATTTGGAAGTTAATTTAAAAACTCTGAACTGTCTGACGAGTCATCATTCAAGTATCAACAAAGAACTACCATCAGCTGTCTATCACTCCTCTACTGTGCAGCATGGAGTCACACACTTTAGGCAGAAGTCTCACTTACGGTTTGCTCAGAGGCTTCTCCAACATTGTCATATTCAAGAATGGCCTTGTACAGGGTGTTAAGCAGGTGAGAGGCCCGGACGACATTTCGAGTATCAGGTGGAACTTCTGCTACTCCAGTACTAAACACTTTGTGCAGAACCTTGAGCTGAGACAATCGAGGTGCCAACTTGTCCACCACTATTGCAAGAGTTATTGTAGTATCTGCAAATATCAATAAATCAAACTCAACAGCAAGGAAAAATACATGCATCTAAAATGTGACATAAATGCTGGCAAATCATCAGGCTTATGGACAGGCAGGGCAAAATGGAGGACGGTAGATTTTAATCTCATGCCACAAGGACCTAATTTCCCTAAGGAAGAACTCCTGCAAGTCACAGAGAAAAAGACAACTCAGCAGAAAAATAATGTATAAAGGAACTGACAGTTCATAAAAAAGGAATGATGAGTGATTCTAAAACATACAGAAAGTCACTTGACCTTACTTATAATAAAAGAACGCAAATTAAAATTACACTAGGTAAAACAAAACACCTCCCAATGGGCTAATGTTACAGAGAGGGGTGAGGGAGGCTGTGCCTACAAAGGGCTGCACGAGCAAGCTCCTGGGAGGCGATGGCACAGCTGTGATCTGAACATGGAAGTGGCTATGTGGAGCTAGACATGTGATAAACTATACATGAATATACCACACCCACCCCTGTTCAAAGCAAGTTCCTGCGACACTGGTGAAACCATGTCAGGTCTGCAGTTTGGCTAATGTGCTGGGTCAATGTCAGTTTCCCAGTTTTGACCATGTACTGTCACTATGTAAGGTTTTACCACTGGGGGAAGCAAGGTCATGGGAACACAGGGCCTCTCTGTACTATTTTTTGTGGTAGTTCAAAATGAAATTTAAGGGGAAAAAAGCTACATGGGTTACCATTTTACAGCTGTCATACTGGTGAAGACCAAAACGTCTGGTAACACACAGATGGCAAGAAGTGTGAGGAAACAGGTATTCATCTACTTGGTTCACAACAGTAAAAATGTATTTACCTATACCTCCCCATAAAGTGGCAAAACTTAGGAAAATCACACATGACCCAGCAATTCCATTTATAAGAACCTACCCCACATGGTCAGATGCAGTATAATCCCAGCTTATGCCTGTAATCCCAGCATTTTGGGAGGCCAAGGTGGTCAACATGGTGAAAGCCTGTCTCTATTGAAAATACAAAAATTAGCTGGGGATGGTGGCAGGTGCCTGTAATCAGTTACTCGGGAGGCTGAGGCAGGAGGATGGCGTGAACCCGGGAGGCGGAGCTTGCAGTAAGCAGAGATTGAGCCACTGCACTCCAGCCTAGGTAACAGAGCGAGACTCCGTCTCAAATGAAAAAAAAAAAAAAGAACCTACCCTACAGATAACTCACTGCCTGTGTACGATAACGGATATGTAGAAGTGATTATCACTGCAGCACTACTGGCAATAGCAAAAGCCTGGGAACAACCTAAATCCATTAAGGGGACTGGGCTATGACACGACCATATGATGAAACACTCAATTTGTAAAAAGGAAAACAGAAGCTCTTCATATATGTATGGTATTATCCTCAAAATTTAAACTGGAAAAATTTGAAGAGAGCAGTGTAATGACTGCTAGGTATGCGTATATGTATATGCACTGCTCATGTATGTTGAAACTCTTTCTGGAAGGATGCGTAAGAAGCCAAGGACCTGGCTGTCTCTGGAGAGGAGAACTGACTGGCTGGGGTACTGGTGCAGGAAGAATAATTTAGATTTTTCATTCTAAATCTTCTGTAGTTTTTTGATTTTTAGAGATATGAATGGCTTAAAAATATAAATTTAAAATAATTTTAAAAGAAGCATTCACGAGAACTACTTATCTGCTAGGCAACTTTCAAATCTTATATAATAAAAACTCTAAGTGGCATTCAAATTATGAGTTACGTGTAGTATGAGTAAAGATGAAGAACATTTAATACCATTATTGATGATGCACTTCTCAATTTCTGCAAGTTCCTCTTTGAAACTAATGAAATATTTGTACAGGGCCCACATGAAAGCCTGGTAGGTTCTAAAGGGAGCTTCAGTTGACTTCTTAGGAACAGACCCACTTCCAGGCAGCATGCTCTCAGAACTGTGTCCCATGACTTCATCAATGAACTCCTGGAGTCGAAACACAACCTGGCCATATGCTGCTATTTGTTCCAGCACAGATCGTAAACAGCTCTACAACACAAGCAAACTGCAATTATTCAAAGGTGGTCTTCTGTAAACATTCAAATTCATTTCCCTCTCGCTGTAAAATACTTCTTTTGCAATTGTTTTAAACAGTATGTTTAGTAGAAGACAAAGTAATAATATGATTAATATTTATAATTTTATACACAAAGGAAAAAGTGAACAATAATTTCAACAGACTAGAGAATTATGGCTTATATTTTTAAAAACATACATAAGTAAATGTACTTAAAGCAAAACAAAATTACAGTATATAACTTTCACAATACAGAATGACAAATAAAAAGCAGAAAATGCAAATTGAAATTAAATATGTTCCAAACAATATTAAGGAATCCTCTACGTACTATAAAGATGCACAACTCAATTTTTCTTTTTGGATATTAAATATTTTTAAGTTAGCTTTTTTTTGCATGTGAGGAAGCAAGAACGAGTTCAATAGCAATTTTAATATTGTAAAATGTTCTAAAATTATATTACTAGTTTACATAAATCCTATTTCTTAAATTACCATAAATACAAATAACTTACATGTGTTAAATGAGTTACTATAATATTGTTTCTCACAGTTACCTTCCCATCTATCAACTGAAATATAAAGAGCTTTTTCACTCCTGAAAGTAACCTGAAATGAGATTAAAAAAAGACGAGTGTACTTTAAGTCTAGAAAAATATTCATGACAGTATGCCCAGGACATTTTTTTTTTTTTTGACAGGGACTCACTTTGTCACCCACCCAGGCTGGAGTGCAGCAGCATGATCACAGCTCACTGGAGCCACAACCTCCTGGGTTCAAGTGATTCTGCAGCCTCAGCCTCTCCAGCAGTTGGGACTACAGGTGCATGTCACCATGCCTGGCTAATTTTTGCATTTTTTGTAGATACGGGGTTTCACCATGTTGCCCAGGCTGGTCTCGAACTCCTGAGCTCAAGTGATCCACCTGCCTTGGCCTCCCACAGCGCTGGGATTACAGGTGTGAACCACCATGCCCCACCTCAGGAAATTTTTATTAAATATTCAGAATTAGGGGCAAAAAGGTCAGATAATAAGAAAATGGAAGACATCAATCTTTTCATCTGATTACCCTAAGACTCAAGATATTTCAATATCATCTTAGAGAAGTCTAAAACATGTTGTCAAAGCATCTCCCCTATATACTTGACGACCCAAAGAGATCTTCCTATTTCTAAGAATGCGAGCATGTCAATATCATACTTTATGGTGAGAGCACCAGGACTTGGAATTTCAGTAGTAACAGCACCATGTGCCGCATTAGATTCCTGGCTTCCAGGTACGGGCACAGGCCCTCATTGATATACTCCACCTATTAAGAATAGTCAGTAGCTACCGGCGCGGTGGCTCACGCCTGTAATCCCAGCACTTTGGGAGGCCAAGGTGGGTGGATCATGAGGTCAGGAGATCTAGACCATCCTGGCTAACATGGTGAAACCCCGTCTCTACTAAAAAAGTAAAAATTAGCCGGGCTTGGGTGGTGGGTTCCTGTAGTCCCAGCTACTCGGGAGGCTGAGGCAGGAGAATGGCGTGAACCCAGGAGGTGAAGCTTGCAGTGAGCTGAGATAGAGCTACTGCACTCCAGCCTGAGCAACAGAGTGAGACTCCGTCTCAAAAAAAAAAAAAAAAAATCAGTAGCAAATCTTGCTTTGAACTCAGGTGTTAAAGAAGAGATGGGCTAACCTAAGTAAATCATATGCTAAATTATTTAAAATGAAAATGAAGTAATTATATCAAACTCTCTCAATCTCCACAGTCAAATCTGGTCCGAACTTCACACCTAATGGACCTTTTCTAGTTTGCATGTGAAAATGCTTGAAAAGTTTCCTTTAATAAAAGTTTTTGCTTCTCAGTAATCAAGTCTCATAAAGACTATTAATTAAATGAACATTTCTTACCATAGGGTTTCCCGAATAACCTGAGTCTCAGTAACCAAAACCCTGTCATCTGGAACATACAATGGATCACTGCTGTACAAGTGTTGGTCCCTATGAGACAGCAAACATAAATGTCAATAGAAAGGTTTCTAAGTAAGTAAATAACTTATCTCAAAGAATATCTGCAATTTAGTGCTAACTTAAGTAGCAATCAACTAACAAGTATACATAATAAATGGCTTAAATGCCCCCTATATTTTCATGTCAATCAGAATACTCTGAGAAACACTTTCAGAACAATTACAATTGTTACGTTTATTGCTGATTTAGGCAAATGTTTACAACTATGTAATGTTGTTTTCTGGAAAACAAGATGTGTATTTTTGCAGTAAGTATACCAAAACAGAAATCAAATAATGCCCTAATATATACCAATCCATTTACACTGAAATTAACAACAAAAAATGGAAACAGAGACTATAATTAAATAATACTATAATTTAATGATTTTCAATAACAAATAATTAAAAACTATTCAACTAAAATTTTCAACACCAGCCAGGTGTGCTGGCTCACGCCTGTAATTCCAGCACTTTGGGAGGCCGAGGCAGGTGGATCACTTGAGGACAGGAGTTCAAGACCAGCCTGGCCAACATGGTAAAACCCCATCTCCGCTAAAAATATAAAAATTAGCTGGGCATGGTGGCGTGCACCTATAATCTCAGCTACTTGGGAGGCTGAAGGACGACAATTGCTGGAACCCGGGAGGCAGATGTTACAGTGAGCCATGGTTACGCCACTGCACTCCAGCCAGGGTGACAGAGCGAGACTTTGTCTCCCCCTGCAAAAAAAAGTAAAATAAAATAAAAAATAAAAAATTAGTTGAGTGAGGTCTAGACTGCAGTGAGCTGAGATCTGACCACTGCACTGCAGTCTGGGCAACGAAGAGTGAGAATCTGTCTCCAAAAAAAAAAGAATTGTCAAAACAAAAACAAGTTTAAATTTCAGGGAAGAACTTAAGTCACAAATCAAAGCCAAACGTTTAAACATCAAAGTTTCTTCTATCATCATATTAAATGAAAACTTTAGCTTCTTACCAGACAGCAGCTAAATTAGAGTGCAAATGTAAACTATGAGGAAAATGGGAGGGCCTGGCTGTCCAGTACTGATGGACCACATGATGTTCCAGCCAGCTTCGGTCATCTGGCTCATCTGCTTGAAAGAAATGTAATCAGTTTGAGTTAACAACAACAAAATACTGGGTCACAATACCTGGACTTACAGCTCCATTCAAACGTATAGTTGAAAATGGCTTTTTAAAAATAACAGCTACCTAACATTTATGTATATATGATTATTTTAAACCACATATATCTGCTGGGTTCTATGGCTCACACATATAATCCCAGCCCTTTGGGAAGCCAGGGTGGGATGACCACTTGAATCCAGGAGTTCAAGACCAGCCTGGGCAACAAAGTATGACCCCCCATCTCCACAAAAAATACAAAAAAATTAGCCAGGGGTGGTGGCATGTGCTTGTTCTCGGGAGGCTGACACGAGAGGGGACTGGTTGAGCCAAGAGGTTGAGGCTGCAGTGATCTGAGATCATGCCACTACGCTCCAGCCTGGGTGACACAGTAAGACCCTATCTCAAAAAACAAAGTAAAATAAAATAAAACCACACATATAGAAATGCATACTAAATTTAATTAAATGTAACTGACTAGAAAGTAAAAAAAAAAAAAATTGCCACATACATAAAAAGATATAAATGGTATATGTTAATTGTCCAGTAACCATTAAGGAAACTGAAATGGTAACTGAAGACCTTCCCAACCACTACGGAAGTCTCAGGACTGGTGCTAAATTTTGAAGGATTAGATAACCTCTATCTTATACAAGTTGTTTGAAAAAGCAGAAAAAGAGAAAGCCACCTAACATTTTATGAGGCTAATGTAACAGTGATGCTTTAAACTAGACAAAGACAGGATACATGTAATTCATCAAAGAATAAAGATGAAAAATCCTACATTAAAAAAGAGCTAACCTGTTGGGCTCGGTGGCTCACACCTGCAATCCCAGCCTGGGCTGGTCTCAAACATAGTGAGACCTCATCTCTACAAAAAAGTAACAAACTTAGCTGGGTGTGGTGGCATGCACTGGAAGCCCCAGCTTCTTAGGAGGCTGAGGTGGGAGGATACTTTGAGCCCAGGAGGTTGAGGCTGGAGTGAGCTGTGATCACGCTACTGCACTCCAGCCTGGGTGACAGAGCAGGACCCGGTCTTAAAAAAAAAAAAAAAAAAAGCAAATCCAAAATTGAATCCGATCTAAAAATGTACTAAAAAATAACATGATCAAGCAAGTTTAGGTGAAGAATTCAAGGATAATTCAACATCAGAAAATCTATTGATGCATTATTAGGATAAAAGAGAAAAGTTATGAGATTATCTCACGGATAAATAGTAGCATTTAATAAAAATTCAACATTTATTCATAATTAAAGACTTCTAGAAAAAAAAAGTAATAGAAGGAAATTGTCTTAATTTGATAAAGGCCACATACCCTGAACTGATACCAAACAACCATCACACTTAACGGAGGAGTTTCAGGTATAACCCCCCTTAGGATGAGACCTAGTCATCCAGGAAGCCCACTCCCATGAGCTGTTGCTTCTGCTACGGACTAGAGGGTTGGGCTGCTGGGCCAGAAAAGAGATTTGATCATGTCACAGAGAAGATACAGGCATAAGAACTAGCAGGAAGAATAAAACCATCAATATTCGCAGATGATACTAATCATCTATATAAGAAACCAAATGAATCAACAAACTATTATGAGAATTCAGTAAAAATGCTGCATATACGGACAACTTACAGAAAGCAATATTATTTCTTCTACATCAGGAATAAACAAAAGAGGCAACATTCACAAAAATAAAAACTATAACATATGTAGAAATTAACAAATGAACACTCGAGATGTTTAAAAAAAATTTCCAAACTCTAGTAAAAGATAAAAAATTACGATAAATGTAGCTATTATTATGTTAAGGCAATCAAGCCTCCCCAAATTAGATCTATAAATTCTCTGCAATCCCAATAAAAACTCCAGCTGGATTATTTTTTATTTATTTATTTTTTTTGAGATAAAGTTTTGCTCTTGTTGCCCAGGCTGGAGTGCAATGGTGTGATCTTGGCTCTCTGCAACCTCTACCTGCTGGGTTCAAGCGATTCTTCTGCTTCAGCCTCCCAGGTAGCTGGGATTACAGGCATGCGCCACTATGCCCAGCTAATTTTGTATTTTTAGTAGACGTGGGGTTTCACCATGTTGGTCAGGCTGGTCTTGAACTCCTGACCTCAAGTGATCCACCCAGCTCGGCCTCCCAAAGTGCTGCGATTACAGGCGTAAGCCACTGCACCTGGCCTTTTTTTTCTTTAAAGTTTACCACCCTGCTTCCAAAATGTCTATAGAAGAATAAAAGTTCACAAATAGCTAAGCCAATTTTGAAAAAGAGCAGTGATTCACATCTGTAATCCCCGCACGTTGGGAGGCAGAGGCAGGTGGACGAGTTGAGGTCAGGAATTTGAGACCAGCCTGGCCAACATGGTGAAACCCTGTCTCTACTAAAAATACAAAAATTAGCTGAGTGTGGTACACGCCTGTAACCCCAGCTACTCGGGAAACTGAGGCAGGAGAATTGTTTGAACCTGGGAGATGGAGTTTGCAGTGAGGTGAGATCATGCTACTGTACCATAGCCTGGGCGACAGAGTGAGACTCCGTCTCAAAAAAAAGGGGTGGGGGGGAAGAGCAAAGTGGGCTGGGCATGGTGGCTCACATCTGTAATCCCAGCACTTTGGGACGCAGAGGCGGAGTAATTGCTTGAGTCTAGGAATTTGAGACTAGCCTGGGCAACATGGTGAAACCCTGTGTCTACAAAAAATACAAAAATTAACTGGGTATGGTGGCACTCACCTGTAGTTCCAGCTACTCAGGAGGCTGAGGTGGGAGGATCGCTTGAGGCCAGGAGGCAGAGGTTGCAGTGAGCTAAGATTGTGCCACTGCACTCTAGCCTGGGAAACAGAGTGAGACCCTTGTCTCCAAAAAAAAAGAAAAGGAGCCAAGTGATTTTCCTGCCTCAGCCTCCCAAGTAGCTGAAAGGAAACTTGCCATCTATGTATTAAGACATAATACTACAAAGCCACACAAATAAAAAAGTCTGTCTGTTTCTGGGTCACACTGACACCAAGTGCACAGATTAGAAAGTCCGGAATAAATGCAGCTGTCCCTCAGTATCCAATGGGGACTGGTTGCAGGAATGCTGCAGACGCCAAAATCTGCAGGTGCTCAAGTCCCTGATATAAAATGGCATAGTATTTGCATATAACCTATGCATATCCTCCCTTATACTTTTTTATTTTAATTTTTTTTTGAGACAGGGTCTCGCTCTGTTGCCAGAGCTGGAGTGCAGTGGCACAATCTTAGCAAAATCAGTCCTTCTCCAATAAAAAAAAAAAAAAAAAAAAAAAGGAAACATTTACAGCTGAGAAAGTTCTCAGAAGTATAGGAAAAAAATTACAAAATTACACTCTACATGTATGAATTCAACATTAATTCTATAGTACTACTACTTAAGCATCATAGAAAACATTACTAATGGTTTTAAAAATTGGTTTTATAAGGATGGTAGAGCTTAGCCAATACCTTGATTACATGGAACTGATCTCAAAGTTTGCCTTTCCTTCTAGGGAATTTGTCTATTAGAAAATGCGAGCACCTCATAACACATAATACCTTTCCAACTGATACAAGGATCCAGTTTTCTGTTTTGATCTTGTTCTTCTAACGGTGTCCTGTCTACCTGAATTCCAGAGTCCTCTCTGCTTAAGGGCTGTTGATCATTTTCCTCTTCACTTTCTTCAGACCAATTCTGATTTAAAAAAGAGATACACTTTAGCTTTACAGAGTATAACACTTAAAGCTATTTACATTAAAAGACTAAGAAAACTTTGAAGAAAAGCAAAAACTTTGAAGCAACATGGAACAGAAAAACAAATTTTTTTTTCCTAAATCTCTTGGAAGTGCCTATTATAGGAATGGAAATATGATTACTACTTTTTCTTTTTTTCTATAATGTTGAAATAATAAGGAATGGAATTATTTTTTGTGGCAAAAAGTCCCAAGATCACAGGTCCTTAAGGGATACTTGTACTCACCCCTTTTAACTTCTTTTTTTTTTTTTGAGACAGAGTCTCTCGCTTTGTCATCCAGGTTGGAGTGCAATAGCACGATCTCAGCTCATTGCAACCTCCACCTCCTGTGTTCAAGAGATTCTCGTGCCTGAGCCTCCTGAGTAGCTGGGATTACAGGCGTGTACCACCACACCCAGCTAATTTTTTGTATTCTTAGTTGACGGGGTTTCACTATGTTGCCCAGGCTGCTCTCGAACTCCTCTGGCCTCAAGTGATCCGCCTACCTCAGCCTCCCACAATGCTGGGATTACAGTTGTGAGCCACCAAGCCCAGACAACTTTTTTAGAATTTATTTTTTAAAAATAGACACAGGATCTCGCTATGTTGCCCAGGCTGGTCTCAAATTCCTAGGCTCAAGCAATCCTCCTGCCTCTCGAAAGTGAGCAGGAGATTACAGATGTGAGCCACCATGCCCGGCCCCTTTTAACTTCTTACCACTAATGATTTGGTGCGAAATCCTAATCAGTCTTCCATAATAAATGACTCTAGCTTAGTGAAGAGTGTTCCTGTTTTAGCTAAGTTGACCTAGGGTGGAAAGACCCATGAAAATCATCTATATCACCTGGCGTGTATTTCAATTTTCAATAGCAAAACTACTACCACTTACTGGTGTGTCCATGTACGGACCAATGTCCATTTCTTCATCTTCCATCAAGTATTTTCCCCAGTCGAAATCATCTTTCTTTTCTAAAATGTAACAGAAGAACTTCATTGGCTTTATTATATCTATCTTTGAAAAAAAACCTCAAAACTAAGGAAAAAAGACTAACAAGACTCAAAATACTCAGGAAATAAAAATTTAAAAATATTGAAACATTTAATAAATTGATATCCTAAAACATTTTACATTTTAATTAACTCATTCTCAAAGGTGAGTGTTCTCTTTCTACAGCTGAAGGTAGTTTGTAAAGTTAGAACGAATACAGTCATCCCTCAATATCTGAGGGGAATTGGTTCCAGGAGGTACACCACCCTCCGCAATGCTCAAGGCTGACAGAAAATGGTGTAGTATGTGCACATAACCTAAATACATCCTGCTGTATACTTTAAATAATCTCTAGATTACTTATAATACCTAATATCATGTAAATGCTATGTAAATAGTTTTTTAAAAGATTGTATTATTTTAGACTGTTGTATTATTATTTATTTATTTTGAATATTTTTGATCTGTAGTTGATTGAATCTGTGGGTCTGGAACCTGAGAATATAGAGGGCTGACAGCATTTTAAATAAAATTTTACAATTGTGATAGCATCTAAAGCAATAGAAATACTTTAGTTTCACAGATTTTTAGAAGTTTCAATAAAACTCAGTGTTTAGCAACTAAGTAATCAAACAATTTCTCTTTTACTTCTCATATGTTAAGGAATCTAGTAACATACCCACTTCTTTATTTCTTGGTGTCTCCACATAACTGCTGTTTGAAGGAGAGTCTGACAGACACAGAAGAAGTGACAGTATGGAATAATGTGCATCTGTCTTTAAAACAAAAAAAAGAACATAAATCTCTGGAGGTTGGGAAATGCTTTCTACACCAGATTGAGTAAAGATAACTCCATGACAGTTATGTCCCCAATTTTTTTCCTGGTTTGAGAAAACGTGAGTTATACCTAAATAATCCTTAACCTTCAAACTTCTTCATAGCTCAAATGCATACACATAAGGAACCTCAAAGCCATCTGAAATCTGAGTTCTATATTTCTAACAAGTATAAGATCTGAGTGGATGACAGCTTTTTATTTCTAAAACGACGGAAATGTCTTTAGAGTATAACATTATGGTTAAAAATTATTCTCCTGTGGCAATATGTATCATGAAGGTTAAACATGCCTGATAGTTTAACTAAGATGTATCATATTTTATTTAACCAGTCCCCTATTAATGAAATTTAGATTTTTTCCCAATCTTTTGCTATCACAAACTTATGTTGTTTCATATCTTTTTTCCCCCCGAGATGGATTTTCGCTCTGTCGCCCAGGCTGGAGTGCAATAGTGCAATCTCAGCTCACCGCAACCTCCGCCTCCCCTGGTTCAAGTGATTCTCCTGTCTCAGCCTCCCGAGTAGCTGGGATTACAGGTACGCGCCACCACGCCCGGGTAACTTTTGTATTTTTAGTAGAGATGGGGTTTCACCATGTTGGCCAGGATGGTCTCCAACTCCTGACCTCATGATCCGCCCACCTTGGCCTCCCAAAGTACTGGGATTACAGGCATGGGCCACCACACTTGGCTGTTGTTTCATAATTATAAGAGTTTATCTGTATAATAAATTCCTAAAAAGTGAAACACTAAGTCAAAGAGTGTTTGCATTTGGAATTTTGAGAAATAATGCCAAAATATATTCCATACAGGTAATACAAATATACATACGCATAGAATTACCTGTTTCCCACACCTTTTATTAATCAGATCGGTGAAAAACATTCTCTCAGTGTTGCTTTAATTTGCATTTATCTTATCTTATGAAATGGTAGGCACTTTTCCATCAGCTTAAAATTACTGATTTTCCTTTATTGGGTATTATTCTCCTCTGTTCAAGTTTCTATTTGATTGCCAGTCTTTTCTTATTTATATGATTGATTTTTAAATTGGGATATTAGCTGTGTGGGAATGCATTAACTCAGCAAGCCTGAATTGCCAAAGCCTTCAGCATCCCCCAAAAGGGCTTATTTTCATGAATAAGCCTTGGCCAGCTTGTGGTAACTGAGCTCTTGAAATATCTGAACTGGCAAATGTGTTCTGTATGCTCAGATCTTGAACCATGTTGTACTAGTCTGTTTAGATAGTTTGCGCAAACAGTGTGACTGAAGGTGAACACCTGCTTTCCTTTGAAGGCTCTGGAACTTCAGTAATTGTGGTCAGTCACACAGGTCCTATGCCTAAGAGATAAGCCCCCAATAAAAGCCCCAGAGTCCTGGGCTCAGGTGTCCAGGTAGACAACACTGGCCACCTGACAGTATGTCAGAAGAGACAGAGCAAGCATCCAAACCAGACTCAAATATGGCAGGGATGTTGGAATTATCAGCCCGGGAATTGAAAACAACTATGATTAATATGCTAAGAGTGCTAATGAAAAATGTGGATAACAAGGAAGAACAGATCAGAAATATAAGTGGTGAGATGGAAACTCAAAGAATCGAAGTGTTCCAATGAAAAATAAAGTGTCAGAAATGAAGAATGCTTTTGATGGGCTCACCCAGTAGACTGGCATGAGCTTGAAAATATATCAACAGAGCAGGCCGGGGTGGCTCACGCCTGTAATCCCAGCACTTTTGGAACCAAGGTGGGCAGATCACTTGAGGTCAGGAGTTCGACACTACCCTGGCCAACATGGCGAAACCTCATCTCTACTAAAAATACAAAAATTAGCCGGGCGGGGTGGTGTACGCTTGTAATCCCAGTTACTTGGGAGGCTGAGGCTGCAGTGAGCTGAGATTGCACCATTGCATTCCAGCCTGGGCAACAGAGCAAGATTCCGTCTCAAAAAACAAAAAAACAAACAAACAAAAAGACATTGAAAACAGGAAACAATAATAAAAATGGCAAAACCAAAAACTGATTCGCTGAAGAGATTAATAACATTAATAAATCTCTAGACATACTAACCACAAAAAAAAAGAGAGTATACATACATTACTAAAATCAGAAAATAAAGAGGGGTCATCACTACTGATCCCACAGACATTAAAAGGATAATAAAGAAGCTCGGCATGGTGGTTCATGCCTGTAATCCCAGCACTTTGGGAGGCCAAGGCAGGTGGATTGCTTGAGGTCAAGAGTTCGGGACCAGCCTGGCCAACATGGTGAAACCCTGTCTCTACTAAAAATACAAAAAATTAGCTGGGCATGGTGGTGGGCAGCTGTAATCCCAGCTACTCGGGAAGCTGAGGCAGGAGAATCACTTGAATCTGGGAAGTGGGGGTTGCAATGAGTCGAGACTGCACCACTGCACTCCAAGCCTGGGTGACAAAATGACACTCAGTCTTAAAAAAAAAAAAAAAAGAAAAAAAGTGTGAAGTTATTGCTACACCACACAGCAATCCCCAACCGTTTTGGCACCAGGGACTGGTTTTGTGGAAGACAATTTTTCCATGGACTGTTGGGTGGGGGTTGGTTTCAGGATGAAACTGTTCCACCTCAGATCATTAGGCATTAGATTGTCATAAGGAGCATGCAACCTAGATCCCTCAAATGTGCAGTTCACAATGGGGTTTGCTCTCCTATGAGAATCTAATGCCACCGCTGATCTGACAGGAGGTGGAGCTCAGGCAGTCATCCTCACTCACCCCACTGCACCTCCTGCCATGAAGCCCTGTTCCTAGCAGGCACATATTGGTACTCGTCCACCATGTGGGGGTTGGGGACCTCTGCCATAACAAACACATCCAAGATGCCACACAGCAAGAGAAAAGGATAACCAATCCCACCTTGTGTAAGTGGGTGGGGGCTGTGGACACAGAGGGGATAGTGAAGCAGACAAGACTGCACAGCCTTACTGATTCCCTCAACAAACATGCACTGTCCACTGTGCTCTAGGTGTCCGGGAACAAATCAGACACAGAGCCCTATGCCTGTAAAATGTGCATTTTAAAGGGGGAGACAAGAAAGGAACTATAAAGAATTGAAATACATAGCATGTGTGGAGACAGTGCCTGAGTTTAATATTAAAACGTGAGCTTCCTCAGGCAGGAGAAAGGGAAAGAACTATGTAGGCACAAGATGTGTCACAGCAGAGCTAGGGAAGGTGGTCCCACCGTGTTCAGGGAACCCACAGCTGTTTCCATACGCTTGCCATCCTTGGTTTGACCTCTAGGGGGCTACAGACTCAGCAGCTAAGGTCAGTCATGTGGGCTCTGCTTGCTTATGTGACCCACCCCCAATAAAAATGCTGGTCACCAAGGCTCAGCCGAGTGGCCCTGGGGGGAGTGGAGGGTAATACTTTGCACATGTTGTCATATACTGTTACTGAGAGAATTAACTGCATCCCCAGGTGACTCCACTAGGAAGGAACATTTGGACATGCGTGCCTAGCTTCTCCTAGACTTTGCTCTAAGCACCTTTTCCCTTTGGTGATTTTAATCTGTATCCTTTCACTGTAATAAACTATTAACAGTGAGGATAACAGCTTTTTTTTTTTAAGTTCTGTGAATCCTTTGAGCAAATCATTATGCCAAAAGGTGGTCTTGGGGAATCCCCCAAACAATATGAAAGTATACCAGGCATCTAGTAAGCATCTACAGACAGTCACTGCCAAGTGCTGAGAAACCATTTGAAAGTTTTGAGATACCCAAACAATGCTACTATTTGTATCAATCTCTGATCTCTCTTTCCTTAGTAGGACTGAGGTGAAAAAATGATTAAAAACAAGCTCTTTCTTTCATCACAAACTGAGGCATATCTGGTTTGATGGCAATATTTAAGTAAATTTCCAAGAGATCCCGTTAGCCAGTAGATAATACTAAAATAGAATGTTTAAACAGTAACTGAAACAAATTGACGATAATCAGATAGGAAACAGTAAAATACACAGTGGAGATCTCGTAATTGAAGGCATACCTTTATTTCCTTTATACTGGGAAGTGGTGCATTTAGAAATTCCTCCGTTAATCTCTTCCAACTAGCAGCTTTGCTTAGATCAGAATGAATGACAAATTTTTCATAAATTCTAAAATATAAGAAAAGATTATAAAGCTATCTTAAAAAGATCTATAAGAAAATACATATATTTCTGGATGCGTATATATACACACTGACTTACCCCTCGATTGTTTTTTCTATTTTGTGGCTGTTGACATCCAAGAAACGATGAAATCTATTAAAGACAAAATGCAATTCTTATGCCAACTCTGTCACACAGGTAAGTGAACTCATCTCATGGCCCTCCATATCCCCCATATGCTCTGTACTCAGCTACACATTTCCAGAATGGAGTGTACCTTGTCCTCCGTTACCTCCACCATCAGGCAGGCAAATAATCACCGTGTCCGAGACTGTGCAAGCATCCTTTCTCCAGCACACAGGTTCTTCCTGACCCTCCCAACCTTGTCCTCTGGCTCCTCTGTCTTCCCATAAGCCCCTGTATCTAAGTCCAGCTGAACACATTCTACATCAGGTGGTCCCAACCTTTTTATGCCATAGTGAGGCCCGGTGAAGCCTAAGGACCCCTTCTCTGTATAACATTTTTAAAGCCAAAAAATAAATACAAAGGAATCCCATTATACTGAGATACAGTTGTCAAATATTTAAAGAAGTTTAAGATATGGCAAGAAATGTTATTTATGAAAGTATTAAATAACAAGATTTAGCAGTAGGTCCAATTAACTACCATTAAAGTAACAGTAAACAACATTTACAAATATCTACAACTCTGATGTGAAAACAGTATGCGATTTCTACTGGTGATAAAGTCATAGGTAGGCTAATACTGCTATGGTTTGCTGCCTTCATTCATAATAGAAGGAGATGCTACTTTTCAGTTAGAGAAAAGTGAGCTTGCTCAGTGCAAGCTCCGCCTCCTGGGTTCGCGCCATTCTCCTGCCTCAGCCTCCCAAGTAGCTGGGACTACAGGCGCCTGCCACCACGCCCGGCTAATTTTTTGTACTTTTAGTAGAGACCGGGTTTCACCGTGTTAGCCAGGATAGTCTCGATCTCCTGACCTCGTGATCCACCCACCTCGGCCTCCTAAAGTGCTGGGATTACAGGCGTGAGCCACCGCGCCCAGTCCACAATTTTCAAGAATGTAAACATGAACTATTCATTTTTCTGATGGTTTAAAGCATCATAAAATTACAGCACAGCCTATGCAACTAATGTATATGTACATAGCATAGCCTATGCAAAAAATGTTTTCCATTTTTTAGTATCAAAGCGAGCAATCTGTACTTAAATAAAATTACACTACTGAAAAACACATGATTCTAGGCCAGTAAATGGGTGAATGGAACACCACTTTACCTATTATAATTTAGTTCCTGAAATCTGTGAATGAAAATAGTAACCTCCAACGTCTCTCCCAGCTCTAAAATGATGACAATCTGCCTACTGTCATTTAGAAATATTAGTAGAAAAATAACTTGGATTTCAGCATTTAAGTTTCTGTATTGTATAACCTATTTCACACATTGTTTATTTTTATAAGTTCCACTTAGAATTCAGTTTATTACTTCAGAAACTTGGCATGGTTTAAAAGAATCTGAAAGCCCCGTATTCCTATTATAAGCCAACTAGACACTTTATGGCTATGATCATTAAGGTAACTAAGATTACGGATTTTGAAAAACTGTTCATTATTCAAGAAGATTTTTACTGAAATTAAACAGGTAGAATATTAACATTAACATTCTTTTAGTAATAATTTCATTATGGGTAATGACTCTAAAAGTATTAATTTACATCTCCCATAAAGAAAAATAGGAGATCTCACTTTACGTAAATATCTAAATTCTGTAAGTCTTTAAAAATTAGTTACAAGAGAAACTGCATTAGAAATTGTATTAGGTGACTCAGCGTGCTACGTGCCAGGAGCTGTGCAGAGATGCAGCATTCTAGCTGGAGTGGAAGTGGAGGAGACAGTAATGACAGGTTAAATCAGTGTCATGACACGCGTTTTGGAAAAAGGAGAGCAGGGTGAGAGATCTTACACTGGGCTGACCAGGGAGCAGGAGTCAGTGAGAATACAATCTCTTTAATTTAAAAAAAAAAAAATTATAAACATAGAGTTGCTACGTTGCCCAAGCTGGCCTGGAGTCCCGCCTGGGCCTCCCAGAGCGCTGGGGTTGCAGGCGCGCGCGCCGGCCGGCAAGAAACCCAGTTCACGCTTTCCCCGTGACGATCAGGACGCGTCCCGGGTAACACGCCCTGTGGTGCGCAGGGCACCGCGCCGAGAGCGCTGGCCGGCGGGGAGCAGGCGGTGGCAGGGCCTGCGAAGGCTCCCTGAGGCCGCGCCCGCCTCCGCCCCATGCCCTGCCCCAGCGCGCCCCGACCCCGGGCTGTGCGGGACCCACGCGCGGGCTCCGGGCTGTGGCCGGGAACCCGCCCGCGCGCCGTGCCCCACACCTGAAGTTGGACCAGGCGAAGTTTAGGGCGAGCTGGAAGTTGGGGTCTGCCTCGTCCTGGAGGCCGGCGACACCCCGGACGAGCTCCCGCACGTCGCGCTCCTGCTGCGCGTCCAACCGACTCCACGGTGGCCCGTGCCGCGCCATGTTCCGCGCTCCTGCAGCGCGCGTCTAACGAATTGGTGCCTGTCGCGCGAGAGCTCGGGCTCCTGCCGCAGTCGCCTCCGGAGCTGGCGGCATTCTCGCGAGAGTTCGCGCTCCCGCGCCGGGCGACTTCCAAGCCGACCGCTATTCTCGCGACAGTTCGAGCTCCGGCTGTGGAGGGTACTGCCTGGCGCTGTCCCGTGGTGGGGACTGGAGTGCGCATTTTCTGGTTGCCCGACGGTACGTTTTCTACTGTACTCAGAGTTAGCTGGTGTCATCGTGAATCAGATACATAAGGGTCTCTGGCCGGCCTCGGTGACAGTCAGTGATTTTGAGAGCAGCCCGTTAGGTGCCCGGTCAGCAAATGCATTGGGACCCGCCTTTCCAGGAACCCTGAACTGCTTACCTGCTGAACCCTCCCGGCCCTGCAGCTTCTCCCTCCAGTGATGGTCTCTGCGGATTTCCGTGCCCCATCCACACAACACAGTCACGCTACACACATCCATGCTACACAACCAGCATCAGCGAAGCAGCTGTCCCGACCCGCTAGCAGTGCCTGCTGGCCCTTGCCTCGCCTGTTCCTCAGGGGCGGCTTGGGGGACTTCATGACCCCACCTGGCCAGAGGTGCTGAGGGGGGGAACTTCATAAATGTCACCTGGCCAGAGGTGGTGGGGGAGATTTCATAACCCCACCTAGCCAGAGGTGCTGGGGGCACTTCATAACCACACCTAGCCAGAGGTGCCGGGAGGACTTCATAACCACACCTGGACAGAGGTGCTGGGGGGACATCATAACCTCACCTGCTCAGAGGTGCTAGGGGGTATCATAATCCCACCTGGCCAGAGGTGCTATGGGGCCATCATAACCCAACCTGGCCAGAGGTGCTGGGGGGACATCTTAACCTCACCTGGCCAGAGGTGCTATGGGGCCATCATAACCCAACCTGGCCAGAGGTGCTGGGGGGACATCTTAACCTCACCTGGCCAGAGGTGCTAGGGGGATATCATAATCCCACCTGGCCAGAGATTCTGGGGGGACATCATAACCCCAGCTGGCCGGAGGTGCCGGGGGGCGGGGGGAACTTCATAACCCCACCTGGCCAGAGGTGCTGGGGGGACATCATAACCTCACCTGGCCAGAGGTGCTGGGGGGTATCATAATCCCACCTGGCCAGAGATGCTGGGGGGCCATCATAACCCCACCTGGCCAGAGGTGCTGTGGGGCCATCATAACCCCACCTGGCCGGAGGTGCTGGGGGGCGGGGGGAACTTCGTAACCCCACCTGGCCAGAGGTGCTGGGGGTAACTTCATAAATGTCACCTGGCCAGAGGTGCTGGGGAGGATTTCATAACCCCACCTGACCAGGGGTGCTGGGGGGACATCATAACCTCACCTGGCCAGAGGTGCTGGGGGGTATCATAATCTGACCTGGCCAGAGATGCTGGGGGGACATCATAACCCCACCTGGCCAGAGGTGCTGTGGGGCCATCATAACCCCAGCTGGCCGGAGGTGCTGGGGGGCGGGGGGAACTTCTTAACCCCACCTGGCCAGAGGTGCTGGGGGTGACTTCATAAATGTCACCTGGCCAGAGGTGCTGGGGGGATTTCATAACCCAAACTGGCCAGAGGTGCTGGGGGGACATCTTAACCTCACCTGGCCAGAGGTGCTAGGGGGATATCATAATCCCACCTGGCCAGAGATGCTGGGGGGACATCATAACCCCACCTGGCCGGAGGTGCTGGGGGGCGGGGGGAACTTCATAACCCCACCTGGCCAGAGGTGCTGGGGGTGACTTCATAAATGTCACCTGGCCAGAGGTGCTGGGGGGATTTCATAACCCAAACTGGCCAGAGGTGCTGGGGGGACATCTTAACCTCACCTGGCCAGAGGTGCTAGGGGGATATCATAATCCCACCTGGCCAGAGATGCTGGGGGGACATCATAACCCCACCTGGCCGGAGGTGCTGGGGGGCGGGGGGAACTTCATAACCCCACCTGGCCAGAGGTGCTGGTGGTGACTTCATAAATGTCACCTGGCCAGAGGTGCTGGGGGGGATTTCATAACCACAGCTGGCCATAGGTGCTGGGGGAGATTTCATAACCCCACCTGGCCAGAGGTGCTGGGGGGACTTCATAACCACACCTGGCCAGAGGTGCCAGGAGGACTTCATAACCACACCTGGCCAGAGGTGCTGGGGGGACATCATAACCTCACCTGGCCAGAGGCGCTGTGGGGGGGTATTATAACCCCACCTGGCCAGAGGTGCTGGGGGGTATCATAATCCCACCTGGCCAGAGGTGCTGTGGGGCCATCATAACCCCAGCTGGCAGGAGGTCCTGGTGGGCCATCCTAACCCCACCTGGCCAGAGGTGCTGGGCGGCGGGGGGAACTTCTTAACCCCACCTGGCCGGAGGTGCTGGGGGTGACTTCAAAATGTCACCTGGCGAGAGGTGCTGGGGGGGATTTCATAACCCCACCTGGCCAGAGGTGCCGGGGGGACTTCATAACCCCACCTGGCCAGAGGTGCCGGGAGGACTTCATAACCACACCTGGCCAGAGGTACCGGGGGGACATCATAACCACACCTGGCCAGAGGTGCCGGTGGGACTTCATAACCCCACCTGGCCAGAGGTGCCGGGGGGACTTCATAACCACACCTGGCCAGAGGTGCCGGGGGGACATCATAACCACACCTGGCCAGAGGTGCCGGGGGGACATCATAACCTCACCTGGCCAGAGGTGCTGGGGGTGGGTATTATATCCCCACCTGGCCAGAGGTGCTGGGGGGGACGTCATAACCACACTTGGCCAGAGGTGCCGGTGGGACTTCATAACCCCACCTGGCCAGAGGTGCTGGGGGACATCATAACCCCACCTGGCCAGAGGTGCCAGGGGGGACATCATAACCCCACCTGGCCAGAGGTGCTGGGGGACATCATAATCCCACCTGGCCAGAGGTGCTCTGGGGCCATCATAACCCCACTTGGCCGGAGGTGCTGGGGGGCAGGGGGAACTTCATAACCCCACCTGGCCAGAGGTGCTGGGGGTGACTTCATAACTGTCACCTGGCCAGAGGTGCTGCGGGGGACTTCATAACCACACCTGGCCAGAGGTGCTGGGGGACATCATAACCTCACCTGGCCAGAGGTGCTGGGGGGTATCATAATCCCACCTGGCCAGAGATGCTGGGGGGACATCATAACCCCACCTGGCCAGAGATGCTGTGGGGCCATCATAACCCCAGCTGGCCGGAGGTGCTGGGGGCAGGGGGAATTTCATAACCCTACCCGGACAGAGGTGCTGGGGTGACTTCATAAATGTCACCTGGCCAGAGGTGCTGGAGGGGATTTCATAACCCCACCTGGCCAGAGGTGCTGGGGGGGACTTCATAACCCCACCTGGCCAGAGGTGCTGGGGGACTTCATAACCCCACCTGGCCAGAGGTGCTGGGGGGACATCATAACTTCACCTGGCCAGAGGTGCTGGGGGGTATCATAATCCCACCTGGCCAGATATGCTGGGGGGACATCATAACCCCACCTGCCAGAGGTGCTGGGGGGCGGGGGGAACTTCATAACCCCACCTGGCCAGAGGTGCTGGGGGTGACTTCATAAATGTCACCTGGCCAGAGGTGCTGGGGGGGATTTCATAACCCCACCTGGCCAGAGGTGCTAGGGGGACATCATAACCTCACCTGGCCAGAGGTGCTGGGGGGTATCATAATCCCACCTGGCCAGAGATGCTGGGGGGACATCATAACCCCACCTAGCCAGAGGTGCTGTGGGGCCATCATAACCCCAGATGGCCTGAGGTGCTGGGGGGCGGGGGGAACTTCATAACCCCACCCGGCCAGAGGTGCTGGGGGTGACTTCATAAATGTCACCTGGCCAGAGGTGCTGGGGGGATTTCATAACCTAACCTGGCCAGAGGTACTGGGGGGACATCTTAACCTCACCTGGCCAGAGGCGCTAGGGGGATATCATAATCCCACCTGGCCAGAGATGCTGGGGGGACATCATAACCCCACCTGGCCGGAGGTGCTGGGGGGCGGGGGGAACTTCATAACCCCACCTGGCCAGAGGTGCTGGTGGTGACTTCATAAATGTCACCGGGCCAGAGGTGCTGGGGGGGATTTCATAACCACAGCTGGCCGTAGGTGCTGGGGGAGATTTCATAAACCCACCTGGCCAGAGGTGCTCGGGGGACTTCATAACCACACCTGGCCAGAGGTGCCAGGAGGACTTCATAACCACACCTGGCCAGAGGTGCTGGGGGGACATCATAACCTCACTTGGCCAGAGGTGCTGTGGGGGGGTATTATAACCCCACCTGGCCAGAGGTGCCGGGGGGTATCATAATCCCACCTGGCCAGAGGTGCTGTGGGGCCATCATAACCCCAGCTGGCAGGAGGTCCTGGGGGGCCATCCTAACCCCACCTGGCCAGAGGTGCTGGGCGGCGGGGGGAACTTCTCAACCCCACCTGGCCAGAGGTGCTGGGGGTGACTTCAAAATGTCACCTGGCGAGAGGTGTTGGAGGGGATTTCATAACCCCACCTGGCCAGAGGTGCCGGGGGGACTTCATAACCCCACGTGGCCAGAGGTGCCGGGAGGACTTCATAACCACACCTGGCCAGAGGTACCGGGGGGACATCATAACCACACCTGGCCAGAGGTGCCGGTGGGACTTCATAACCCCACCTGGCCAGAGGTGCCGGGGGGACTTCATAACCACACGTGGCCAGAGGTGCCGGGGGGACATCATAACCACACTTGGCCAGAGGTGCCGGGGGGACATCATAACCTCACCTGGCCAGAGGTGCTGGGGGTGGGTATTATATCCCCACCTGGCCAGAGGTGCTGGGGGGGGACGTCATAACCACACTTGGCCAGAGGTGCCGGTGGGACTTCATAACCCCACCTGGCCAGAGGTGCCGGGGGGACTTCATAACCACACCTGGCCAGAGGTGCCGGGGGGACATCATAACCACACCTGGCCAGAGGTGCTGGGGGGACAACATAACCACACCTGGCCAGAGGTGCCCGGAGGACTTCATAACCACACCTGGCCAGAGGTGCCGGGCGGACTTCATAACCCCACCTGGCCAGAGGTGCCAGGGGGGACATCATAACCCCACCTGGCCAGAGGTGCTGGGGGACATCATAATCCCACCTGGCCAGAGGTGCTGTGGGGCCATCATAACCCCACTTGGCCGGAGGTGCTGGGGGGCGGGGGGAACTTCATAACCCCACCTGGCCAGAGGTGCTGGGGGTGAATTCATTACTGTCACCTGGCCAGAGGTGCTGCGGGGGACTTCATAACCACACCTGGCCAGAGGTGCCGGGAGGACTTCATAACCCCACCTGGCCAGAGGTGCTGGGGGGACATCATAACTTCACCTGGCCAGAGGTGCTGGGGGGTATCATAATCCCACCTGGCCAGATATGCTGGGGGGACATCATAACCCCACCTGCCAGAGGTGCTGGGGGGCGGGGGGAACTTCATAACCCCACCTGGCCAGAGGTGCTGGGGGTGACTTCATAAATGTCACCTGGCCAGAGGTGCTGGGGGGATTTCATAACCCAACCTGGCCAGAGGTGCTGGGGGGACATCATAACCTCACCTGGCCAGAGGTGCTAGGGTGATATCATAATCCCACCTGGCCAGAGATGCTGGGGGGACATCATAACCCCACCTGGCCGTAGGTGCTGGGGGGCGGGGGGAACTTCCTAACTCTACCTGGCCGGAGGTGCTGGGGGTGACTTCATAAATGTCACCAGGCCAGAGGTGCTGGGGGGGATTTCATAACCACAGCTGGCCAGAGGTGCTGGGGGAGATTTCATAACCCCACCTGGCCAGAGGTGCTAGTGGGACTTCATAATCACACCTGGCCAGAGGTGCCAGGAGGACTTCATAACCACACCTGGCCAGAGGTGCTGGGGGGACATCATAACCTCACCTGGCCAGAGGTGCTGTGGGGGGGTATTATAACCCCACCTGGCCAGAGGTGCTGGGGGGGTCATAATCCCACTTGGTCAGAGGTGCTGTGGGGCCATCATAACCCCAGCTGGCCGGAGGTGCCGGGGGGCGGGGGGAACTTCATAACCCCACCTGGCCAGAGTTGCTGGGGGTGACTTCATAAATGTCACCTGGCCAGAGGTGCTGCGGGGGATTTCATAACCCCACCGGGCCAGAGGTGCTGGGGGGACATCATAACCTCCCCTGGCCAGAGGTGCTAGGGGATATCATAATCCCACCTGGCCAGAGATGCTGGGGGGCCATCATAACCCCACATGGCCAGCGGTGCTGTGGGGCCATCATAACCCCACCTGGCCAGAGGTGCTGGGGGTGACTTCATAAATGTCACCTGGCCAGAGGTGCTGGGGGGGATTTCATAACCCCACCTGGCCAGGGGTGCTGGGGGGACATCATAACCTCACCTGCCCAGAGGTGCTGGGGGTATCATAATCTGACCTGGCCAGAGATGCTGGGGGGACATCATAACCCCACCTGGCCAGAGGTGCTGTGGGGCCATCATAACCCCAGCTGGCCGGAAGTGCTGGGGGCTGGGGGAGCTTCTTAACCCCACCCGGCCAGAGGTGCTGGGGGTGACTTCATAAATGTCACCTGGCTAGAGGTGCTGGGGGGATTTCATAACCTCACCTGGCCAGAGGTGCTGGGGGGACATCATAACCTCACCTGGCCAGAGGTGCTAGGGGGTATCATAATCCCACCTGGCCAGAGATGCTGGGGGGCCATCATAACTCCACCTGGCCAGAGGTGCTGGGGGGCGGGGGGAACTTCATAACCCCACCTGGCCAGAGGTGCTGGTGGTGACTTCATAAATGTCACCGGGCCAGAGGTGCTGGGGGGGATTTCATAACCACAGCTGGCCAGAGGTGCTGGGGGAGATTTCATAACCCCACCTGGCCAGAGGTGCTGGGGGGACTTCATAACCACACCTGGCCAGAGGTGCCAGCAGGACTTCATAACCACACCTGGACAGAGGTGCTGGGGGGACATCATAACCTCACCTGGCCAGAGGTGCTGTGGGGGGTATTATAACCCCACCTGGCCAGAGGTGCTGGGGGGTATCATAATCCCACCTGGCCAGAGGTGCTGTGGGGCCATCATAACCCCAGCTGGCAGGAGGTCCTGGGGGGCCATCATAACCCCACCTGGCCAGAGATGCTGGGCGGCGGGGGGAACTTCTTAACCCCACCGGGCCAGAGGTGCTGGGGGTGACTTCAAAATGTCACCTGGCGAGAGGTGCTGGGGGGGATTTCATAACCCCACCTGGCCAGAGGTGCCGGGGGGACTTCATAACCCCACCTGGCCAGAGGTGCCGGGAGGACTTCATAACCACACCTGGCCAGAGGTACCGGGGGGACATCATAACCACACCTGGCCAGAGGTGCCGGTGGGACTTCATAACCCCACCTGGCCAGAGGTGCCGGGGGGACTTCATAACCACACGTGGCCAGAGGTGCCGGGGGGACATCATAACCACACCTGGCCAGAGGTGCCGGGGGGACATCATAACCTCACCTGGCCAGAGGTGCTGGGGGTGGGTATTATATCCCCACCTGGCCAGAGGTGCTGGGGGGGACGTCATAACCACACGTGGCCAGAGGTGCCGGTGGGACTTCATAACCCCACCTGGCCAGAGGTTCCGGGGGGACTTCATAACCACACCTGGCCAGAGGTGCCGGGAGGACTTCATAACCACACCTGGCCAGAGGTGCCCGGAGGACTTCATAACCACACCTGGCCAGAGGTGCCCGGAGAACTTCATAACCCCACCTGTCCAGAGGTGCCGGGAGGACTTCATAACCACACCTGGCCAGAGGTGCCGGGAGGACTTCATAACCACACCTAGCCAGAGGTGCTGGGGGACATCATAACCCCAGCTGGCAGGAGGTCCTGGGGGGCCATCATAACCCCACCTGGCCAGAGGTGCCGGGAGGACTTCATAACCACACCTGGCCAGAGGTACCGGGGGGACATCATAACCACACCTGGCCAGAGGTGCCAGTGGGACTTCATAACCCCACCTGGCCAGAGGTGCCGGGGGGACTTCATAACCACACGTGGCCAGAGGTGCCGGGGGGACATCATAACCACACCTGGCCAGAGGTGCCGGGGGGACATCATAACCTCCCCTGGCCAGAGGTGCTGGGGGTGGGTATTATATCCCCACCAGGCCAGAGGTGCTGGGGGGGACGTCATAACCACACGTGGCCAGAGGTGACGGTGGGACTTCATAACCCCACCTGGCCAGAGGTGCCGGGGGGACTTCGTAACCACACCTGGCCAGAGGTGCCGGGGGGACAACATAACCACACCTGGCCAGAGGTGCCCGGAGGACTTCATAACCACACCTGGCCAGAGGTGCCCGGAGGACTTCATAACCCCACCTGTCCAGAGGTGCCGGGAGGACTTCATAACCACACCTGGCCAGAGGTGCTGGGGGACATCATAATCCCACCTGGCCAGAGGTGCTGTGGGGCCATCATAACCCCACTTGGCCGGAGGTGCTGGGGGGCGGGGGGAACTTCATAACCCCACCCGGCCAGAGGTGCTGGGGGTGACTTCATAAATGTCACCTGGCCAGAGGTGCTGGGGGGGATTTCATAACCCCACCTGGCCAGAGGTGCTGGGGGACATCATAACCTCACCTGGCCAGAGGTGCTGGGGGGTATCATAATCCCACCTGGCCAGAGATGCTGGGGGGACATCATAACCCCACCTGGCCAGAGATGCTGTGGGGCCATCATAACCCCAGCTGGCCGGAGGTGCTGGGGGCAGGGGGAATTTCGTAACCCCACCCGGCCAGAGGTGCTGGGGGTGACTTCATAAATGTCACCTGGCCAGAGGTGCTGGAGGGGATTTCATAACCCCACCTGGCCAGAGGTGCTGGGGGGACATCATAACTTCACCTGGCCAGAGGTGCTGGGGGGTATCATAATCCCACCTGGCCAGAGATGCTGGGGGGACATCATAACCCCACCTGGCCGGAGGTGCTGGGGGGCGGGGGGAACTTCATAACCCTACCTGGCCGGAGGTGCTGGGGGTGACTTCATAAATGTCACCTGGCCAGAGGTGCTAGGGGGATTTCATAACCCCACCTGGCCAGAGGTGCTGGGAGGACATCATAACCTCACCTGGCCAGAGGTGCTAGGGGGATATCATAATCCCACCTGGCCAGAGATGCTGGGGGGACATCATAACCCCACCTGGCCGGAGGTGCTGGGGGGCGGGGGGAACTTCATAACCCTACCTGGCCGGAGGTGCTGGGGGTGACTTCATAAATGTCACCAGGCCAGAGGTGCTGGGGGGGATTTCGTAACCACAGCTGGCCAGAGGTGCTGGGGGAGATTTCATAACCCCACCTAGCCAGAGGTGCTAGTGGGACTTCATAATCACACCTGGCCAGAGGTGCCAGGAGGACTTCATAACCACACCTGGCCAGAGGTGCTGGGGGGACATCATAACCTCACCTGGCCAGAGGTGCTAGGGGGATATCATAATCCCACCTGGCCAGAGATGCTGGGGGGACATCATAACCCCACCTGGCCGGAGGTGCTGGGGGGCGGGGGGAACTTCATAACCCTACCTGGCCGGAGGTGCTGGGGGTGACTTCATAAATGTCACCAGGCCAGAGGTGCTGGGGGGGATTTCATAACCACAGCTGGCCAGAGGTGCTGGGGGAGATTTCATAACCCCACCTGGGCAGAGGTGCTAGTGGGACTTCATAATCACACCTGGCCAGAGGTGCCAGGAGGACTTCATAACCACACCTGGCCAGAGGTGCTGGGGGGACATCATAACCTTACCTGGCCAGAGGTGCTAGGGGATATCATAATCCCACCTGGCCAGAGATGCTGGGGGGCCATCATAACCCCACCTGGCCAGAGGTGCTGTGGGGCCATCATAACCCCACCTGGCCAGAGGTGCTGGGGGTGACTTCATAAATGTCACCTGGCCAGAGGTGCTGGGGGGGATTTCATAACCCCACCTGGCCAGGGGTGCTGGGGGGACATCATAACCTCACCTGGCCAGAGGTGCTGGGGGGTATCATAATCTGACCTGGCCAGAGATGCTGGGGGGACATCATAACCCCACCTGGCCAGAGGTGCTGTGGGGCCATCATAACCCCAGCTGGCCGGAGGTGCTGGGGGCTGGGGGAACTTCTTAACCCCACCTGGCCAGAGGTGCTGGGGGTGACTTCATAAATGTCACCTGGCCAGAGGTGCTGGGGGGGATTTCATAACCCCACCTGGCCAGAGGTGCTGGGGGGACATCATAACCTCACCTGGCCAGAGGTGCTAGGGGGTATCATAATCCCACCTGGCCAGAGATGCTGGGGGGACATCATAACCCCACCTAGCCAGAGGTGCTGTGGGGCCATCATAACCCCAGCTGGCCGGAGGTGCTGGGGGGCGGGGGGAACTTCATAACCCCACCCGGCCAGAGGTTCTGGGGGTGACTTCATAAATGTCACCTGGCCAGAAGTGCTGGGGGGATTTCATAACCTAACCTGGCCAGAGGTGCTGGGGGGACATCTTAACCTCACCTGGCCAGAGGCGCTAGGGGGATATCATAATCCCACCTGGCCAGAGATGCTGGGGGGACATCATAACCTCACCTGGCCAGAGGTGCTGGGGGTGGGTATTATATCCCCACCTGGCCAGAGGTGCTGGGGGGGACATCATAACCACACTTGGCCAGAGGTGCCGGTGGGACTTCATAACCCCACCGGGCCAGAGGTGCCGGGGGGACTTCATAACCACACCTGGCCAGAGGTGCCGGGGGGACATCATAACCACACCTGGCCAGAGGTGCCGGGGGGACAACATAACCACACCTGGCCAGAGGTGCCCGGAGGACTTCATAACCACACCTGGCCAGAGGTGCCCGGAGGACTTCATAACCCCACCTGTCCAGAGGTGCCGGGAGGACTTCATAACCACACCTGGCCAGAGGTGCCGGGCGGACTTCATAACCACACCTGGCCAGAGGTGCTGGGGGACATCATAACCCCACCTGGCCAGAGGTGCCAGGGGGGACATCATAACCCCACCTGGCCAGAGGTGCTGGGGGACATCATAATCCCACCTCGCCAGAGGTGCTGTGGGGCCATCATAACCCCACTTGGCCGGAGGTGCTGGGGGGCGGGGGGAACTTCATAACCCCACCTGGCCAGAGGTGCTGGGGGTGACTTCATAAATGTCACCTGGCCAGAGGTGCTGGGGGGGATTTCATAACCCCACCTGGCCAGAGGTGCTGCGGGGGACTTCATAACCACACCTGGCCAGAGGTGCCGGGAGGACTTCATAACCCCACCTGGCCAGAGGTGCTGGGGGACATCATAACCTCACCTGGCCAGAGGTGCTGGGTGGTATCATAATCTGACCTGGCCAGAGATGCTGGGGGGACATCATAACCCCACCTGGCCGGAGGTGCTGGGAAGCGGGGGGAAATTCATAACCCCACCTGGCCAGAGGTGCTGGTGGTGACTTCATAAATGTCACCTGGCCAGAGGTGCTGGGGGGGATTTCATAACCACAGCTGGCCATAGGTGCTGGGGGAGATTTCATAACCCCACCTGGCCAGAGGTGCTGGGGGGACATCATAACCTCACCTGGCCAGAGGTGCTAGGGGGTATCATAATCCCACCTGGCCAGAGATGCTGGGGGGCCATCATAACCCCACCTGGCCAGAGGTGCTGTGGGGCCATCATAACCCCACCTGGCCAGAGGTGCTGGGGGTGACTTCATAAATGTCACCTGGCCAGAGGTGCTTGGGGGGATTTCATAACCCCACCTGGCCAGGGGTGCTGGGGGGACATCATAACCTCACCTGGCCAGAGGTGCTGGGGGGTATCATAATCTGACCTGGCCAGAGATGCTGTGGGGCCATCATAACCCCACCTGGCCAGAGGTGCTGTGGGGCCATCATAACCCCAGCTGGCCGGAGGTGCTGGGGGTTGGGGGGAACTTCTTAACCCCACCTGGCCAGAGGTGCTGGGTGTGACTTCATAAATGTCACCTGGCCAGAGGTGCTGGGGGAGATTTCATAACCCCACCTGGCCAGAGGTGCTGGGGGGATATCATAACCTCACCTGGCCAGAGGTGCTGGGGGGTATCATAATCCCACCTGGCCAGAGATGCTGGGGGGACATCATAACCCCACCTAGCCAGTGGTGCTGTGGGGCCATCATAACCCCAGCTGGCCGGAGGTGCTGGGGGGCGGGGGGAACTTCATAACCCCACCCGGCCAGAGGTGCTGGGGGTGACTTCATAAATGTCACTTGGCCAGAGGTGCTGGGGGGATTTCATAACTCCACCTGGCCAGAGGTGCTGGGGGGACATCATAACCTCACCTGGCCAGAGGTGCTAGGGGATATCATAATCCCACCTGGCCAGAGATGCTGTGGGGCCATCATAACCCCACCCGGCCGGAGGTGCTGGGGGGCGGGGGGAACTTCATAACCCCACCTGAGCAGAGGTGCTGGGGGTGACTTCATAAATGTCACCTGGCCAGAGGTGCTGGGGCGGATTTCATAACCCCACCTGGCCAGAGGTGCCGGGGGGACTTCATAACCCCACCTGGCCAGAGGTGCCGGGAGGACTTCATAACCACACCTGGCCAGAGGTGCTGCGGGGACATCATAACCTCACCTGGCCAGAGGTGCTGGGGGTGGGTATTATATCCCCACCTGGCCAGAGGTGCTGGTGGGGGGACTTCATAACCACACCTGGCCAGACTTGCCGGGGGGACATCATAACCACACCTGGCCAGAGGTGCCAGTGGGACTTCATAACCCTACCTGGCCAGAGGTGCCGGGGGGACTTCATAACCCCACCTGGCCAGAGGTGCTGGGGGGACATCATAACCACACCTGGCCAGAGGTGCCGGGGGGACATCATAACCACACCTGGCCAGAGGTGCCGGGGGGACATCATAACCACACCTGGCCAGAGGTGCCCGGAGGACTTCATAACCACACCTGGCCAGAGGTGCCGGGGGGACATCATAACCACACCTGGCCAGAGGTGCTGGGGGTGGGTATTATATCCCCACCTGGCCAGAGGTGCTGGGAGGGGACTTCATAACCACACCTGGCCAGAGGTGCCGGGGGGACATCATAACCACACCTGGCCAGAGGTGCCGGTGGGACTTCATAACCCCACCTGGCCAGAGGTGCCAGGGGACTTCATAACCACACCTGGCCAGAGGTGCCGGGGGGACATCATAACCACACCTGGGCAGAGGTGCCGGGGGGACATCATAACCACACCTGGCCAGAGGTGCCTGGAGGACTTCATAAACACACCTGGCCAGAGGTGCCCGGAGGACTTCATAACCACACCTGTCCAGAGGTGCCGGGAGGACTTCATAACCACACCTGGCCAGAGGTGCTGGGCGGACTTCATAACCACACCTGGCCAGAGGTGCTGGGGGACATCATAACCCCACCTGGCCAGAGGTGCTGGGGGACATCATAACCACACCTGGCCAGAGGTGCTGGGGGACATCATAACCCCACCTGGCCAGAGGTGCTTGGGGACTTCATAACCACACCTGGCCAGAGGTCCCGGGGGGGCCATCATAACCCCACCTGGCCGGAGGTGCCGGGGGGGCCATCATAACCCCACCTGGCCAGAGGTGCCGGGGGGACTTTATAACCACGCCTGGCCAGAGGTGCCGGGGGGACTTCATAACCACGCCTGGCCATAGGTGCCGGGGGGACTTCATAACCGCGCCTGGCCAGAGGTGCTGGGGGACTTCATAACTGCACCTGGCCAGAGGTGCTGGGGGATATCATAACCGCACCTGGCCAGTGGTGCTCGGGGACATCATAACCCCACCTGGCCAGAGGTGCTGGGGGAGTTCATAACCCCACCAGGCCAGAGGTGCTGGAGGCCATCACAACCCCACCTGGCCATAGGTGCTGGGGGACTTCATAACCACACCTGGTGTGTACCACCACGCCTCCCTAATTTTTGAATTTTTAGTAGAGACGGGGTTTCGCCATGTTGGCAAGGCTGGTCTCTACTCCTTACCTCTAGTGATCCATCCACCTCAGCCTCCGAAAATGCTGGGATTACAGGCATGAGCCACCGCGCCCGGCCGTATCCTGGAACTTTACTGAATTCATTTATGAATTCTGACAGTTGTTTGGAAGAATCTTTAGGTTTGTTTAAATATAAGGTCACATCATCTACTAACAATGACAATTTGACTTTCCATTATTCATGCTGTTTGTTTCTTTCTGTTGTCTAATTGCTCTGGTTAAAACTTTGAGTACTATGTTGAATAAGTGGGGAAAATGAGTATCCTTGTTTTGTTCCAGATCAGAGAAAAGGCTTTCGGTTTTTTTTCCCATTTAGTATAATACTAGCTGTGAGTTTATTTTATATGACATTTATTATGTTCTTCCTATACACAGTTTGTTCAGGGTTTTTCTCATGACAGGATGTGGAATTTTATTGAATGTTTAAAAGCATCTATTGAAATAATTTATGGTTTTTGTCCTGCATTCTTTTGATGCATTGTGCCACGTTTATTGATTTGCATATGCTGAACCATCTTTGCATCCCGGGGATGCATCCCACTTGATCAAAATGAATGATCTTTTTAATGTGTTCTTGAATTTGGGATGCTAGTATTTCACTGAGGATTTTTGTATCTACATTCATCAGAAATATTGGCCTGTAGTTTTCTTTTTTGTTTGTTTGTCTGGTTTTTGTATCAGGATAATGCTGGACTTGTAGAATGAGTTTAGGTGTATTTCCTTCTTTTATATTTTTTGGGGTAGTTTGAGTAGAATTGGTATTAGTTGTTCTTTAGATATTTGGCAAATTCAGCAGTGAAGCCATGAGGTACTTAGCTTTTCTTTGATGGGAGACTTTTCAGCACTGCCCCTATCTCACTGTATGTTATTGGTGTATTCATGCTTTCCATTTCTTCATGTTTAAATCCTGGTAGGTGGTATGTGTCTAGGAATTTATCAATTTCCTCTGCCTTTTCCAATTTTTTGGCATGTATAATAGTTGCTCATAGTAGTCTCTAAAGATATTTTGAATTTCAGTGATATCAGTTGTAATGTCATCTCTCTGATTTAATTTATTTGAGTCTTCTCTTTTTTCTTAGTCTGTCAAAAGAGTTTGTCAATTTTGTTTATCTTTCCAAAAACCGACTTTTTGTTTTGTGATCTTTTGTATTTTTTGTTTCAATTTGATTTCTGCTCTGATCTTTATTATTTATTGTCTTCTCTTAATTTTAGGTTTGATTTGCTATTGCTTTTCTAATTCTTTAAGGTGGTGCATCATTTGGTTGTCTGAAGTCTTTTTACTCTCTCTCTCTCTTTTTTTTTTTTTTTTGAGACAGGGTCTGGCTCTGTCACTCAGGCTGGAGTGTAGTGGCGTGATGTCGGCTTACTGCAACCTCTGCCTCCCAAGCTCATGCCATCCTCCCACCTCAGCCTCCTGCGTAGTTGGGACTCTAGGCATGTGCCACCACACTCAGCTTTTTTTTTTTTTTTTTTTTTTTTGTATTTTTGGTAGAAACGGGGTTTCATCATGTTGCTCAGGCTTGTCTCAAACTCCTGAGCTCAAGCAATCCACCTGCTTTGGCTTCCGAAGTGCTGGGATTACAGGCATGAGCCACTGTGCCTAGCCTTTACTCTTCTAACATAGGCATTTATTAGTATAAGCTTCCTTCTTAGTACTGCTTTTGATATACTTCATAGGTTTTGGTACGTTGTATTTCAATTTTTTACAGTTTCAAGAAACTTTAAAATTTCTGTCTTAGTTGCTTCATTGAGCAATGGTATTCAGGAGCATGTTATTTAATTTCTATGTATTTGAATAGTTTCCCAAGTTCCTCTTGTTGTTGATTTCTAGTTTTATTCTATTGTGGTCACAGAAGACAACTGATATAATTTTGATTTTTTCAAATTTTCTGAGACTTTTTTTGTGGCCTAAGGTATGGTCTGTTCTGGAGAATGTTCCATGTGCTAATAAGAATGTGTATTCTGCAGCTGTTAGATGAAATGTTCTGTAAATATCTGTTAGATCCATTTGGTCTCTAGCGCAGATTAAGTCAGATGTTTCTATGTTGATTTTCTGCCTGGAAGTTCTGTCCAGTGCTGAAAGTAGGTTGTTGAAGTCTCCAGCTATTATGGTACTGAGGACTATCTCTCTCTTTAGCTGTAATAATATTTGCTTTATACATCTGGCTGCTCCAGTGTTGGGCCCATATATGTTTACCATTGTTATATCCTCTTGCTGAGTTAACCACTTCATCCTCATATAATAACCGTTTTTGTCTTTTTTTTTTACTGTTTTGTCTTGAAACGTCTTATATCAGAAACTTTATCTGATATAAATACAGTGACTCTTGCTTTTTTGTTTCCATTTGCATGGAATATCTATTTTCATCCCTTCCTTTTCAGTCTGTGTGTATCTTTATGGGTGAAGTGAGTTTCTTTCCTTTTTTTTTTTTTTTTTGACAGAATTTCTTTCTCATTGCCCAGGCTGGAGTGTAATGACACGGTCTTGGCTCACTACAACCTCCACTTCCTGGGTTCAAGCGATTCTCCTGCCTCAGTCTCCCAAGTAGCTGGGATTACAGGCACCTGCACCACTCATGGCTAATTTTTTTGTATTTTTAGTAGAGACGCAGTTTCACCATGTTGGCCAGGGTGGTCTTGAACTCCTGAACTCAAGTGATCTGCCTGCCTCAGCCTCCCAAAAGTGCTGGGATTACAGGCGTGAGCCATTGTGCCCAGCCGAAATGAGTTTCTTATAGGCAACATATAGTGAGTCTTGTTTTTAAAATACATTCAGCCACTCTACGTCTTTTTATTGGAGAATATAGCCTATTTAAATTCAATGTTATTATTGATAGGTTATTAATGCCATTTTGTTACTTGTTTTCTGGTTGTTTTATTAGTCCTTCCTTTCTCCTGGTCTTCCTTTTTGTAGAAGTGATATTCTCTGGTAGCATATTTTGATTTCTTGCTTTTTAATTTTTGTGTATCTATTATAGGTTTTTCCTTGGTGATTACCATGAGGTTTGCAAAAAACATCATCAGTTCTTTTAAACTGATGACAACTCAACTCTGATCACATAGAAAAGAAAAAAGAAAGAAAAATTAACTTTGTCACTGCTGCTTGTTGACTTTTTCTTGTTTCTATTTTTATATTTTTTGTATCTTCACAATTGTTTTACTTATGATTATTTTTGATGGGTTTGTCTTTTAGTCTTCACACTAACGATATGAGTGATTTTTTTTTTTTTTTTGAGACAGAGTCTTGCTCTGTCACCCAGGCTGGAATGCAGTGGTGCAATCTCGGCTCACTGCCAGCTCCGCCTCCCGGGTTCACACCATTCTCCTGCCTCAGCCTCCCGAGTAGCTGGGACTACAGGTCCCCACCACCATGCTCGGATAATTTTTTGTATTTTTAGTAGAGACAGGGTTTCACCGTGTTAGCCAGGATGGTCTCGATCTCCTGACCTTGTGATCCACCCGCTTCGGCCTCCCAAAGTGTTGGGATTACATGTGTGAGCCACCACGCCTGGCCAAGTGATTTTTTTTTTTTTCTGAGACAGAGTCTGGCTTTGTCATCCAGGTTGGAGCACAGTGGTGTGATCTTGGTTCACTGCAACCTCCACCTCCAGGATTCAAGTGATCTTGTGCCTCAGGCACCTGAGTAGCTGGGATTACAGGCACGCACCACCATACCCAGCTACTTTTTGTATTTTTAGTAAAGATGGGGTTTTGCCATGTTGGCCAGCTGGTCTTGAACTCCTGAGTTCAAGTGATTCACCCACCTCAGCCTCCCAACGTGACATGAGTGATTTATACTCTCCAATTACAATATTAGAGTATTAGGTATACTCACTTTCATCAGCAGGTTTTGTTCTTTCTGATGATTTCTTGTTGCATATTAGCATCCTTTACTTTCAGAATGAAGTACCTTTAGCATTTCTTGTAAAATTGATCTAGCATTGATGAATTTCCTTAGCTTTTGTTTGTCTGGAAAAGCTTTTATTTCTCCTTGGTGTTTGAAGGATAACTTCGTTGGATACAGTATTTTATGTTAGAAGTTGTTCCACTCAGGACTTTGTATATGTCATTCCACTCTCTCCGGGCTTGTACAGTTTCCACTGAGCAGTCTACAACCAGATACATTGGAGCTTCTTTATATGTTATTTGCTTCTTTCTGTTACTGTTTTTAGGATCCTTTTTTTGTCCTTGACCTTTGAGAGTTTGATTATTATAGGCCTTGAGGGAGTCTTATTTAGCTTGAATCTTTTTGGTGTGTGCTTTTTTTTTTTAACCTTCTTCTATGTGGATATTACTATCTTTTTCTAGGTTTGAAAAGTTACATGTTATTTGCCTGAATAAACCTTCTACCCAAATCTCTTTCTCCATCCTCTTTAAGGTTAATAACTCTTATATTTGTCCTTTTAAGGCTGTTTTCTAGATAGCCTTAAAAGGGCAAATATAAGAGTAAGCATACTTTATTCTTTTATTTTCTGCTCTGTGTATTTTCAAATAGCCTATCTTTGAGCTCAATAATTTATTCCTTTGCTTGATCAATTCTGGAGGCATTCTGATGCATTTTTCAGTTTGCTAATTGAATTTTTAGTCTCTGGGATCATACCACTGCACTCCGGCCTGGGTGACAGAGTGGGACTCTGTCTCAAAGAAAACAACAACAACAACAACAAAACAACAAACAAAAAAACTTGTCTCTGGAATTTGATTTTTTAAAAATTATTTTCATTTCTCTTTTTTTGATAGAATTCTAAGTTTCTTCTTTGTGTTATCTTGAAATTCATTGAGCTTCCTCAAGACAGTTATTTGAATTCCTCATCAAATTATCTTGGGGCAGACATCTTTCCGGCCAGAGGGGGGTTATCTCGAGGCTGGCATCTTCCTGGCGGAGGGGGGTTATCTTGGGGCTAGCATGTCTCTGGTCGGGGAGGAGTTTGGAATGTTTCTGGTTGGAGATGTTATTTGTGGTTTATGGTCGTGCTGACCTTAGCCATTAGGCTGATGCCCTTTGGACTGAGGCAGTTTTTTACCAAGGTAGAAATCAGAATAAAAATTAGAATCAGGAGCTTGTCCAAGATGGCAATGCTCCTGCTCTGTCAGTACCCACTTGGAAGGCACAGTCTTCTTTACTCTTCCCTCTCCTTCCCCCAAGATGAAGGAGTCTCTCCATGACAAACTGCCTGCAGTTGGGCAAGGGGTTATGCGAGCATTCCCATGGCTGCTGTAGCTGGTGTTATGCTGGGTCACACCACAAGTTCACAGCCTCTGAAATGAGTGCAGCACATCTGCTTGGCCAAGGATGCAGTCACTGTGGGCTGGCAGTCACTCAAATTTACTCAGTACCCAGGCCATTTTAGCCAGGCTGTGGTGAAGCAAGCTGGGACTTGGGTTCCTCCTATTGGAGTGGAGGATTCCTCTCTGGCCTGGGGCTGGTTTAAGTGTTCCCTCTGTGGGCATCAGGGGTTTCTGTCCAGTGTTGTGCTCCATTGCGACAGAAAAGCACTGATTTCCAATGTGAAGTTCCATGCTCATTTCACTCTGTCTCCCACAAACACACAGATTGTTTCTCCATACTGTGATGCCTGGGGTTGTTGGTGGTGGTAGTGGTGTAGGCAATGTAACATTGTCCTTCCTACCCTCTTCAATGTGCCTTTATGTTATATTATGTTCAAACCAGGTACTGTTGTCACTCATTTAATTTTTTGATTCTTACGAAGGTGCTTTCTTGGGTAGATAGTTGTTGAATTTGGTGTCCCTGTTGGGGAGATAGCAACTGGAGGGTTCCATTTACCACCTGGTTCCACCTCCCTCCTCTAAGCAAGCTTCTTCAGAAATGCATTATTTGCTGTTTTCTTTCAGAAAATGGAACTTTTAACAGAGAACTCCAATCTAATGTTGAGAATTTAATATTGTTAAACATTGTTCAATAGCAACACTATCTTACTTTTGTTCATAAGAGCTTGTTATGCCAACTTTACATATACTTGTTTAAAAGGTAAATGTAAGCAAGCTTCTTTAGAGATGGATTATGTGGGCCGGGTGTGGTGGCTCACGCCTGTAATCCCAGCACTTTGGGAGGCCAAGGCGGGTGGATCACAAGGTCAGGAGATCGAGACCATCCTGGCTAACACGGTGAAACCCTGTCTCTACTAAAAATACAAAAAAATTAGCCGGGCGTGGTGGCGGGCGCCTGTAGTCGCAGCTACTCAGGAGGCTGAGGCAGGAGAATGGCGTGAACCTGGGAGGCGGAGCTTGCAGTGAGCCGAGATCACGCCACTGCACTCCAGCCTGGGCAACAGAGTGAGACTACATCTCAAAAAAAAAAAAAAAAAAAAAAAGAGAGATGGATTATGTGGTATATTCTTTCAGAAATTGGAACTGTTTAACAAATACAGAATTCTGTAATCTAGTGTGGAGAAAATGCTATTGAATGATAGTTCTTACCTTTGTTCACAATGGCTTATGATGATGGGTTTACATAAACACGGTTAAGAGGTAAATCTTCACAAGCTTCTTTAGAGAGGCATTTTGTGCTGTTTTCTTTCAGAAATTGGAACTGTTTAACAAATACAGAACTCTGTAACCTAGTGTTGGGAACATGCTATTGAATGATATTTCTAGTATTTGTTCCCTAAATCTTATAATGAAATGATTACAAACGCTTGTTTGGGAGGCAAATCTAAGCAGCCTTCTTCAGAGTTGCTCATTTGCAGTTTTCTTTCAGAGAATGAAAGTGCTTAATTGCTAAAAACTCTGTAATCTAGTGTTAACAACATGCTATTGAGTGATATATCACACCTTTGTTTCTACAATAAGAGGTTATTGTAAGGTATTTACATATACTCATTTAAAATGTAAATTTAACCAAGCTGCTTAAGAGATGCATCCTATGGTGTTTTCTATCAGAGAATGGAATTGCTTAACACATAAAGACTATGTAGTCTAGTGTTGAAACATGTTATTGAATAATATTTCTCATTTGAGTTGCTACAGGCTTATTAAGTGGTGTTTATGTATACATGTTTAAACGGTAAGCTAAGCAAACTTCATCAGAGATGTATTGTGCCCTGTTTTGTTTTAGAGAACAGATTTGGTATTACATGGACAACTCTGAAATGTAGTCTCAACAACATGTTCTTGAATGATATTATCATTATTCTGAAAATGTTATTGTGAGGTGTTTACATATGTGCATTTAAAAGCTAAATCTAAGGAAGCTTCTTCAAAGATGCATAATTTATTTTTTCCCCCAGAGAAGTATTTATTACACAGAGAACTGGGAATCTAGTGTTGACAACATGCTATTTTATGGTGTTTGTGATCCTTGCTCCACAGAAGTTACTGGGAGGTATTTACATATACTTGTTTAAAGGGAAATATAAATGAGTTTCTCCAAAAATGCATTATGCTGCTTTTGTTCAGAGAATTAAATTGATTAACATATAAAAAACTCTTTTTTTTTTCTGAGACGGTGTCTCATCCTGTCACCCAGGCTGGAGTGCAATGGCGCGATCTCGGCTCACTGCAACCTCTGCCCCCCGGATTCAAGTGATTCTCCTGCCTCAGCCTCCTGAGTAGCTGGGATTACAGGCACGCACCACCATGCCTGGCTAATTTTTATATTTTTAATAGAGATGGGGCTTCACCATGTAGGCCAAGCTGGTCTCGAACTCCTGACCTCAAGTGATCTGCTTACTTCAGCCTCCCAAAGTGCTGGGATTACAGCCACTGCGCCCAGCCAAAGAGCTCTTAAATATAGTGTTAATAACATGCTACTGAATGATATTTCTTATCTTTGTTCCAAATGAGTTATTACAAATTTACATATACATGTTTAAAAGGTAAATCTAAGTAAACTTATTTAGGGATGCATTACATGCTATTTTTTTTTCAGAATATGAAAGTCTTTATTACATAGAGAACTCTGTAATGTAGTGTTGGCAACATTCTATTGAAAGATATTTCTTACACTGAAATACTTTTCCTGAGGGCTTATAATGAGGTGTTAACATATACACATTTAAAAGGTATATGGCAGAAAGGCACCATGGGCTGGTTTCTTTCAGGAAATGAACTATTTATCACAAAGAGATATCTGAAATTTAGTGGTTTTTTTTTTTTTTTTTTTTGGCAAAGTCTTACTCTGTCACCCAGACTGAATTACAGTGGCACTATCTTGGCTTACTGTAGCGCCTGCCTCCCAGGCTCCCAGCTCAGCCTCCCATGTAGCTGGGATCATAGACATGTACCACCACATTGGGCTAATGTTTTTATATTTTATTTTTTATTTTTAGTAGAGTTGAGGTCTTGCTACATTGCCCAGGCTAGTCTTGAACTCCTGGGATCAAGTGATCCACCTTCCTCGGTCTCCCAAAGTGCTGGGATTACAGGCCTGAGCCACCGCGCCTGGCCTGAAATTTAATTTTGATAACATGCTGTTAAATAATATTTCTTATTTGTTCCAAAGGAGTTATTATGAGGTGTTTACATATAAATACTTAAAATATAAATATAAGCAAGCTTCTTCAGAGATGCGTCATGTGCTGTTTTGTTTCAGAGAATGGAATTGTTTATAACATATAAAATTTAAAAGTCTCTTTTTGACAACATGCTAATGAATGATTTTCTTTTTTACGTTTGTTCCTAAGGATTTATTATGAGGTATTACAAGGCGTGTTTAAAAGGTAAGTCTGGCTGGGCATGGTGGCTCATGCCTGTTATCCCAGCACATTGGGAGGCCAAGGTGGGTGGACTGCTTGAGCCCAGGAGTTCAAACATGGACAACATGGCAAAATCCCACCTCTACAAAAAATGCAAAAAAATTATCCAGGCATGGTGGCATGTGCCTGTAATTCCAGCTATTCAGGAGGCTGAGGTGAGAGGATCACCTGAGCCCAGGAGGTTGAGGCTGCAGTGAGCCACGATTGCACCACTGCACTCAAGCCTGGGTGACAGAGCGAGACTATGTCTCAAAAAACAAACAAAAAACAAAAACAAAACAAAAAAAGGTAAATCTAAGCAAGCTTTGGCGAAGTACATCATGTGCTGTTTTCTTTCAGAGAATGAGAATGTTTAGCACTTAAAGAACTCTGTGATCTACTGTTGATTAACATGCTATTGATGATAATTCTTACATTTGTTCCTATGGCTTATTATAAAGTGTTTACATAAAATATTTAAGGTAAATCGAAACAAGTTTCTTTAGAGATGCACCATATGTTTTTTTTTTGTTTCAGAGAGTGGAATTATTTATTATTATTTCAGAGAATTCTGAAATTTAGTGTTGACAACATGCTCTTGAATGATATTTCTTATTATTGTTCCAAAGAGGTTATTATGAGGTATTTACATAAGCACATTTAAAAGGTAAATCTAGGCCAGGCACGGTGGCTCATGCCAGTAATTACAGCACTTTGGAAGGCTGAGGTGGGTGGATCGCTTGAGGCAAGGAGTTCGAGACCAGCCTGGCCAACATGGTGAAACTCTGTCTCTACTAAAAATACAAAAAGTAGCTGGGTGTGGTGGTGCATACCTGTAGTCCCAGCTACTCTGGAGGGTGAGGAAGGAGAATTGCTTGAACCCAGGAAGTGGAGGCTGCAGTGAGCTGAGATTGCACCACTGCAGTCCAGCCTGGACAACTGAGTGAGACTCATCTCAAAAAAAAAAAGAAAAAAAGGTAAATCTAAACAATTTTTTTCAGAGGTGCATCATGTGCTCATTACTTTCAGAGAATGGAAATGGTTAACACGTAGAGCACTCTGTAATCTAGTGTTGACAACATGCTATTGGAATGAAATTTCTCACATTTGTTCTTAATTTCTTTTTATGTATTTTCTATCTGAGTCTGTTTTTGTTTTGCTCTAAAGGAATACCTGAGGCTGGGTAATTGATAAAGAAAAGAGGTTTATTTAGCTTACAGTTGTGCAGCTTGCCTGAGAAGCAAGTCCCCTGTATCTGCATCTGGTGAGTCTCCTGGGGGGCTTTCACCCCTGGTGGAAGGTGAAGGGGTGCCGTGTGTGCAGAATCACATGATGAGACCGCAGAAGCAAGAGAGCAAGGAGGGGAGTTCCAGGCTCTTTTAAACATTCAGTTCTCATAGGAATTAAGAGTGAGAATTCACTCATTACAGAGAGGATGGCATCAAACATTCATGAGGGGTTTGTCCTCATGACACAAATACCTCCTATTAGGTCCCACCTCCACATTGGGTACAAATTTCAACATGATATTTGGAGGGGATGAATATCCAAACTTTATCATTTCGCCTCAGACCGTCCAAATCATATGTACTTCTCACATTGCAAAATATAATCACCCTTTCCTAATAGTCCCCAAAGGCTTAACTTGTTCCAATCATCAACTCATAAGTCCAAAGTCTAAAGTCTGATTTGAGACTCAAGGTCAAGTTTTTACACCTGTAAGCCTGTACAACTAAAAACAAGTTGTTTGCTTTTAAGATAGAATGGTAAGACATATACTGGGTAAGCGTTCTTATTTCAAAAGTGAGAAATTGGCCAAAAGAAAGGGTTATTGCAAGACTGAAATTGGCCATGCAAGACTGAAACCTATTGGCGAAGGCATTAAACCTTTAAGCTCCAAAATAATATTTGGGTCCATGTACTGTATCCTGGGCACCATGGTGCAAGAGGTGGTCCCCCCAAGGCCTTGGGCATTCCCACCCCCATGGCTTTGCTGGGTGCAGCCCACCTGGCTACTCTCACAGGTTGGAGTTCAATGGCTTTGGCTTTTCCAGGCTGAGGGTGCACACTGCTGGTGGCTCTACTGTTCTTGGGTCTGGAAGGTGGCATCCCTGTTCCCACAGCTCCATTAGCCATTGCCCTAATATAGGCTTTTTTTTGTGGGGCCCTCAACCGCACTATCCACTCAGGATTGCCTGAGTAGAGTCTCTCTTTGGGGGTTCTGCCCTGCAGCAGCCTTCTGCCTGGGCACCCTGGATTCCTGGCACATCCTCTGACACCTAGGTGGAAGCTTCCAAGCCTCCCCCACACTTGCATTTTGCAGACTTAACACATGTGGAAACTGCCAAGGCTTATGACTTTCACCCTTTGGAGCAGCAGCCCAAGCTGTACTTGAGGCTATTTGGGCTATGGCTACAGCCAGAATGGCTTGGATATGGGAGCAGCATTCCAAGGTGCCACAAAGCTGTGGCACCTGGGGCCTGGCACCCAAAAACATACTGTCCCCCTAGACCTCTGGGCCTGTGATGAGAGAGGTGTCCTTGAAGATTTCTAAAATGCCTCTAGGGCTTTCCTGCATTGTCTTGACTATTAGCACCTGGCTCCCTTTTGTCTCTGCCTATGTCTCTAGCAAGAGATTGCTCCACTGCCCCCTTGAATTCCTTGTCTGAAAATGCTCTTTCCTTTCCTACCACATAGCAAGGCTGGAAATTTTCCAAATTTTAATGGTTTATTTCCTTTTTAATTATAAATTCCACCTTTAAGTCATTCTCTTACTGTCAAATCTGGTCATAGGCTGTTAAAAAGCAGCCCTGCTGACTGGGCACAGTGGCTCATGCCTGTAATCCCAGCACTTTGGGAGGCCAAGGTGGGCAGATCACTTGAGGCCAGGAGTTCAAGGCCAGCCTGGCCAACATAGCGAAAACTCATCACTACTAAAAATACAAAAATTAGCCAGGCCTGGTGATGTGCACCTGCAGTCCCAGCTACTCAGGAGGCTAAGGTCAGAGAATCACTTGAATCCAGGAGGCGGAGGTTGCAGGGAGCTGAGATGGTGTCACTGCATTCCAGCCTGGGTGACAGAGTGAGACTCTGTCTCAACCCCCCCCCCAAAACAAAACAAAACAAAACAAAAAACAAACAAAAAAACCCAGCCATGCCACTTCTTGAACACTTTGCTGCTTAAAAATTTCTTTCGACAGATACCCTAGGTCATCACTCTTGTTTGTCCTTCCATGAATCCTTGGGGTATGGACACAATGCAGTCATGTTCTTTGCTATGGTGTCACAAGTGTGACCTTTGCTCCATTTCCCAATAACTTCCTCATTTCCATCTGAGACCTCATCAGACTGGACTTCACTGTCCATATCATTATGAGCATTTTGGTCACAACCATTCAACCAGTCTCTAGGAAGTTCCAAACTTTCCCTCATCTTCCTCTCTTCTTCTGTGCCCTCCACACTCTCCTAACCTCTGCCCATTACCCAGTTCCAGAGCTGCTTCCACATTTTCAGGTATCTTTGTAGCAATGTTCCACTTCTAGGTATCAATTTTCTGTATTAGTCCATTCATGCATTGCTATAAAGAAATATCTGAGACTGGGTAATTTATGAAGAAAAGAGGTTTAATTGGCTCACAGTTCCACAGGCTGTACAGGAAGCATGATGCTGGCATCTGCTTGGCTTCTGGGAAGCCCTCAGGAAGCTTCCATTCATGGCGGAAGGCAGAGGTAGAGCATGTACTTCACATGGCCAGAGTAGGAGCAAGAGACAGTGAGGGGAGCGGTGCTATACACTTTTAACCAGAGTTTATGAGAATTCACTTACTATTGAGAGCACAGTACCAAGATAGATGGTGCTAAACCATTCATGAGAAAGTGCTCCCATGATCAAATCACCTTCCCATCAGGACCCACCTCCAACATTAGGGATTACGATTCAACATGAGATTCAAGGACACAGATCCAAACCATATCATGCTCTGTAATTCTTTCTTTAGCTTGGCCTATTCTGCTGCTAATGCTTTTGATTGTATTATGAAATTCTTGAGGAGGAGCCAAGATGGCTGAGTAGATGCAGCCAGGAGGAATATTCTCCCACAAAGATACTGGGATATTGAGAGAGACTGGCACACTCTGAGCAGCTCTTCAGAACAAAAGTGTTGAGAGTGGACAGAGGGAGGACACAGATGCTGGACTGAAGGGGGAGTATGCTGGGAGCCCTACACGGGGTTTCTGAGCACCAGGACTTGTTGCTTGCTCCTAGCATCTCCTGGGGAAGGAGTAAACTGAACAGGTGAGGAGTGGCCTACTCTCACCATGAACCTCCAGAATCCTAGCTGCAGGAGACCCCACAACCCCCATAGACATCTGAGCTGACAGGAAGAGCTGCCTAGACAGGTAGTAGGGGCAGGACTCCAGCCTGTGCAGAGCCCAGAGGGTTTTGGCATGGGAATGGCTACAGTGGAGCATGGCCAGTGACATCCATCCCCCAAGGTTCGCCATGCTCCTCTGGGAGATTTTAGCCTTAGCATGACTGTTGGACCTGGACAGAGCAGGATGGTCTTGCCCTTGGTCTTGCTCAGTCTGATCTGAGTGCCCCCTTGTCTGCTGGCCTCTCCTGAGGTCCCAGCCTGGCCATGCCTGCTTGCAGCACAGCCTTGGATGCCCAATCAGCGTGCTTCCCAGGGACCCTCATCACAGCTCCCTTGCTGGTGGACTGCACCTAACCTTTTGGAAGCTCCAGCAGACTGACCTCTGCTGATGCACACCAGTGTACCCACGGCCTCTTCCCCCACTGCTTTGTCAGCACACTCGCACGGGCAGATCTTGCCTACCATGCTGGTGCATGTGTGTGCAGGTATTACACCATGCCACTGCTACTGGCATGAGTGCACCCTGCTGCTCTCCACCCCTGCTGATGTGTGGTCACTCTGCCATGTCACCAGTGCCAGTATGAACATGTGCACAGACACTGACAACCCTGCCCCTTCCACACCACTGCAATCACCAGTGCAAACGCATGCACGGACACTGGCAATCCTGCCCGCATCATGCCACTGCTGTTGCTGGTATGAATGCACACGTGGACACCAGCAACCCTGCCCCCACAAGTTCCCTGTCCCTGCCATGCTGCTGCCAGTGTGAGAGCATGTGCAGGAATGCTGCTGCCCTGCTCTCACCAGTGCCCCTCCCCAGCCAATGTGCATGCACCCCACTGTGCTGCTGCAGCTGCTGACATGCATGAGTGAGCATAAATCCCACTGCCATTGCCCCAATGAAACACTTTGGCTGACACCCCCCATTGGAGTGTTGGGGGTCAGTGGACCAGAAACACCTTGGCCCCTCTAGTCCGGCAAATTCCTAAATCAAGGGACCAGAGAAGAAAGCTGGGAGCCCAAAACCAGTGCCCCAGAGTTAGAGCAGTTAGCCCAGGAGTGCTGAGCTAAGCCTTAGCCCCCCTAAAATGATCCAGAAACAAAATCAGTCAAATGAACCCACCTTACATCACAATCAAACCCCAAAGGGCATCACATATACAAGCAAAAAAACCCATCCAAAGGAAATAACTTCAAAGATTAAAGGAACATCAGCCCCACACATAAGGGAAAGAATCAGCGTAAAAACTATGGTAATTCAAAAAGCCAGAGTGTCTTCCTACCTCCAAATGACTGCACTAGTTCCCCAGCAATATTCTTAACCAAGCTGAAATGGCTGAAATGACAGACACAGAATTCAGAATAGGAATAGGAATGAGGATTATCGAGATTCAAGAGAAAGTTGAAACCCAACCCAAGGAATTTAAGGAATACAATAAAATAATACAGGAACCAAAAGATGAAATGGCCGTTTTAAGAAGGAACCCAAATTGATCTGATGTAGCTAAAAAATTTATTTCAATAATTTCTAAATACAATCACAATTATTACTATTATTATTATTATTATTATTATTGAGACAGAGCTCTGCTACCCAGGCTGGAGTGCAGTCAGGGGATCCCGGCTCACTGCAACCTCTGCTTCCTGGGTTCAAGTGATTCCCCTGCCTCAGCCTCCTGAGTAGCTGGGACTACAGGCACAGTACACCACACCTGGCTAATTTTTGTATTTTTAGTAGAGATGAGCCTTCACAAACTCCTGACCTCAGGTGGTCCACCTGCCTTGGCCTCCCAAAGTGCTGGGATTACAGGAGTGATGGGTCTGGCATGGTGGCTCACACTTTTGATCCCAGGACTTTGGACGGCCGAGCGCGGAGGATCGCTTGAGCACAGAAGATTGCTTGAGCCTAGGAGTTCCAGACCAGCCTGGGCAACATGGTGAAACCCGGTCTCTTTTTAATTTTTTTGATACTGGGAGTTTCGCTCTTGTTGCCCAGGCTGGAGCGCAGTGGCATGGTTTTTGCTGGCTGTGGCCTCCGCCTCCCAATTTTGGGTGGTTTTCCCTCAGCCTCCGGAGTGGCAGGGATTGCAGGCATGAGCCACCATGCCCGGCTCATTTGTTTTTTATTTTTTTATATTTTTAATTTTTATTTTTTGGTACAGACGGGTTTCTCCCTGTTGGTTAGGCTGGTCTCAAACTCCTGACCTCAGGTTATCTGCCTGCCTCGGCCTCCCGGGTTGCAGGCGTGAGCCACCGGGGTGCTGGGATTGCAGGGGTGATCCACCACGCCTGGCCCACTTTATTAATCGGAAAGGAATAGATCGGCCTGGCACGGTGGCTCACGCTTGTGATCCCAGGACTTCGGACGGCCGAGGGCGCGCGGATCTCATGAGCCTAGGTGTTCCAGACTGGCCTGGGCAACATGGTGAAACCCGGTCTTTTTTTTTTCGAGGTGGAGTTTCGCTCTTGTTGCCCGGCTTGGAGTGCAGTGGCCCGGTCTCAGCTCCCAGCGGCCTCCGCCTCTGGGTTTGGGTGGTTCTCCAGTCTCAGCCTCTGGAGTGGCTGGGATTGCACGCGTGAGCCACAATGCCCGGCTCATTTTGTAGTTTTTTTTGTATTTTTTGTTTTTGTTCTTTGTTGGTACAGACGAGGTTTCTCCATGTTTGTCAGGCTGGTCTCAGACTCCCGACCTCAGGTTACCCGCCAGCCTTGGTCTCCCGGGGTGCTGGGATTGCAGGTGTGAGCCACCGCTCCCGGCCCAATTTATTAATCAGAAAGGAATAGATCGGCCTGGCGTAGTGGCTCACGCTTGTGATCCCAAGAATTTGGACGGCCGAGCGCGGCGGATCGTTTGAGCCAGGAGTTCCAGATCCGCCTGGGCAACATGGTGAAACCCGGTCCCTTTTTTTTTTTTTTTTTTTGAGGTGGAGATTCGCTCTTGTTGCCCAGGCTGGAGTGCAGTGGCGAGGTCTCGGCTTGTCGGGCCTCCGCCTCCTGGGTTTGGGTGGTTCTCCTGCCACAGCCTCCCGAGTTCCAGACTGGCCTGGGCAACGCGGTGAAACCTGGTCTCTCTTTTTTTTTTTTTTTTTTTTTTGAGACAGCGTCTTGCTCTCTTGCCCAGGCTGGAGCAGTGGCACGATCTCAGCTCACTGCAAGCTCCGCCTCCCGGGTTCACGCCATTCTCCTGCCTCAGCCTCCCGAGAAGCTGGGACTACAGGCGCCCGCCACTACGCCTAATTTTTTTGTATTTTTTTTAGTAGAGTCGGGGTTTCACCGTGTTAGCCAGCATGGTCTCGATCTCCTGACCTCGTGATCCGCCAGCCTCAGCCTCTCAAAATGCTGGGATTACAGGCGTGAGCCACCGCGCCCGGCTTGTTTTTTTTTGTTTGTTTGTTTTGAGACGGAGATTCACTCTTGTTGCCCAGGGTGGAGTGCAGTGGCGCAGTCTCGGCTCTCCGGGCCTCCGCCTCCCAGGTTTGGTTGGTTCTCCTGCCACAGCCTCCCGAGTGGCTGGGATTGCACACTTGAGCCATCATGCCCGGGTCATTTTTTTTTTTTTTTTTTTTTGGTGGAGATGGGGTTTCTCCATGTTCCTCAGGCTGGTCTCAAACTCCCGACCTCAGGTTATCTGCCCGCCTCGGCCTCCCGAGTGGCTGGGATTGCAGGCGTGAGCCATCGTGCCCGGCTAATTCCCTAACTGTGCAATTGCAAGGTCACTAAACAAACTCAACAAAACGTATTTTTCCTTAAATAGTAAAAAATAATATAATGCATATTTCAATTAATTATCTTTGTTTCTCGCTTCTGTATTATGCTTCCCCCTGCACAGATCTACCCCCGCCCCACAAAATGCTTAAAAGATAGCCCTTGGTTCCAGAACTCAATGCTTTAAATGTTAAGCTGACTGGGCCAGTGCACCTAAATAATATCCTCCTAAACCCCATCAGTCTCTCTAATTCCTTAAAAATCCCGCTACAGGATTGCAAGCCTGAGACACCGCGCCCGGCCCAATTTATTTATCAGAAAGGAATAGATAGGCCTGGCGTGGTGGCTCACGCTTGTGATCCCAGGACATTCAACGGCCAAGCCCGGCAGATCCCATGAGCCTAGGAGTTCCAGACCGGCCTGGACAACATGGTGAAACCTGGTCTATTTATTATTATTATTATTAATTTTTTTCTTTTTTGAGGCGGAATTTCGTTCTTCTAGCCCAGCTGGAGAGCAGTGGCGTGGTCTTGGCTCCCCGTGGCCTCCGCCTCCGGGTTTGGGTGGTTCTCCAGCCTCAGCCTCCCTAGTGGCTGGGATTGCAGGCGTGAGCCACAATGCCCAGCTCATTTTTTTTTTTTTCTTTTTGGTACAGATGGGGTTTCTCCATGTTGGTTAGGCTGGTCTCAAACTGCCGACCTCAGGTTAACTGCCCGCCTCAGCCTCCAGGGATGCTGAGATTGCAGGCGTGAGCCACCGCGCCTGGCCCAATTTATTAATCAGAAAGGAATAGATCAGCCTGGCGTGGTGGCTCACGTTTGTGATCCTAGGACTTTGGATGGCCGAGCACGGCGGATCTCTTGAGCCTAGGAGTTCCAGACCCTCCTGGGCAACATGGTGAAACCTGGTCTTTTTTTTTTTGGGTGGGGGGCGGAGTTTCGCTCTTGTTGCCCAGGCTGGACGGCGGTGGCAAGGTCTCGGTTCGCTAGGCCTCTGCCTCCGGGTTTAGTTGGTTCTCCTGCCTCAGCCTCCAAGTGGCTGGGATTGCACGCATGAGCTACCATGCCCGGCTGATTTATTTATTTATTTATTTATTTTTTGGTACAGACGGGGGTTTCTCCCTGTTGGTCAGGCTGGTCTCAAACTCCCGACCTCAGGTTACCCGCCCTCCTCGGCCTCCGGGGGTGCTGCGATTGCAGGCATGAGCCAGGGCGCACGGCCCAATTTATTATTTTTATTATTTTTTTTCGAGATGGAGTCTCTGTCACCCAGGCTGGAGTGCAGTTGCGCTATCCCGGCTCACTGCAACCTCCACCTGCAAGGTTCAAGCGATTCTCCTGCCTCAGCCTTCTGAGTAGCTGGGATTACAGGCGCCCGCCACACACTCGGCTGATTTTTTTGTATTTTTGGTAGAGACGGGGTTTCATCATATTGGCCAGGCTGGTCTCGAACTCCTGAACTCAGCTGATCCACCCACCTCAGCCTCCCAAAGTGCTGGGATTACAGGCGTGATCGGCCTGGCTTGGTGGCTCACGCTTTTGATCTCAGGACTTGGGATGGCTGAGCGTGGCAGATCACTTGAGCCTAGGAGTTCAGACCGGCCTGGGCAACATGGTGAAACCAGGTCTCTTTTTTGCTTGTTTTTTTTGAGAGGGAGTTTCGCTCTTGTTGCCCAGGCTGGAGTGCAGTGGCGCAGTCTCGGCTCCCCGCGGCCTCCGCCTCCCGGGTTTGGGTGGTCCTCATGCCTCAGCCTCCCGAGTGGCTGGGATTCCAGGCATGAACCACCATACCCGGCTAATTTTTTTTTTTTTTTTTTGGTCCAGACGAGGTTTCTCCATATTGGTCAGGATGGTCTCAAACTCCCGACTTCACGTTACCCAACCGCCTCGGCCTCCCGGGGTGCTGGGATTGCAGGTTTGAGCCACCGCGCCCGGCCCAATTTATTAATCAGAAAGGAATAGATCGGCCCGGAGTGGTGGCTCACGCTTTTGATCCCAGGACTTTGGACGGCCGAGTGCGGCAGATCGCTTGAGCCTAGGAGTTCCAGACCTGCCTGGGCAATATGGTGGAACCTGATCTCTTTTTTTTTTCTTGAAGCGGAGTCTCGCTCCTTTGCCCAGGTTGGAGGGCAGTGGCGCGGTCTCGGCTCGCCTAGGCCTCCGCCTCCCAGGTTTGGGTGATTCTTCTGCCTCAGCCTCCTGAGTGGCTGGGATTGCGGGCGTCAGCCACCATGCCCGGTTAGTTTTTTATTTTTTATTTTTTTGGTAGAGATGCGGTTTCTCCATGTTGGTCGGGCTGGTCTCCAGCTCCTCACCTCGGGTGATCCGCCGGCCTCGGCCTCCCGGGCTGCTGGAATTGCAGTCGTGAGTCACTGCGCCTGGCCCGAAACCCGGTCTCTTAACGGAAAAACAAAACAAAAGCCACAAAGATTAGCCGGGCGTGGTGGGCCCCGCGGGTAGTCCCAGCTACTCCAAAGGCTGATGCAGGAGGATTGCTTGAGCCCGGGGGGTGTGGGGGGGTGTGGTGGGGGGTGGAGGTGGCAGTGAGCCATGATGGCCCTGCTGTAGTCCAGACTGGAGGACAGAGCGGGACTGTGTCTCAGGAAAAGGGAAAGGAAAAAAAAAAAAAGAAAGTATATAAAATTGTTAAATCAAGGAGCAGCTGGACAGTGTATTACTGAGAGAAGTAGAGGCAAAGGTTAGCGGACACCAGTGGTCACTTAGTGGAACTGCAGGTGCTCCCCGACAGGAGGCTGCTACTCTTCCCAAAGAACTCTATTATTGACTTAAAAAAAAAAAGTTGTAGGTTTGTTACAATATACAAATAGCTAAACTTTATATAGCCTCAACCCTCTTCTAGCACTGCTCTAAGCCTTTTCCTGCTCTGAAATAGCTACTATTGTTACCTTCATTGTAGGTATGCCAGAGGTTGTTGTGGAAGGACCAGGGAAACTGACTATGAAATTGACTTGCAAGTTTCAGACTTAAAGGTTCTTCCTGCTCTGCTTCTTACATTGCCACATTTTAGTTAACATATCTCTTAAAATACTGGTCTTTTCTATATTTGGAGGGACTCCTCTTGCAATTTGAAGTTTTTTCTTGCACTAAGCATTTGGTCATAAGATCGTCTGTGTTTTATGTCAGTTTAAGTTTAGACATTGTTCAGTTAGGAATGTAAATATGAGCAAACAGGTATCTGATTGAAATAGATAACCTAGAAAAAATCACTTATGAAAAAGTCAAGAAAATGTGAACTCTGGATTTGCGGCTATTTTCAGAATGTATTAATTTTTTGGTATTTAATGGCATTGTGAATATATTTTTAAAAATTCTTTGTCTTCTACAGATACATATAAGGTAATTAAAAAATGATATGATGTATAGTTTTCACTTCAAAATAATTCAGAGGAAGAAGGAATGTATATAAATGAAGTGGGAATATAAATGAAACAAAACTGGCTGTGGCCAGGTGCGGTGGCTCACGCCTGTAATCTCAGCACTTTGGGAGGCCAAGGTAGGCGGATCACTTGAGGTCAGGAGTTCGAGACGAGCCTGGCCAACATGGTGAAGCCCTGTCTCTAATAAAAATATAAATAAATAAATGAATTAGCTGGGCGTGGCAGCAGGTGTCTGCAATCCTAGCTACTCGGGAGGCTGAGGCTGGAGAATTGGTTGAATCTGGTGGGGCGGGGGGGAAGTTGCAGTGAGCCAAGATAGCGCCACTGCACTTCAGCCTAGGCGGCAGAGCAAGGCTCCATCTCAAAAAAATTAAAATAGCCTTTTGGTGTGGTGGCAGGGGTTGTACTTGACAATAATTCTATGTGAGAAGGGCCATGATTAATCTGTAAGTGTTTAGAATGATTTAAGTATAAGTCAAGTTCATAGAGACCTTCCATTTACTCATAGGTCATTTTTGTTTTATTCAGTGATGCAACCATTATTTTACATGGTCAAAAAAGATATTGACCCCATATCATGTATTATAATAGATATGTTCTAGGTAGCAGAGATACAGCTATGAACAAGACAGTCAACATCTCTGCTGTCATGGAGTTAGCTTACAACTAATGTGGAAGTTAGAAACAAAAAAAGTTAATATGACATGCAATGCTAGGGAGAAGATTAGAGCAGGTTAAGGGAAGAAGAGGGGTGGAGGCCCTGGATGATAGGAGATAGAGTTGTCAGGAAAGACTTGGAGGAGGAGATAACAGAGCATGGCCTGAATAAAGTGAAGATGGAAGCCATGTGATGAGCTGGGGGAAAAGCATTCCAAGAGAGGGAACAGCAAGTCCAAAGGCACAGAGATGAGAAGAAACTGTTCACAGAATGAGAAATTAGTATGTGAGACTCAAACAGTAAGTTGGGGGAGAGTAGGAATAGATTAAGTCTGAGAAGTAAAGTGCGAGATCATCTAGGGTCTTGTAGACCATGGTAAAGATTTTGTGGCCTGGCACAGTGTCTTACGCCTGTAATCCCAGCACTTTGGGAGGCCGAGGTGGGTGGATCACGAGGTAAGGAGTTCAAGACCAGCCTGGCAAAGATGGCGAAACCCTGTCTCTACTAAAAATACAAAAAAAAATTAGCCAGGTGTGGTGGCACGCGCCTGTAATCCCATGTACTCCAAAGGCTGAGGCAGAGAATTGCTTAAACCTGGAGGGGCGGAGGTTGCAGTGAGCCGAGATCGCGCCACTGCACCCCAGCCTGGGCGACAGAGCAAGACTCTGTCTCAAAAAAAAAAAAAAAAATTCATCTCTAAGCTCCCCACCACTCTAAAGATGGGCCATATTGGCCGGGTGCGGTGGCTTATGCGTATAATCCCAGCACTTTGGGAGGCTGAGGCAGGCAGATCACTTGAGATCAGGAGTTTGGGACCTGCCTGGCCAACATGGTGAAACTCTGTCTCTACTAAAAATACAAAAATTAGCCGGGTGTTGTGGTGCACACCTGTAGTCCCAGCTACTTGGGAGGCTGAGGCAGGAGAATCTCTTGAATCTGGGAGGCGAAGGTTGCAGTGAACCAAGATCGTGCCACTGCATTCCAGCCTGAGTGACAGAGGGAGATTCTGTCTCAAAAACAAGAAACAAACAAAAGTCAAATGGATTAGAGAAATGAGAGGGGTAGATAATTCACTCACACAATAAGTAGTTATGGAAGGCCTACTATAATGTTACTATTTTATAACTTACAATTTATTGAGCACTTATATGCAGACATTCTGCTAAGTGTTGTACATTTGCAGTGATCTCACTTCTCACAACAATCCATTAAGGCTGGTACCGTTATTCTCCCCATTGTACACACAAGGAGACAGGCTCAGAGAGATCTAGTAACTTACCCAGGGACAAACAGCTGGTAAATAGCACAAAGGTCTATAAGGTTACAAAGCTCAGGATATCTGCTATGCTCTCCCACATGCCAGACACAATTGCATTTGTGTAATCATGACATTCCACTGCAGGAACTCCTCCTATTTGATCCCAGCCTGAAAACAGGGCACCTGAACTTAGTTGCCCACTGGGAGCAGCTGAGGTGGAGGAAGAGGGATCTGCAACTTTGCACTCCTGTGCAGTCTTGGTGGAGCTGTCCATCAAGGTGCCTGCCCTCCTTAGCTAAAGTGTGGACATGTTACCTGAGCTCAGCCAATTGAACCCTTGCTCCAGGGACTTTGACTCATCAAAGAAAGCTCTGGTCAAGAAAGGGAAAAAAAACATGGAATTGATTCACTTGCCTGCCTAAACTCTCAAAACATCTCCGCTTTCTAACCTTTTCTAAGCCTGATTCTCCAGCTTCGTGTTACCTCTGTGAGTTAGACACTAGCCTGCCAATAAAATCCTTTTCAGGTAAAGTTAGCCAGAATTGATTCTTAAGACTCGCAATCAAAGAACTTGCACTGGCAATATCAGCAAAAAAAATTACACAGTCTTGTAAAGCTTAAGTGAGTGACTCATTCCTTGGATAAATGTGTATTAAGCAGGGTCAGGACTAGAATGAAGCAAAGTGAGGCACCCAGGGTACAAAATTTAAGGCTTTCTTCCTCAGTGTTGTGTGAGTGCAGGGTTGGCTCTAACAGCCCTCCCTGCTATCAAAATTAGTAATAAAAAGAACGGAGAAGATCATTTCTTTTTCACATAAGAGTATGAAGTGAGTGTCCCAAGTCGGCAGGTAGCATTCGGCACCTTCTGTGCTGTGGCTCTGTCCCCTAGCACGTCATCATCATCATCACAAGGTCAAGGCTGGGCCAGCCAGTGAGAAGGAGAAAGAGTAACTCCTGCCAGAGCTTTAGCAATGTTAGCTATGGCTAAGCCTCAACCTCCCCAAGCCTCACTTTATTCACCTGTAAAATAGGACTAAGAAAAATCATCTTTAATTCCAAGATGTTTTGAGGATCAAATGAAACAACATGTAAAACTGCTTTGCAGACTGTGCAGTGCCCTATAAGCGGTAGTCACTATGTAGTCTCTTTGCTGAGTATCAGTTTATCTGCAAAGTGACAACTGAATACACACCTCCCAGGATTGTTGTAAGAATCTGCTAGACGAACGATTAAAGTATAAACTTTGGAATCCAACAGGAATAGGTTGGCGTTTTGCTCTGCCCCTCACCAGCTGTAAGATCTCGGACCCTCTGTGAGCCTGTGTCCTCATCTGCAGCGAAGGGATCAGGGTGCTCCTCCATCACAGGGCTGCTGTGAGCATGAAGAGAGACAGCAGGAGTGAGTCCTTGGCGCGGTGCCCAGCCTTGTTCCGATCCGCAGGTGCAGTGACGAATGCCACCTCCGGGATCCCTTCCAAAAAGCACAGCCGGGTTGTACCCTTCTGCCTCTGCTCAGCGCCCACGGTCAGCCCCACTCGGTGTGAGCAGAGCGGCTGCTCACAGCCTCTGACACGAAAGTCACTCCCACTCAGTTCCCCAAACCACAGCTATCCCCACTGTTGAGTGTGCGGTAAGTGCCCGCTGGGCACAGGGCGGAGTGCCACCAGACGACCGCTTAGAGCTCACAACCTATGATTTAACGCAGGGAACCAAAGCCTTTTCCTTCATTCTAAGACTGCATACCAAAAAGAAAAAAAAAGTTTGGGGGAAAAATAAAGCTGCCTCTTGCATTTGCAAGGAAATCACGTTCCTTCAGACCCCGTGCTGGCGGGGTCCTTACTAATAGAAGGAGATCATCTTTCACTTCCTTCCTTGAGATGGATTTTCCAACCCTGCTGTCAGACTCCAGCTCCGTGAAGCAGCAGTCACTGTACGGGTGATTGATAAAGCTCCATGGGGGCTTCTGTAACAGTGCTGATTTTATAAGCACACCTTCTAGAAGCCACTTAGAGACTGCTCTATTGGAGACACTAATGTTCCTATTTTTCTATACTTTTCCCAGCTCTATATTTGAGAAACTGGCCTTTTATTCTTAATGACTTACAGTAAAATTGTCTTCAGGTCAGTGTGTGCCTCTCCTGTTTTGTAGCATTTTGATTTTCCAAATCATCCTTATATCTGTAATGCTTAAAGAGGGGTGGAAGGGAGAAGGGTGGAGAGTTGTTTAATCTGGAAGGGGCCCTCTGGGCCTTGATGTGGAACTAGAGCTCCTTTATTCTGGTGGTTTGCGGTTGAGCTACAGTACTGCTGAGTGGTGGAGCAAGAGGCCATTTATAACCCTGAGAATTTTGCAATGTTATTGAATTCCTTCTACCTAATTTCCACTTCCTTTCTGGAATGAAAATGAAGAGAGTAAGCAAACATGTGCTGGGAGGGTTCCCTACAAGGATATATTTTATCCTGGGAATCTTATCTGGAGAATAGAATTACTTCTAGTCTCCTATCTCCTGATGTTTCTATTCCATAGGGAGAAAAGCAGAGAGATGTTTTCCTCTTTAACTAGAGTTAGGTGTGCTAACCCTGATTTTTCAGTAAGAATTATTCTAATGTTTGATATGAAAACAACAGTTCTTTAATTTAATTTTTATTTTTTAATAGAGACAGGATCTTGCTCTGTCACCCAGGCTAGAGTTCAGTGACATGATCATAGTTCACTGCTGCCTCGAACTTCTGGGCTGAAGCGACTCTCCTGCCTCAGCCTCCTAAGTAGCTAGGGACTACAGGAACATGCCACCATGCCCAGCTAATGTTTTATTTTTTTTGTAGAAACAGGTCTCTAACTCCTGGCCTGAAGTGATCCTCCTGCCTTCACCTCCCAAAGCATTGGGATTACAGGTGTGAGCCACTGCGCCCAGCCAAAACAAACTGTTAAACAATGAAAATACTTTGTAGTGAAAGGGTATTGGGACACAGAGGGAACACCAGACAACCTGCGCAATTCATGCCCATCCCTGTCCATTTGGAGCCAGCTTGGTTCCAGCTTGGAAGAAGTCAGAGTCATCGGGTTTAAGCAGACACAGGTGCTTACTGAGCCTTCGCTGGACACCAAGTGTTGTGCTAGGTTGACACTGCAGAGTTATACCTGTCCTGGAGGAGGAGCTAGTGGAGATATGTAAATATGTAACTATAATAGAGTATGACAAGATCACACTCGCTAATGGAAGTATGAACAGGATGCTGTGAGAACACAGAGGCCCCTGTCCTATTTAGTTTTGCCAGGAAAAGTTAGAGAAAGCTAAGACTAGTACAGGGAAGAGGTAGCATCTGATCTGAACTAGGCTTTGATGCTTGAATAGGAGCTGTTCTGACAGTCAGTAGGAGGAAGAGAATATGCAAAGGTACAGAAGAATTGAAAGAACACGGCCTTATAGAAATAGCAGGTAGTCCAGGGAAGAGTCTGGCTAGATTGTAAAGGACCAAATAGCACACAAGGGACCGTGGCCCACCTGTAGACAGTGGAGTGCTATCTTTTGATACAATGGTGAGTTCTTGTGAAAGTTTCTTAGCCTCAGTGTGCTTTGGTTTCGGATACACAAACCAGAAATTGCCACAAAGCACCTGCTGCGGGTCAAGTGCAGAGCCACCTGCTTTCTCATGGCTTTCCAGCAATACCAGATAACCTGGGATCAAATTCTGGCTGTGCCACTTCCTAGCTGTGTGACACTGAGCCTGCTACTTAACTCTTCTGTGCCTCTATTTTCTTGTCTCTAAAGTGGGGATAATAACATACCACACAGCGTTGCTGTGCAGATTAAATTAATTAGTATATATAGAGCCTTTAAAATAGTGCCCTAGCATTATGTAATTGTTAGCTAATGTCATCATGTAAGGAAGTATTATGTAGAGGGATCAGTCCTAAGACCTTGGCTTCAGACCCAGTTCTGAAGTGTTGGGTTGACTTACTGTTCTTTTCCCTCCCTTCTTTTTTTTTCTTCCTTCATTTGGGAGGGAGGTGTAGAAAGAGGTACATGGAGAACAAGTTTGTCGATCCATCTGAACTTCAGTTGCCTTACCTGTAAGATAGGAATGTTTTTCAGAGTTCTTATGAGCATCAACTAAAATAATGCTATAGAAGTGAGCAATCAACTATAAAGAGGCTACCTGGGCTGGGCATAGTGGCTCACGCCTATAATCCCAGCACTTTGGGAGGCTGAGGCAGGTGGATCACCTGAGGTCAGGAGTTCAAGAGCAGCCTGGCCAACATGGTGAAACCCCGTCTCTATTAAAAATACAAAAATTAGCTGGGTGTGGTGGCGAGCACTTGTAATCCCAGCTACTCGGGAGGCTGAGGCAGGAGAATCGCTTGAACCCAGGAGGTGGAGGTTGCAGTGAGTGGAGATCGCGCCATTGCACTCCAGCCTGGGAGACAGCGAGACTCCATCTCAAAAAAAAAAAAAAAAAAAGGCTGGGCGCGGTGGCTCACGCCTGTAATCCCAGCACTTTGGGAGGCCAAGGCAGGCTGATCACGAGGTCAGCAGATCGAGACCATCCTGGCGAACACAGTGAAACCCCATCTCTACTAAAAATACACACACACACACACACACACACACACACACACACACTACACACACTAGCCGGGCGTGGTGGCGGGTGCCTGTAGTCCCAGCTACTCAGGAGGCTGAGGCAGGAGAATGGCGAGAACCCGGGGGGCGGAGCTTGCAGTGAGCAGAGATCGCGCCACTGCACTCCAGCCTGGGAGACAGCGAGACTCCGTCTCAAAAAAATAAATAAATAAAAATAAAATAAAAATAAAGACGCTACCTGTACGTTACTATTAGATATACGATTACTACGAAGTTACTGTATAACTGATCTGTTGCAAACAAATCAGACTTACCTAGTGGATAAGAGCAAACCTGTGGATTTTGCTGTCATTAATTCAGCCATTGTTAATTAAGTGCTTACCCAGAACCATCATCTTATGCCAGTGATGCTGCTGTCTGCTCAGACCTCCATTTTAGAGTTCCTGCAGAACTTGGGGGCAGTTTTGGTCTTAGGCTTATTAGTTGCAATGAGTAGATACATAGACTAGCTTAATTTATAGGAGTTTTATTGGCAGGATACAGTGGACTTTCAGGTACCCCAAGCATAGGAAGTGTAGCCACGTAATCGGGAAAGTTACCAGGTAATGGCTTTTCTCATCTTTCTGATTTCTGGCCTCAGCTCATTTATATATTTCTGGATTCCTCTTGCAGAATCACTTCCTCTGAAAGGCTCTTGGTTTTTTATTCTCCGTATTTTTGGCTTATGCGAATCTTTGGCTTGCCATGGTAACTGCTCTGAAGCTTACTATGATCTTACTTCTCCAGGGCCCGTTATCACCCAGTTCCCTTAGTCTGTGTCTTTTGTTTGTTTGTATGTATGTATGTATGTATTTATGATGGAGTGTCACTCTGTCGCCCAGGCTGGAGTGTAATGGTGCAATCTAGGCTCACTGCAACCTCTGCCTCCCAGGTTCAAGCGATCCTCCCTGCCTCAGCCTCCTGAGTAGTTGGGATTACAGGCGCCTGCCATCACGCCCAGCTAATTTTTGTATTTGTAGTACAGACGGGGTTTCGCCATGTTGGCCAGGCTGGTCTTGAACTCCTGACCTCAGGTGATCCACCTGCCTCAGCCTCCCAAAGTGCTGGGATTACAGGCGTGAGTCACCACGCCTGGCCAATCTGTGTATTTTAAATTCAAGAGAAAGAATTGGAATAATTCAGCTAAAGTTGGGTATTCACTTTGGTCCCATCAGCTATGGCAGGGTTGTGGAGAGTGTCATTCAGTTCAGATAGGCTGCCTGGGCTTTGTGGGAAGGACAGAGTCACTGAGAATGGGGGCTTATTAATATCTTTCAAATAGTTCAGTAGTTGCAAATCTCCATGCTTTAAAATGTATATGAACTTTTGAACAGCTGAGAATCATTCAGTGCTAACTTTAATAAACAGAGCATCAACCTAGGATATGTCATATGGGGTCAAGAGAAAATAATAGGTATAACATAATGAGCTTTGGCTTAATTATCTCCAAAGATGGTTTTCAGAAAGGAGTTAAAAATAATGTGGTTTGTTTCTTAGCAGCACCATCGAAATTAAGGAAGGGTGTAACTTCATTTGGTGAGGACTTTAAAATGGGCATCCTCACTTGGATTTTTAAAATTCCACTTAAGAATCATGGACTTTTAGACTTAGAAGTCACCTGAGACATGCTTTAGTTCTACACTCACGTCTTTCTTTCTTTCTTTTTTTTTTTTCGAGACGGAGTCTTGCTCTTTCGCCCAGGCCGGACTGCCGTGGTGCGATCTCTATCTCGGCTCACTGCAAGCTCCGCCTCCCGGGTTCACGCCATTCTCCTGCCTCAGCCTCCCGAGTAGCTGGGACTACAGGCGCCCGCCACTGTGTCTGGCTAATTTTTTGTATTTTTAGTAGAGACAGGGTTTCACCATGTTAGCCAGGATGGTCTCGATGTCCTGGCCTCATGATCCGCCTGCCTCGGCCTCCCAAAGTGCTGGGATTACAAGCATGAGCCACCGCACCTGGCCTACACTCACATCTTTCAATAGAAGAAAACTGAGATTTGGTTAAAGGGGCATGTATACATCGTGAAAGACCTAGGATTGGGTCCTGAGGCCTTTGGCTCTAAATACAGTCACTTTTTTCAGCAGGGACAATTATCCATCCCTCAATAGAAGAAAACTGAGATTTGGTTAAAGGGGCATGTATACATCGTGAAAGACCTAGGATTGGGTCCTGAGGCCTTTGGCTCTAAATCCAGTCACTTTTTTCAGCAGGGACAATTATCCATCCCTCAATAGAAGAAAACTGAGATTTGGTTAAAGGGGCATGTATACATCATGAAAGAGCTAGGATTGGGTCTTGAGGCCTTTGGCTCTAAATCCAGTCACTTTTTTCACCAGGGACAATTATCCTAGCCCAGTGCTCTTTCTGTTGTGCCTTTTGTACCTGCTTATTTTAAAAATAAGAAGAAGCCAAATTGAAAAACAAATGATCTAAAAAGTCATATTGTATAGTTCCGTTTATATGGAGTACAAAAACAGGCAAAACTCATGGATGATGATAAGAAGTCAGAAATTCCCCTTTAAAGGACTGAAAGGATTGACAGGAAGAGGAAGTATGAAGTAATTTTCTAGGGTGATGAAAATGTTCAGTGTCCCGTTTTGAGTGGCGGTTACAGGGAGATGCATGTGTTTATGTCTATTATGTATATGCATACAAACATATGTACACTTAAGCCCTCTGCATTTTATTGTATGTAAATTATATCTCAGTTTTTAAAATTGACCTCACAACCATGCAGTCCTAGTCTACTAATTGCAGCCGCTTTGCCGATAAGGATAAGGACGCATCTCTAGGCATCCAGAGATTGATGGCGCCACCCCTGGAACGAGAACTCCCTGCCCTGCTGTAACTGCAACAGAGCAGTCTCCCCAGAAATTATGCTGATAGGGCCAGTTTCTTTTCTGAGGTTTGTTGTGTGTCTAGGCATGTAAAAATTACTGTGAAAAATTCTGCCACAAGCCACAGAAGTTATGGAAGCTTTGGGGGCCATAAGGCCAACCCACTTCAATCCCTTTAGGCTGCGTTTAATTGCAGTGGACAGAAGTTGAAGCTGGCTCAGAGGAAAAGGGGAAAGCACTGGCTGAAGCCAGTCCGAGTTCTGTCCCCTATTATGACTTACTAGCTGGGTGACCTTGGGCACTTGACAAAACACTGAGCTTTAGTTGTGCCATCTTCAAATGCAGGTGATAATCCTCTTCTGCCTAATTCATGGTGCTGCTGGGAGGACACAATAAAGTAAGTGAAAGCACTTTGAAAACTAGTTCCTTTACATTGTCATGGTCTGGAAATGCTGGTTTTTTATGACAGTAGACTTCTGAAGCATCCCATCCTGACTAGGAAATGGTCATGAAAGCATCCCTCTTTCTGAGGCCGGGGGGCTTGTGGGGGACAGGACTTTTACTCCTTTTCATCAAAGAGGTTTATACTTATCAGGCTGTGAGAACTGGCATCTGTGTTTAGGCTGAAAAATTGATAGCATACGTGCATAATAGCCTCACAACAGCTATGCTTTGTATGCCAGGAGAGGCAGGTGGTCCCCATAAGCGAGACATGAATTGTGGGTGAATGGCTAAATCTGGAAGATGCAGAAAGGTCTTTTTCATTAAGAGAGAGCCCTCTCCTGGCCAGGAGCGGTGGCTCACGCCTGTAATCCCAGCACTTTGGGAGGCCGAGGCAGGCAGATCATGAGGTCAGGAGATCAAGACCATCCTGGCTAACACGGTGAAACCCCGTCTCAACTAAAAATACAAAAAAATTAGCCGGGCGTGGTGGCGGGTGCCTGTAGTCCCAGCTACTTGGGAGGCCGAGGCAGGAGAATGGCGTGAACCCGGGAGGCGGAGCTTGCAGTGAGCCAAGATCGCAGCCACTGCACTCCAGCCTGGGGCGACAGAGCGAGACTCCGTCTCAAAAAAAAAAAAAAAAAAAAAAGCCCTCTCCTGAACCTGTAGGCAAGGAGTGTAAATATACATCGAAATAATCCATCAGCCAAGTGACTTCCCTTCGTCAGACCTTGGAGAGAGAATGCTTTAGTTACTGCTTGGAATACCAGTAAGCTATCAGAGTTGCCTAGGATACCAGTCACTTGGGCCCATCTTCCAGACTTGCTCAAGATAATTTATTTTCCTTTATTTTGGAGAGAAGTGGGGGAGGTGGTCAGAGGTACTTGCAAAGCCTTGTCCTTATAAGACGGGCCCTTGTGTGAAGATATCTTTATCTCCCTCCACTTGAGTTGTCAGCTGCTATTGCCCTTGGCAATAGGGATGAAAATAGCATTTCCTGTCCCAGTTCTCTTCCCCATTTTCTGATGTCATCCCACACAGAGGTGGCTTTGCATAGTGTCCTTTGAGGGGAAAGCAGTGGCATTGATGAGTGCGAGGGAAGCAAGAGAGCATGTAGCTGTGCCCCGCTGATGCTGGGATCTTCCTAGGATGACTGCAGAACAGAAGGAGCCTGGCTCCTCCAGCTAACCACTCAACCAAGAAAAGCCTGGCTATTCTTATCTGTTTCGGAGCATATGCTTCTCTCCTAAAGGGGGCCAGCGCCTCCACACCTGTGGGTATTTCTTGTCAGGTGGGATGAGAGACTGAGAAAAGAAATAAGACACAGAGACAAAGTATAGAGAAAGAACAGTGGCCCAGGGGACCGGCGCTCAGCATACGGAGGACCCGCACCGGCACTGGTCTCTTGAGTTGCCTCAGTATTTGTTGAGCACTATCTCTACCATCTTGGAGAGGGGGATGTGGCAGGACTATAGGGTAATAGTGGGGAGAGGGTCAGCAGGAAAACATGTGAGCAAAGGTCTCTGGGTCATAAATAAGTTTAAGGAAAGGTGCTGTGCCTCGATGTGCATGTAGGCCAGATTTATGTTTGACTCTACACAAACATCTCAGTGTAGTAAAGAGCAGTATTGCCGCCAGCATGTCTCACCTCCAGCCACAAGGTGGTTTTCTCCTATCTTAGTAAATAGAATGTATGATCAGGTTTTACACCGAGACATTCCATTCCCAGGGACGAGCAGGAGACAGATGCCTTCCTCTTATCTCAACTGCAAAGAGGCCTTCCTCTTTCGCTAGTCCTCCTCAGCATAGACCCTTTATGGGTGTCGGGCTGGGGGATGGTCAGGTCTTTCCCTTCCCACAGGGCCATATCTCAGGCTGTCTCAGTGGGGAGAAACCTTGGACAATACCCAGGCTTTCTTGGGCAGAGGTCCCTGCATCCTTCTGCAGTGCATTGTGTCCCTGGGTACTCGAGATTAGAGAATGGTGATGACTTTTACCAAGCATACTGCCTTCAAACACATTTTTAACAAAGCACATCCTGCACAGCCCTAAATCCATTAAACCTTGAGTCAACACAGCACATGTCTCTGTGGGCACAGTGTTGGGGCTAGGGTTACAGATTAACCGCATCTCAGGGCAGAATAATTTTTCTTAGTACAGAACAAAATGGAGTTTCTTATGTCTACTTCTTTCTACATAGACACAGTAACAGTCTGATCTCTCTTTCCCCCACACTCTCCTCCCAAGGTCTCAAGACAGGAATTTGCAGTAAATACGTTCTTCTACCACTGAGTCCTCTCGACTCTTAAACTGAAGTGCCACATTGGCACATGTTGCTGCTGGCTGATCTATGGATGATAGACAGTTTGTCCCATTTTTTCTTGCTGATTTAATGTCAAAAAACAAAACCCCAAGGAGAGGTTTTGGTATGATCTAGAAAAATTCAAACCAAGTAGTTTCATGTGTTACTTTATGCAGTGTCTGTCTGTAGACTCTTCAAAACATGTAACAAGAGTGAAAAATGAAGAGGTACTCTGACTTTTTCTGTCTTTCAGATTCTTTCTCCCCAGGCAGTCGTGTCTGTGTTCTTGTCTTGCAGAATTAGAGCCCACTGGTTGGGAAAAATGCCACCACCATCAGACATTGTCAAAGTGGCCATTGAGTGTCCAGATGCTAATGCCCAGCTCCTTGAAATCAACCAGGTACACTCCTGAAGTGAGGAAAGGCACCTGGGGAGTGCATGGCAGAGGATATCTTGAGGGATGGGGACTACTGGCATCAAGAGTAAGAACCATCAACAGGAAGGCTAAGCTTTGGGCCTGGCCCACCCTAGGGAAGGTCTGTCACCATGGCTTGGGAGAGGCTTCCTCTTTAACAAAAGCTGTTAGGAAAGAAGTACATTCTCATGCCCCGGCTTGACCCTGCTTGGCAGGCTCTCTTGTCTGAACCTTGGCTTGGGTAGGATGTTGCTGCTATTGAAGGCTCTTTCTCTCTTTTTCAGAAATGGCCCCTGGCATCCATTATCAAGGAAGTTTGTGATGGGTAGGTTGAAATGGACCTCGTTTTTGACAGTGGCAGCTCTGACTGAAGGAGCACTGCCACACCTTGAGGGGAGTTCTGGGAAGGATCTCCAGTTAGGCAGGTCCCCAGAAAGGGGCTCTTGGGAATCATTGTCTTGGGAAGGAGGTACAGTTGACAACAATACCCCTAAGACGTTTATACTTCTTAATTTTTTCCTGTAAGTCTAGCATTGCCCTGCTTGAGGTCATGGTAGGATCTGAGACCCCTCCTCAGTTCCGCACACCTCCTTTTGTGGTGCTTGTCTTTACAAAAGGCTGAGGCTGTGATTTTTTCAACATGACAACCTAAAGCTTTGTTTTTTTCCACTGTATTCCAAATAGGCCACCTGATCCCTTGAGCAACTCTACTGAAAATGACTTATGAGAAGCTTCTGGACAAGAGAGTGGCCAAGTGGGATATACTGTTTTTCTCTTGCGTAGGTGGTCGTTGCCAAACCCAGAGTATTACACCCTCCGTCATGCAGATGATCCTCAGCTGTACATCACTGAACAGGTTAATATAGGGAAAGGCAAAATCAATGTGGGCCTTGCTTGGAAGTAAATGACCCAAGGAGACAGCACTATTTATCTTCACTCAGCATCCAGGTAGCTTCCATGTGTTGGGTAAAGAGTCGCTCCCTGGGCAGACTGGGAAGTACCAGCCCTTGTTCCTCCCTAGTGGCTGGAAAAAGGTGGCTTTTACTTCCTGAGGGCCCAGGGTGCTAGAAGAGGATCTTAGAAGCTCTTTGCCAAGGAATAAGCAGGAGAAGAGGGCCCGACTGAAGAGCCTGTTACATCTACTGTAAAAAAGACAAAACATTATGTTGATTCAACTTGCTTGTACCACTTTAACATTTTATCTTAGTTACCTTTGTTGTTTCTTTGCTTTTCACTACCCAGACTCGCAGTGACGTTAAGAATGGGACAATCGGGCCAGGCGTGGTGGCCCACGCCTGTAATCCTGCACTTTGGGAGGCCGAGGCAGGCGGATCATGAGGTCAGGAGATCAAGACCATCCTGGCTAACACAGTGAAACCCCGTCTCTACTAAAAATACAAAAAAAAAAAAAATTAGCTGGACGTGGTGGCGGGTGCCTGTAGTCCCAGCTACTCGGGAGGCTGAGGCAGGAGAATGGCGTGAACCCGGGAGGTGGAGCTTGCAGTGAGCCGAGATCATGCCACTGCACTCCAGCCTGGGCAACAAAGCGAGACTCCGTCTCAGAAAAAAAAAAAAAATGAGACAATCTTACAACTGGCTATCTCCCCAGTAGGTATTCTTCCTTCCTTAGGAGTTTATTCATGTCACAAACAAATAAGAGCACCTACCATGGGCCAGGCTCTGTTCTAGAAACAAGGACTCTGGAGATTAAAAAGTCAGTCCTTTTGTATCAGGACATAATATAGGAAGATAAGAGTGTCTTGGTTCTCACCACCTAGTGGGGAGTAAACACATGCAATTGAAGGCCTGTCTCAAGGATCTTGAGAGAAAGTTGCTTAGAGAGCTGTGAGAACTCACAAAGGGGACCACCTAACTCAGCCTGGAGATTTCCAGAAAGCCTTGCCAGAGAAAGGGTCACTTAGCTCAGATGTTAAAGGATGAGCAAGAATTAGCTGGAGAAATAAGAAAAGGAAAAGTATTCTAGTCAGAGAAATCAGCATATGCCAAGGCACAGAGGTTTGCTGTGTTTGGGAAAAGCAGAAGTGCTGGGTGGCTGGAGGCTTGTAGCAATCATTGAAAAGCCAGGTATTCAATGTTCCTTGATGGCCTGCTCATAGGTTTGAACTCTGTCCAGAAGGAAACTAGGGATATTGAAGGATTTTAAGCAGGAAGATATGTTATGTTTAGATTTTAAGTTTTAGAAAGATGACTTTAGTGACCGTGTGGAAGATGGGCCTTAAGAAGTAGGTTGGTGGTAGTAGGAACCTTTTAAGAGGCAAATGAGGAATGTTAACAGCCCAGGGAAGGCAAATGGTAATGGAGATGAAAGGATATGAAGAGTATCTAGGAGGTAACCTTTATGAGTATGGTGATACGCTGGATGTGGAAGGAAAGGGGAGAATGGAGAATGACTCTGGTTTTTGCAAGAGCAGCCCTTAAAGGTCACCAAGGAAGCAACCAGAAGGGTAGAAAGAACACCAAGAATGTGAAGTGACAGGAGCTTTGGGCAGGGAGAGTGTCAGGATTGGGGAAAACATGGTCTGCAATTTTTAATGAGCAGAGAAATTTAGCAAACTGAGAACAGAGAAGCTGTCTCAAGACTTGGGAGGTGAAGAGGACCTTGGTGATCTTCACAAAAAAGTTATGGTGGGGAGGCCAGGTGGCCAGACTGAACTGAGTCAAGTAAAAGAAAGGTAAAAAAGTAAGGACTTTGAGTCTACTGCTGTATCAAGAAGCTTGGTTTTAAAAGAAAACACAGAGAAGGTGATAACGTGAAGAGGATGTAGAGTCAAAAAGATGCGCTTTTTAAAAGCCCGTAAAGCATTCATGTGTTTCACAAATCAAAAATTTTCACAGAGATGTAGCAAAAGGTCTCCCTGCAACTCCTGTCCCCATCTGCCCAGTTCCCCACATTTCTGACCCTTCCTGGTTGTTGTTTCTGTTGCAATTTTTTATGTGCCCTTAAGAATGTGTTAAGATGGAAGAGAGGAAGGTTGAAGGTGCAGGAAAGCAGGTAATCAATAGAACAGGATCTTAGTGGACCAGGAGAGGAAGGACTCAAAGCCCAGGTAGAGGGAATCACCTTGACTGCTAAGCCCATGAGGAAGACAGCCAATATGATTGCACCTTTGGTTACATTCGTAGAAGCGCAGCTAGCAAAATAAGGGCGTGATGGCACCTCTTTTCTTGGTGCAGAGAGAGAGACTGGTTCATCTGAGAGGAGGGGAGGTATGAAGTGATATCAGCCAACCTTTACTGAATGCCTGTATTTTGCTAAATACTTTGTGTAATTAAATCATCTAATCTTTACAAACGTCCCATGAGATAGGTACTCTTAATAGCCACATTCTGTAGACAAGGAAACCAAGGCTTAGAGAGGTTAAATTACTTGCCACTTGTCACACAGCTAATAAAGTAGCCAAGCCTGCTCTCAGACCCAGGTCTGCCTGACTCTAGGCCCATATTCCTCCCATCATGTTCTTCTGCCTCCCCCTCTTCTCCTGAACTCTTCTCATTTTAAGGACTTCATTCTTCCCTCCTAAGCTCTGGTAATTTAATATGACAGCCTGGGAGTTACACACTTTTATGGAAGTGCTGACACATTTCCGACCTCTTGCACAGTGCAGTTGCCTTTCCCAGAAGCACATCTCTCTGGAGCGGGAGGCAGCAGCCCAGAAATGCTGTATCAGGAGGAAAATTGACAGAGTTGGAAGTTTCTAAGTGGGATGCAGACCAGTGCTCTTCAGATTGTTCTGTGCTGTGACCTTTTCCTGTGGCGCACGTTTTGTCCACTGTAGACAGAGTGAGGGCTTCTCTATCACAGAGAGCATTGTGCTGTGAAGGGCCAGCTTTGTAATAGTAAAAGAGGAGAGGCAAAGGGGAGAGGGACAACAGGCCTGACTCCGTGGTGGCCGCAGGAATTGGGCTCCAGTCACTTGCTTAACACTGAGAAAAAGAAGACAGGAGTGTTTTTGCTCTTAAGGCTCTTCCTTTCTAGTGGAGAACATTAAATTAACACCCAAAAAACAGAGTATGATGAAACAGTAAATTGTGAGGTACTATGTACTAACAAGCTCAGCAGAAGGAAAGCCCAGTGAATGCTAGAGGAGGGATTTTAGCCACAGTTTGCAGAAAAGGAGGCAGGCATCCTGCTAGAAAAAGTTCATGTGCTAGGAGGAGGTTTTGTCTTCATCAGCCTTCATTTTCAAAAAATGATTGGGAAATTGTTTCTGGCTCCTTGATATTCTTAAAATTTCTCCAGAACTGTTACTTTGAGGAATAATCATATGGATTTTGAGAGAAAGTTTTTAAAAAATTATCAAGCTTTTCACATTTTAGGATTAAAAGGGAGCTTAGAGAACATTAGATTAAATTCTTCACCCAATGCAAGAATCCCTTCTACAGCATCTTTGACAGATAGTTGTCCACATTCTCCTTGATTGCTTCTGGTGACAGGGAGCTTAATACCCCAAGAGAAACCTCTTCTGCTGTCTAACAGTTTTATAAATTTTATTTTATTTTATTTATTTTTTTTGAGATGGAGTCTTGCTCTGTCGCCCAGGCTGGAGTGCAGTGGCATGATCTCGGCTCACTGCAACCTCCGCCTCCTGGGTTCAAGTGATTCTCCTGCCTTAGCCTCCTGAGTAGCTGGGATTACAGGTGCATGCCACCATGCCCGGCTAATTTTTGCATTTTTAGTAGAGACGGGATTTCACCATGTTGGTCAGGTTGGTCTCGAACTCCCGACCTTGTGATCTGCCTGCCTCGGCCTCCCAAAGTGCTGGGATTACGGGCGTGAGCCACTGCGCCCGGCCAGTTTTATTTAATTTATTTTTTTTATTTTTGAGAGACAGTCTTGCTCTATGACCCAGGCTGCAACGCAGTGGCACAGTCCTAGCTTACTGCAACCTTGAACTCCTGGGCTCAAGCAATCTTCCCACCTCAGCCTCCTGAGTAGCTAGGACTACAGGTGTGCACCACCACACCTGGCTCATTTTTAAAAATTTTTTGTGGAGACGGGGTGTCACTCTGTTGCCCAAGCTGGTGTCTAACTTCTGGTCTCAAGCAATCCTCCTGCCTTGGCCTTTCAAAGCCTTGGGATTATAGGCATGAGCCACTGCACCCAGCCAGACAGCTTTAATTAATAGACAACCTTCCTCTATTAAACCAATATCTGTTTCTCTGTGACTCATTAGTGGGCCTCCCAGATGTCTCTGGTATTCCCTTGGTAGGAATTTTTTTAATCCATAGACCAGAGTGGTACAGAAAAGATACAGATAAATACAGATTTGTTTTGGTATGCTAATAACTCCCTGATTGATCCCACAATTTAGCAACTCCTAAGCAGTGTTAAAAAAGCTAGTTCTGCCTCAGGTTTGGATGTCCACAAAAGAGCCTCTGTGAGCTATCCACAGAGTAGTAACCTGCTCCAAGGAGCAGATGGCACATGTCTTGTCCCTGGTTTCCTAGTCCCAGGCTGCACGCCCAGCTGATGGAGAGGACCCAGTCATCCAACATGGAGACCCGGCTGGATACCATGAAGGTACTGGCCAAGCTCTGCTGACGTGACTTTTGCTACTGAGTTCATCAACATGGATGGCATCATTGTGCTGACGAGGCTTGTGGAAAATGGAACCAAACTCCTGTCCCAGTGAGTATGACTAAGGTCTCATTCCAGAGACTTCAGTGATTTACTACATCCCACAGGGCATCCTAGTCTCATTTCCATCAAGTCACATAAGGAGTTTATTGAATACCACCTATGTACAGAGCAGTGTGCAAAGCACTAGAGTCCATACCGAGACATATAATTCCGTGTTGTTCTTCTAAATCTTGTAGTATAGTTGGGCTCTCACAAATTAAATAATAGTACAAAACAATACTGTGCCAAGTGAGCAGTGAAAATAGGGGCTAGAGAAGTCAGTAGGAGAGCGGTCAGGTTGTGACAGACCTGTTAATTGCTGGAAATGCTTGGTCTGATGAGGGTTACTGAGCACATGGTCCAATATGTCCCAGGTGTGTGTCCATCTGTAACCACCCCCTGCTCCCTCTCTCTCAAGTCACCTTCCACCACACACACAACACACACACACACACACACACACAGCTTCGTTTGTGTTTACCACAGGTTACAACCTACCAAGTCACCATCTCCCTGCCACACTTTTGCACAGGGAGGAGGAGACCAGAACTTTATGATACCCACAAACATTTTCATCATACCCCAGAGTTGACATGCATGAGGTGGGCAGCTGTGCCTTGTGAAGAGCAGTCAGTAAACAGGTGCTTGGAGCCTACGCTGCCAAAGAGGGAATCAGAAATCTTCTCAGCCCGTAGATGAACTATGGAAATTTTCAGCCAAATCAAGTAACTAATCATAGATATTTGTTTTACATCTTGGATCTTCCAGCTGTACTCAAGTCCTGAAGCCTTCAGCTGCCATCAGCACTGACACAGTTCTACAGTCTCCCGAGAGTGCAGGGTTAGACTGGCCTTAGTTTCCCTCTCTTTAGCCTGAGGATAATAATAGCTACCTTGCAGTATTATTGTGAGAAGTATTGTTAATGAGACTGTGTCTGAACATGCTTTGTAAATGGGAATATCATCTGTTAATTCTAGAGCACTGTACAGATATATAAAGGAGAAGAGAGAAAAGAGAAAACATTTTAATCCTTATTCTCTATCAGCACTAGAATAAGTGCTTTGCATACATCATCATCTTGCCCTCTCCACAATCCTGTGAGGTTAACGCTGTGAGACTAACTTGATTTTACAGAGGAAGACATTGAGTTTTGAAAAGATAAAATTTGCTTGGTTAGTAAGGTGGACAAGAACTGAGCCCATCTCTTGCACTCTACTGCCTCTTGGCCCAAAGGTTAACATGGCACTTATGCCTCCTTAGGTTCCCCCAATAGGTGCTGGAGTTTGACAAGGGTCCGATGTCTTCTTTGGTCTTGAGAAATAGATAAGTGATTCTGTGTCCCTAGGATGAAGCACATAGAGAAGAAAGGTTTGATCAGCCAGCAGCATTTTTTTTGGCAGTGATAGATACCTGGGCTGAACCTGCTCTACTTGCTAGGTGTGCGCACAGGCACTTACAGTTACAGTTGCATCGACTGATTTCCCATGGGGTGTTCACATTAAAATTCATCATTTTTTTTTTTTTTTTTTTTTTTTTTTTTTTTTAGACGGAGTCTGGCTCTGTCACCCAGGCTGGAGTGCAGTGGCCCAATCTCGGCTCACTGCCAGCTCTGCCTCCCAGGTTCATGCCATTCTCCTGCCTCAGCCTCCGGAGTAGCTGGGACTACAGGTGCCCGCCACCACACTTGGCTAAGTTTTTTGTATTTTTTAGTACAGACGGGGTTTCACCATGTTAGCCAGGATAGTCTCGATCTCCTGATCTCATCCACCCGCCTCAGCCTCCCAAAGTGCTGAGATTACAGGCATGAGCCACCACACCCAGCCTAAAATTCATCTTTTTTGTGGCTGCCCTCACACCTGTGTTTCCCAGTCTGCATCTTTGTCCATTTTGTGTGTGTCTCAGCTACAGTGATATGCTGGCATTCACCCTGACTGCCTTCCTAGAGCTCATGGACCATGGCATTGTCTCCTGGGACATGGTTTCAATCACCTTTATTAAGCAGGTGAGGCATCCAACATTCTGTCTTTCTCTCCTCCCTCAGCTGCCAGTTCACAGGGTTTAAGGGGAGATACAAGCAATATCGCTATTTTGGTGATATCAGCTTTATATTCCCTGGGGCCAGATTTTTCATCCTCAAGTTCTGGTCTTTTGTGGCTTCTGAAAGATGTGGATTTTGTTATACTCTCAGGGCCTGCACTGAGATGGAACTGGACCGTCAGAACTAAATATGATCAAAGTAGAGTTAGGTTGTCAGTGAGACTGGGGATAAAGCCAGCCAGTCAACCAGGACTATCCCTGAGTCTTTTGACTGACTTCCTGAGCTCTCTCTTCTCTTTGGATTAAAAAAAAATGTGCATTTCATTTGCAAATCTGCCTTCTATTTACAAATCTGCAAGGTAGCCTGTTTGTATTGTCAGACTAAGCTCAGTGGGTAGGAGAGGGTACTTCTGGTTTTACCTTCCTTTCTTTTATACAAAGGAGCAGTGTCAATTCAGAAAACTGAATTAAAACCATTGAATAATACTCTCTCTGCTGCCCTAGAACTTCACTTATCATTGGCTTAGGACATTGGGACTCCCCGACCCTGGACACAAGTGAAATGACCATGTGTCAGGTATATTATAATGGGGATTGAGAAGAAGGATTAGAGTAAAAGGCTTCAAGGTCCTTTCTACCTCTCAAAGTCTTAAGTGTGTTTAGGGAGAATGTGTGTCAGGGGAGGAATACATGGAGATAAAATGAGATCCCAGTATGAGTAAAATCCTCTGCTGTTTTTTTTTCTTTTGATGGAGCCTCACTCTGTCACCCAGGCTGGAGTGCAGTGGCGCGATCTCAGCTCACTGCAAGCTCTGCCTCCTGGGTTCACACCATTCTCCTGCCTCAGCCTCCCGAGTAGCTGGGACTACAGGCACCCGCCACCACACCCGGCTAATTTTTTGTATTTTTAGTAGAGATGGGGTTTCATAGTGCTAGCCAGGATGGTCTCGATCTCCTGACCTCATGATCGTCCGCCTCGGCCTCCCAAAGTGCTGGGATTACAGGTGTGAGCCACCGTGCCTGGCAATCTTCTGCTTTTTTATACCCCACTTTCTCATGCTGGAACTCTTATTTTGATAAAAAGAATTAAGCTTTTAGATTTTGAGGAAACACAATTAAGTGGATACTATAATCTGAAATTAAGGTATCCATGCCAAGGGAATCCCTGGCACATTGGCCAGGGTAGCCGTAAACCAGGTACCACTGTCCACCTAGCAATAGCTGCCCAAATGTGAAGCAGAGAGAGCTCCAAGGGCTAGCATCAGATGCTAAGCTTCTATCTTTCTTAGGCCCTGAGCTTCTCAATTGATGTGCCATCTCTGGGCCTAGATTGCAGGGTATGTGAGCGAGCCCACGGTGGATGTTTCAGTCCTTCAGAGGTCCCTGGCCATCCTGGAGAGCATAGTCCACACCAGAAGATACCAGAGTCTGTACCAGAAGATAGCTGAGGAAATCACCATGGGACAGCTCATCTCACACTTCCAGGTGTGAGTAAAAGACCCTACACCCCTACACCTCCCTCCCTTCACTTGTCTGTCCTCGTCTCTCCTCTTATTTGAAGTCTTCCAATCCTACTCTGCTTTGCTTATATTCCAAGCTGCTGGTTGGCTTCTTCATTCATCGCCTCTTCCACACTCCTGCCAGAATTTCTACCATCATTCAGACCTCATCATGTCATGCTCCTGCCTAAAATCCTCTGTAACTCTCTCTGCCCCTTAGGTTAAAATGAAGATTTTCCCAGTCTTCCCATACTGCCCTAGTACCAGGCAAAATTAGATGCTTCCTCCCCACATGAGCCCAGTAGTCTGTTTGTACCTATGATAATTATATAAAATACTGGATTTTTATTATCTGTTGCCCATTTTGAACATAGAGCCCCCTAGAAACAGAGATCAATCATTGTCATATCCCCTGTTTTATTAGTACTTGTTGAATGAATGCTTACTGAACTGATGATGCGCTGTGGGTGATTGTAAGAAGTATCACACAGGGCGTGAGTTTGGAATATCAATTCAAATCCAGGCTCTTCTGCATACTGGGTCTCTGCTATCAGCAAGTAACCTAGTCTCTTCTGGCCTCAGTTTCTTCATCTCTAGACTAGGTTAATCATCTTCACTTCTCACGTGAGGATCAAAGGAGATTTTAAAAAAGTCTAGCATAGTGGCCAGCACAGGTTAAGTATTCAGTAAATTCAGGGGCTTTTTGCTTTTGTTTGTTAAGACTCTCATCACATCCTAAAACATTTTACCAGTAATGAAACCATATGACAAATGAACCCATTGGAGTTATGTTTCTCCTGTCTTCATTGTTTTTACTTCCTGTCCAACCAACCTACACCAGGTAAGGAAGCTGGACTTTGCAGAACAGCGGTGGCACTACTGATGATTCTGTTCTGACTGTTGTTCACTTCTGTCTTTTTGGATATTGTCAGAATGTTGCCAGAATCCCCCCACCAGTTTGAGGGGAAGTCATAGCTCCCAGATTTGGGAGGTTATAGTGACCCTGTTTTCACTCAGCTATGTTCCCAACTTGTTTCTCCCCACTAATCCAAGTAAAAAGGAAGCACAATTATTTCTTTGCAACTCTGATTTCTCCTTGTCACTTTTAAGAAATTTTCAGCCTCAGCTTTCTTTGCCTTTCTTTTTTGAAACAATCTGTCACCCAGGCTGGAGTGCAGTGGCATGATCATAACTCACTGCAGGTTCAAGCAGTCCTCCTCATCTCAGCCTCCTGAGTAGCTGGAATCATAGGCACACTCCACCACACCTGGCTAGTTTTTTTTTTTGTTTTTTAATTATTTATTTATTTATTTTTTTGAGACAGAGTCTCGCTCTGTTGCCCAGGCTGGAGTGCAGTGGTGCCATCTCGGCTCACTGCAAGCTCCGCCTCCCAGGTTCATGCCATTTTCCTGCCTCAGCCTCCCAAGTAGCTGGGACTACAGGTGCCTGCCACCATGCCTGGCTAATTTTTTGTATTTTTAGTAGAGATGGGGTTTCACTGTGTTAGTCAGGATGGTCTCGATCTGACCTCGTGATCTGCCCGCCTCGGCCTCCCAAAGTGCTGGGATTACAGGCCTGAGCCACCACACCTGGCCAATTTTTTTTTTTATTTTTGTAGAGATAGGGTCTCGCTGTGTTGTCCAGGCTGGTCTCAAACTGTTGGGCTCAAGCAGTCCTCCCACTCCAGCCTCCTTAGTAGCTGGGACTACAGGTGTGAGCCACCATGCCTGGTCTAGCCTCAGCTTTCATACCCAGTGAGCCACCAAGGTTGATGAAGATGAGAGGGATATTATAAACTCCAGATAGAGAATTCTGATTTTCCCGTAACCTCACGTCTACCTCTGTTTTTTTGTCTCTGAATTCGGAGTGGCCCTAGTTGCCTCCCTAGGGTCGATACGGGAACATGGCATTTCACAGGGGCCAATCGTGAATACTTTCAGCCCACAGCTGTCGCCAGAACCTATATGCTTTCCTATTTGGGCTGAGGGACACTTCGTGCCCTCTGGTAGACTCTCTGGGTACCCTGTGACTAACCAGGAAGCCCATCAGCCCCTCTGGAAAGACAGCCACAGAATGCTCCCAAGACATGGCAGGTGGAGATGTCAAGTACTGAGATTGTAAGATTCCAGGGAATGATTGTAGTTATTTTGTTTGTTCATAATAAAATAAGTTTATAGTCAAGACTTTAAAAATACAGAAAAACCCAAAAATAAATTATTTGCCCATTATCTCACCTCCAGACATACCCACTGTTAAACATTAAATATCCCTTCAGTATTTTTTATGCATATTTTTAACAAAATTGGGATCTTATTATATATACTATGTGTACCTTGATTTTTTTTAACTGAATAATATATCTTGAACATTTCTCCATGTCAAAGATTTTTCTAAAAGGTAGTTCTAAGTCTTTTTTGCAACCTAGACACCTTTGAAAATCTGGTTAACAAGTATGTACTCTCACCAGTTTGGAGAAAATACCACTTCGTCAGCAAACTACATAGAATAATTTCTGTATCATTCCTGGGGTTCACAGATACTCTAAGCCCATCCCTGAATCCCAGGTTAAGAATGTTTATTTACCCTAAAACATGACTTTTAATAACTACTTAAGATTCTCATATATATAAACAGTTGGCTACTGTGATCATTTGGATTACTTTCCATTCTTTTTTAAGTTGTACTTTAGTGAAATGCCTTGTCAGTAAATCTTGCATAGCTCTCTGATTACTGTCTTAGGATAAGTTTCTATTAGTGAAATTGCTGGGTCAAGAGCATGTCCACTTTGGATGCTTTTGAGACTTAGCTCCAGGTCATTATTTGCTTATAATCTGTAAATGATTGTTTTAAACTATCTCTAAGCATCATCTTGCTGTTCAGTCTTCTAATCTCCCTGTGCCGTCTTTCTCCATTGACATAGCTCCAGACAGGAGATTCAGACCTACGCCATTGCACTGATTAATGCACTTTTTCTGAAGCCTCCCGAGGACTAGAGACAGATCTGTGGCTGCCTTTTCACATTTTTCATCTGGGCTCTTCTGAGAGAAGAATTCTCACCCCACGTACTCTTTGCTGTTCAGAGAGCACAAATCCAGGCATTTTCCCAAGAGTCCTTCCTCCTAGCCCTCTGGTCTAGAGCCCAGCAGGGTGGCTTTGCTAAGGAAGACCCAGGGAAGAACTATGAGGAGAAACCAGCTGGATCTTAGATGAGATTAGGGCCCTTCAAACTTTTTCCTCTAAAGGGCCAGAGAATAAACATGTTTGACTTTATGGGCCATATGGCCTATGTGATAGCTACTCAACCTTGCCATTGTAGCCAGAAGCAGCCTCAGACAGTAGGTAAATGAATGGGTATGGCTGTCTTCCAATAAAATCTTATTTACAAAAACAGGCAACAAGCCTAATATGGCCATAGTTTGCCAACTCCTGGGTTAGAGGATCAAGAATAAGGAAGAAGAGACCCTGTGGGTACCCTGAGTCCAAGGGCTCCAATATAAATGGGACTTCACACTAAGTTTTATGTTTAAAGGTTCTCTGATGCAGATTCTAAACATCTTCTTTCGCCTGTTCATTAACTGTGACATTATGCAAATAGCTCTGCCTCTGTGAACCTTAGTTTCCTCACCTGTCACATGGCAGCAACAACATCTGCCTTGTTTAGCTCACAAGGGTGTCTGAGGAAAAACAAGCTCCCTGTTTCACAGATGAGGAAACTAAGAATCAGCTGGGTGGTGGAACAAGCCCTGACCTAAGAGCCAAGGGGCCTGGAACTAAGTACTCTCCCTGCTGCTGGCTGGGCAAGTGCTTGTAACCTCTTTGGGTCTCAGTTTCTCTTTTTGTAAAATGAAAGGGCCAGTTTAAATGATCTCTGACAGCCCTTCCAACACTAACATTCTAGATTTCTCTGAGAAAAGCCCAAGTGGTGTTAAAAGTAAGACGTTTTAGTTCTCTGACAATCTCATGGGCTCAGTAAGATGAAATCTAAGTGGGATCATGTATGTACCCAGCTCTTGGTAGATTCTAGAGGGAAGACCAAAAGCATCTGTGGTTCTTTCTGTCCTTGTCTTTGGTGGATGGCTTGGCTCTGTTAATCTTCCTTCCTGGTCCTTGTTTGAATGTAAGCTGAAAGCTCATTCCGTCTGCTTCTCTCTATGCTTTTGCTTTCTGCCGGCAGGACAAGCACCTTAATCCTCTAGACCTGCCTGTCACTGTAAGTAACACCATTATGTGGAAAGGGCCCTGGCTCTTCCAGGTGGGGAAGTCAAACCTGGGCAAAAATCTCATGGTCTGATCTAGATGTTCAGGGCATGCCAAGACCCAGGGAAAGTTTGTGTGCTGTGAATCTCCTTTGTCAGGACACTTAGGGAAGTACTGCAGATGAGAGTCACAGAAAGGATTAAGGGGGTACATGCCCCAGGGAGTATGGCCCCAGCCTTCCTTTGAAACTTGCCTTTGCATGGGTCTGTGGTTCAACTAGGGAAGACCAGACTCAGAAACAGCTGTGACTCAGCACATCAAGAAGCTTATCCACCATGATCAAGTGGGCTTCATCCCTGGGATGCAAGGCTGGTTCAACATATGCAAATCAATAAAAGTAATCCAGCATATAAACAGAACCAAAGACAAAAACCACATGATTATCTCAATAGATGCAGAAAAGGCCTTTGACAAAATTCAACAACCTTCATGCTAAAAACTCTCAATAAATTAGGTATTGATGGGACGTATCTCAAAATAATAAGAGCTATCTATGACAAACCCACAGCCAATATCATACTGAATGGACAAAAACTGGAAGTATTCCCTTTGAAAACTGGCACAAGACAGGGATGCCCTCTCTCACCACTCCTGTTCAACATAGTGTTGGAAGTTCTCGCCAGGGCAATCAGGCAGGAGAAATAAATAAAGGGCATTCAATTAGGAAAAGAGGAAGTCAAATTGTCCCTGTTTGCAGATGACATGATTGGATATTTAGAAAACCCCATCATCTCAGCCCCAAATCTCCTTAAGCTGATAAGCAACTTCAGCAAAGTCTCAGGATACAAAATCAGTGTGCAAAAATCACAAGCATTCTTATACACAAATAACAGACAAACAGAGAGCCAAATCATGAGTGAACTCCCATTCACAATTGCTTCAAAGAGAATACAATACCTAGGAATCCAACTTACAAGGGATGTGAAGGACCTCTTCAAGGAGAACTACAAACCACTGTTCAATGAAATAAAAGAGGATACAAACAAATGGAAGAACATTCCATGCTCATGGATAGGAAGAATCAATATCATGAAAATGGACATACTGCCCAACGTAATTTATAGATTAAATGGCATCCCCATCAAGCTACCAATGACTTTCTTCACAGAATTGGAAAAAACTACTTTAAAGTTCATATGGAACCAAAAAAGAGCCTGCATTTCCAAGACAATCCTAAGCCAAAAGAACAAAGCTGGAGGCATCATGCCACCTGACTTCAAACTATACTACAAGGCTACAGTAACCAAAACAGCATGGTACTGGTACCAAAACAGAGAAATAGACCAATGGAACAGAACAGAGCCCTCAGAAATAATGCCACACATCTACAACCATCTGATCTTTGACAAACCTGACAAAAACAAGAAATGGGGAAAGGATTCCGTATTTAGTAAATGGTGCTGGGAAAACTGGCTAGCCATATGTAGAAAGCTGAAACTGGATCCCTTCCTTACACCTTATACAAAAATTAATTCAAGATGGATTAAAGACTTACATGTTAGACCTAAAACCATAAAAACCCTAGAAGAAAACCTAGGCAATACCATTCAGGATGTAGGCATGGGCAAGGACTTCATTTCTAAAACACCAAAAGCGATGGCAACAAAAGCCAAAATTGACAAATGGGATCTAATGAAACTAAAGAGCTTCTGCACAGCAAAAGAAACTACCATCAGAGTGAACAGGCAACCTACAGAATGGGAGAAAATTTTCACAACCTACTCATCTGACAAAGGGCTAATATCCAGAATCTACAATGAACTCAAACAAATTTACAAGAAAAAAACAAACAACCCCATCAACAAGTGGGCGAAGGATATGAACAGACACTTCTCAAAAGAAGACATTTATGCAGCCAAAAAACACATGAAAAAATGCTCATCGTCACTGGCCATCAGAGAAATGCAAATCAAAACCACAATGAGATACCATCTCACACCAGTTAGAATGGTGATCATTAAAAAGTCAGGAAACAACAGGTGCTGGAGAGGATGTGGAGAAATAGGAACACTTTTACACTGTTGGTGGGACTGTAAACTAGTTCAACCATTGTGGAAGACAGTGTGGCGATTCCTCAGGGATCTAGAACTAGAAATACCATTTGACCCAGCCATCCCATTACTGGGTATATACCCAAAGGATTATAAATCATGCTGCTATAAAGACACATGCACACGTATGTTTATTGCAGCACTATTCACAATAGCAAAGACTTGGAACCAACCCAAATGTCCACCAATTATAGATTGGATTAAGAAAATATGGCACGTATACACCATGGAATACTATGCAGCCATAAAAAATGATGAGTTCATGTCGTTTGTAGGGACATGGATGAAGCTGGAAACCATCATTCTCAGCAAACTATTGCAAGAACAAAAAACCAAACACCGCATGTTCTCACTCATAGATGGGAATTGAACAATTAGAACACTTGGACACAGGAAGGGGAACATCACACACCGGGGCCTGTTGTGGGGTGGGGGAAGGGAGGAGGGATAGCATTAGGAGATATACCTAATGTAAATGATGAGTTAATGGGTGCAGCACACCAACATGGCACATGTATACGTATGTAACCTGTATGTAACATTGTGTATATGTACCCTAGAACTTAAAGTATAATTAAAAAAAAAAAAACAGCTGTGACTTTGATCTAGACAATACCATGGATGCGTCACCTTCTTACTTGCTTTAGCGGAGTAAAGCAAGCTTTTGCTTTACAAAAGCTTTACAGAGAAGCTTTTGGTCTTAAGACCTTTGTATTCTGGCTGCAGACCACTGTCAATTACACATTTTGTGAGTTGTCCATAGCAAGATTTAATCTCAGTTGACCTCCTAGGGTTAACCAAAGAAGTTTCTAGGCCACTATCCTCCTCTGCCAGCCAGTATGTATTCATTGAATGCGAAGTAAAATTTAATGTTCCTGGCAGCATCAGCCATTTGGAAAGTGGCTAGAAATCCAGAAGTGAGAGAGAGGGGCCTTTCAGCTCTGAGAAGAATGACACAGAGCTCACAGATACTACTCCGTAGGAGAGGTGTGACAGCTCCCTCAGGCCCATTGATTTAGGATTCTCTATAAAATTAAATGAAGGCAGCAGTTTAGGAAATGAAGTCATAGTAATTAACATTAGTAAGAAGTGATGGGCAACATTGGAAGGAGGAGACAGAAGAATTATGAAAAGCTGTCAGAAGAATTAAAGGCATTGTAATCTGGGACCATTTTGTTTATGGGAAAAGAGCTTCACATCTCAATAGCTCCTCAGGGTATCACAGTGTCACAACACAGAATAATCACTGATGTTCTTTTTGATGAAGCCGACTCCTTAGCACTGACTAAATTATAATCACTGTAGTCACTTCAGAAATAAAGAAATGTATATATCTTTAAAAGATTTGCATAAGAATGGTCAAAATAATGGTTCTGAGAGAACCCTTAAAGCTTTGCTCCCTGGAAGATTGATTTATGTAGGATACTTGATTTCCTGGGTGGGCTAAATAAATAAAGCATAACTGTCAAAATCTGGATCAAATATTATAAAAAAGGTGAGCCTGTTATAAAAAATTACCCAAAGCGCCTGACCCATTGTTCTCTAAGCCAGTTAGAACTGAATCCTAGACTACTTACTGTTGTAGAGCGTCCAGGCCCCAGCCCGTCTGCTGTAGGGTGGGACGGGGTTGCTGGACCAAAGTCCCTCCTTGTTTGGAGTCAGTGCTTCACCAGAGTTCCTTCTAGCCTTAGCGGTGGGGTCTGCCTGGCATGATGCGTGTGGCTTGGAAACCATCATGCTGCTCTGTGTCCATGTGCAATGTCCTTGTGACACAAGCGTCTCATTTTCAAGCAGTCCACATCTCTTTTTGAAGACAGTGCAGTTGATTGTGCCGTTAGGAAGGGAAATCCTATTTGAATTAATTTGCACTCACAAAAATGGGGAATGTTTCAGAGTGTAAAATACATTTGATGGTCAGTGGATTTTCATTCATTCACCCACTTTTCATTTGGGAGGAAAAAAATTTAAGAAAGTGAAAAAGGACCGGAGTTACGACATCAGCTTCCTCTCGATAGTACCGACGCACAGAGGAACCTAATCAATAGGTAAATACCTCTCGAACTGAAGAGCTTTTTCCTGTGATCCTCTGTGAGCAAAGTTGCCTTGAGGCAGCCATCTCGCCAGCAATTGAAGCGCCTCCAGGGAGGGACCAAAGCCAGCTCTACTGTTTGTAGCCCTGCAAATCTAGAATTTTTATCCAGAGGGAATATGTTAAAATAGGCATGAAAAGGGAAAGTAACTCATCCAGCTGACACTGATTAAAAACCTGAATTGTTTAGGGCACTGACAGAACTAAGTAATCAAATGTATTTGCTCTCAAAGACCTTCTGGGCCGGTAGGAAAGACTAGTGATCATAGTGCGGTGTGATCCAGGTTTGTGGTCTGGGAAAGGATGGAGGAGGAACAGTAAGTTCTGTCTTGAAGTGTTTCTGGAAACATTTAGAGGAATGTCTTCAGACGAGCCTTGGAGGATGAGTAGGCAGACTAGGAATAACAGGAATTTCAGCCAGAGGGTGGCTAGAACCCAGAAGGAGTGTGTCGATTAGGCACAGGGCAAGGAGCAAGTGGGTGAGGAGGCTGGAGAGGTAGCGAGGACCAGATCAGGAAAGGCCTTAGTCTCATTCCTAAGGACAGCTGAGGGCATTTAATTAAGTTGGTGAAATATCTAGATTTGCATTTTAGAAAGAGCACAGGAAAGACCTGTGTAGCTAATGGGTCCCTGAGGGAGGAGAGCAGAGCAGGAGTTGGCAGGTGGATCTGGAAAGAGGTGTAAATGCCTGTTACCGCCTGTGGGGTGGAGTAGGGCCAATGTTGGGAGGTGGGGCCAGTGGGAGTGGAGGAGGAGAGCCAAGGATCTGAATTAAAAGGAGGCAACTTTGGCCAGGCGCAGTGGCTCACGCCTGTAATCCCAGCACTTTGGGAGGCCGAGGCAGGAGGATTGCCTGAGGTCAGGAGTTTGAGACCAGCCCGACTGACATGGTGAAACCTCGTCTCTAATAAAAATGCAAAAATTAGCTAGGTGTGGTGGCAGACACCTGTAATCTCAGCTACTCAGGAGGCTGAGGTGGGAGAATTGCTTGAACCCTGGAGGCGGAGGTTGCAGTGAGCCGAGACTGGGCCATTGCACTCTAGCCTAGACAACAAGAGTGAAACTCCATTTCAAAGAAAAAAGAGGCAAGTTTATCAATTGTCAGAAACAAGGGAAACCTGTGAGACCACAGTGAAGGGAATAAAATGAAAAATTAGAAGATTAGAAGTCAAGTGTAAGATTTAAGCTAAAGATGGACTTAGGAGTCAGCAAGCCCCTCCTCTGCCATTTTCCAATCTTTGATCTTGAGCAATTCACGTAACTTCTCTAGACTTCAATTTGCTCATCTGGATATGAGGACTAAGTGAGCCAATGTATATACCACGCTTAGCAGGGTGCCTGGCACTCAGTAAGCCACTTTTTCCATTTTTTTCCCCTAAACACTTAATAGGAAACTTTTTTTTTTTTTTGAGACGGAGTTTCGCTCGTTGCCCAGGCTGGAGTGCAATGGTGTGATCTTGGCTTACTGCAACCTCCACCTCACAGGTTCAAGCCGTTCTTCTGCCTCAGCCTCCCGAGTAGCTGGGGGTTATAGGCATGCGCCACCACTCCGGGCTAATTTTGTATTTTTAGTAGAGACGGGGTTTCACTGTGTTAGTCAGAAGATCTCTATCTCCTGACCTCGTGATCCACCTGCCTCTGCCTCCCAAAGTGCTGGGATTACAGGCATGAGCCACTGCGCCCGGCCCAAATATTTCATTTTCAAGGCTGGAGGAGTTTGAGGGCTCATGGATATTTCCTGCTGTTTACTGGGGAGAAATATATTGGATGAGCTCATTACAAATTTCTATAATTATAATCTCTAAAAACTTAAAGTAGTTAATGCTAATTTACTTTAATCGTTATCAGACTGTATTTATAGCGACAGATTTTAGGATTCACAGATTTTAGTATAGACAATTCAAGCTGGGCACAATTGTATGCGCCTGTAGCCCCAGTTACTTGGGAGGCTGTGGCTGGAGGATTGCATGAATCTAGGAGTTCAAGGCCAGCCTGGGCAACATGGTGGGACCCCATATCTCTCTCTCTCTCTTTTTTTTTTTTGAGATGGAGTCTGTCTGTTGCCCAGGCTGGAGTGCAGTGGTGCGATCTTGACTCACTGCAACCTCTGCCTCCTGGTTCAAGCAATTCTCATGCCTCAGCCTCCCGAGTAACTGGGGTTACAGGCATGAGCCACTGCAGCTGGCTAATTTTTGTAGAAAGATACAGAACAATTCCAGTTTCCCAAAAAATGACCTTGTGCTGCTTTTTTCTTAGGCAAACCACCCTCCATCCCAGTCCCTGGCAATCACTGATGTCTTCTCTGCCCCTATAGCTTTAGCTTTTCCAGAATGTCATATAAATGTGATCATACTGCATATAATCTTTGCAGCTGGTTTCTTTCACTTAATACAGTGCAGTTGAGGTTCATCCATGTCACTGCATGTATCAGTAGTTCATTACTGCAGAGTACTGTTTCATTATGTAGATGTACCACAGTTTCTTTATTCATGTACACATTGAAGGACATGTGAACTGTTTTCGGTTTTTGACTACAGGTTAAATATCCCTTATCCAAGATGCTTGAGACCAGAAGTGTTTCAGATTTCAGTGTTTTAGGATCTTGCAATATTTGTATATACATAATGAGATAGCTTGGGGATGGGACCCAAGTCTAAGCACAAAATTTATTTATGTTTCATATACACCTTGTATAAAATAAGGCGAAGGTAATTTCATACAATATTTTAAATATTTTCAGTGCATGAAACAAAGTTTGTGTTAAGTACTTATGTGTGGAATTTTCCACTTGCATCATGTCAGTGCTCAAAAAGTTTTGGATTTGGGAGCATTACAGATTTCAGATTTTTGGATTTGGGATACTCAATCTGTATTATAACTAAATATTGCTATCAATTTTTGTGTACAAGATTCTCTGTGAACTTAAGTTTTTATTTCATTAGGATACTTAGAAGTAGGATGGTTGAGGCATATATGATAGGTATGTATTGAACATTTTAATGAAACTGCCAAACTGTTTTCCAGGATTCCTGTGCCATTTCTGCATTTCCACTAGCAATGTATGAAAAACTTCAATTGCTTCACATACTCACCATTTTTCATGCTAGTCATTCTAATAAGTTCATAGTTATAGTCAGTATGATTTTAATTTGCACTACTGTAATGATTATGATATTGAGCATCCTTGCATTTATTTATTTGACAGATACTTTTTTTGGTGAAATGTCTGTTTAAATATTTTTTTTTTTTTTTTTTTTTTTGAGACGGAGTCTCGCTCTGTCGCCCAGGTGGGACTGCGGACTGCAGTGGCGCAATCTCGGCTCACTGCAAGCTCCGCTTCCCGGGTTCACGCCATTCTCCTGCCTCAGCCTCCCGAGTAGCTGGGACTACAGGCGCCCGCCACCGCGCCCGGCTAATTTTTTTTGTATTTTTAGTAGAGACGGGGTTTCACCTTGTTAGCCAGGATGGTCTCGATCTCCTGACCTCATGATCCACCCGCCTCGGCCTCCCAAAGTGCTGGGATTACAGGCGTGAGCCACCGCGCCCGGCCTAAATATTTTGTTCATTAAAATTTTTTTTCTTAATTTTGAGTTTTGAGAGTTCTTTATATATTCTGGGTACAAATATTTTCTCTGAGTATGTGGCTTGTCTTTTCTTACAGTGTCCTTCACAGAGGAGAAATTTTAATTTTGATGAAGTTTACTGATATTCAGTTGTATAATACATTTTGGGTTAATTTTTGCATATGGAGTGAGGAATGAGTGTAAGTTAACATTTTTGCATGCGGATATTCAGTTGTTCCAGCATCATTTGGTGATATGATTATCCTTTTTCCAATGTTGCCTTTGCACCTTTATCGTAAACTAATTGACTATATTTCTGAACTCTAGTTTGTTTCCTCATTCTGTGTGTCTCATTTTGTCGATACTACATTGTTTTGATCACTGTAGTTTTTGTATGTCTTAAAATTATTGTGTGATTCTTGCATATCCCCCCAAAATTGTTTTGCATTTTCTAGTTTTTTTTTTTTTACCTTTCCATAGAAATTTTAAACTTAGTTTATATCTACAAAATATCCTGTTGGGATTTTGATTGAAGTTGCATTGAGTCTATAGATCAATTTGGGGAGAATTGATGACTAACTTGAGTCTTACTACATGAACATGGAATGTCTCTTCATTATATGTTTAAAAAGTTTTATTTTATCACTATTTTAGAGTGTTAATGTACAGATTCTGTAGATGTTTTGTTAGGGTGAAAGCAATACTTCTTTGTTGTTGTTATGGTTGGAGCTATTGAAAAGTAGTACTTTAAAAAGGATTTATTTTCCATTTGTTCATTATTGGTATATTGAAATATACTAGATCTTGCTAAACTCACTTATAAGTTATAGAAACTTTTTTTTTGTAAATTCCTTGGGATTTTCTACATAGATCATCATGCCATCTGCAAATATTTCTCTCATTCAAATCTAAATGTCATTTATTTATTTTTCTTATACTGGCTACAGCTTTCAGTAAAATATTGAATCATGGGTGATAAGAGTGGACATCCTTGCTTTCTTCCCAGTTTCTGGGGAAACACCTAGTCTTTCATCATTAAGTATGATGCTAGCTGTAGGTTTTTTTCTGCTTGCCTTTTTTCAGATTGAGGACGTCTCTTTTATTCCTAGGTTGCTGAGAGTTTTTATTATGAATGTATGTTGAATTTTGTAAAATGCTTTTTTATTAGTAATTGATATGGTTATGTGATTTTTCTTGTTTCATCCGTTAATTATGATGAATTACACTGATTGCTTTTCAAATGTTGAATCAGCCTTGAATTCCTGGGGTAAACCTCACTTGGTCATAATGTTTTATTCCTTTAATATATTCTGGATCAATGTGCTTATATTTTGTTGAGGAGTCTTTGCATCTGTATTCCTAAGGTATATTGTCTATACCTCCTTGTCTTGTATAACTAAGTGACTTGGACCTTTTTGATGTCTATAAATGCTTACTTAATGATAGTTCCTTCAAATTGAGCGGTTACAGTACAGCTTACCTCTCCCTTAATTTTGGCTTGTTTTGTTTTTTGTTTTGGTTGAGTGGTATCTTAGTATGTTTGGGCTGCTATAACAAGGTACCTTAGACTGGGTAATGTATAAATAATGGAAATTTATTGCTCACCATTCTGGAGGCTGGGAAGTCCAAGATCAAGGCACTAGAAGATTTGGTGTCTAGTGTGGGCCCATTTGTCACAGATAGTGTCTTCTTTGTGTCCTTACATGTTGGAAAGGGTAAATAAACTCACTCAGGCCTCTTTTATAAGGGTACTAACCTCATTCATGAGGGTGTAGTCCTTATGACCTACTTACCTCCCAAAGGCTCCACCTCTTAACATTATTACATTGGAGATTAAATTTAACATATGATTGGGGGCAAGCAAAAACATTCAGACCATAGCAGGTAAAATCAGAGCATTTCAACCCGGCATGGTGGCTCACACCTGTAATCCCAGCACTTTGGGAGGCCAAGGCGGGCAGATCACGAGGTCAGGAGATCGAGACCATCCTGGCTAACACGGTAAAAATCCATCTCTACTAAAAATACAAAAAACTAGCCGGGCATGGTGGCACGAGCCTGTAGTCCCAGTTACTTGAGAGGCTGAAGCAGGATAATTGCTTGAACCCAGGAAGCGGAGGTTGCAGTAAGGCGAGATTGCACCACTGTACTCTAGCCTGGGCACAGAGTGAGACTCGGTCTCCAAAAAAAGTTTTTATCAGCTGAAATGTTTTTGATTTTCCTTTTTTGTTGTCTTTATATGTGAAATAGGTTTGTATGGATAGCTTTATATGAAACTTGCCTCCTATTTTCTGTATTTTTTGAAATACTTTAAATTATCCTTTGTTAATGTGATATTCCATATGGAAGAGATCAGAGGTTTCAGTTGTTTCTAGAATTCTTACTTTCTTAGTTCTTTAGTTCTTTTCTTAGTTATTGATATTTATATATCAAGAGAATCACCACTTTATTCAAAAAATGTGCTGCAAATACATTCTCTAGTTTATGTGTTTTTCTATATAGTGTTTTATTTCTATGTGGCATTTAATGTTTTTTGTATTTACATTTCTCACGCTTATTTTGTTCTTTCTGATAAATTATTTATGAACATTTTCCCCAGTCTGAGATTGAAATATGTATATATGTACGTATATATGTTTGTATTCCTACCTGCCATGGCCTATTCTAGATCTTAAATCTTAGATTTGTTTGGTGTTTATTTTGAAGTAGGACATGAGATAGGCTCCAACATGCATATGTACTCGGTCTGTTAATTTTGTGTGGATCAATATCTAGTGGACCTTTCTTTGTTTACATCACTTTGTGTTTCAAATTACACTCAGGTGCTTCAGATAGTCTGTCAGTTTTTTCTCCTGAGTTCTCTCTGGGGGTCTCTGACCAGCTTCCACACAGATGGGCTGCCCTCTGTCTGGTGAAGGCTGTCACCTTGGAATCATCCTGGGATTCCCTTTGCCACTTTCCTTTTTTCAATATTCTCAATTTCCTTTTTTTATTTCCTCATGGTGAGTGTTGAGGGTATTCAGTGGAGTTGATGGTATGATACATGATTTTGGAAAGATAACGAAAAGCCAGACCATGAAGAACCTCATATGCCACGAGTTTTAGCTTCTTTTTAATGGTAGTGTAACTATTGAGAATATTTTATAGGTGAGTTATATTTGCTCTTATAGAGGATCCACTGTGGCTAAAATTTGTAGAATAGATGGAATAAAGGAAAATTAGGTAAAGCCTGTTGTAGTAATTCAGGAAAGATATAATAGTACATAGAAATAAGACAGCCATAGTGGGGGTGTCATTTTCACAGAGCTTGGGGTTAATTGGGCATGGGACAAAGGAAAGAAGGGTCAAGGATGGTACCCAGGCTTCTGAGTTTGGCTAGCAGACTGATCCTCAGAGTAGGAGTATCATGTTTAGAGTAGGCACTGAGTGTAATTTTGGACATACAGTGTAAATGATTGCAATAGATCCTTTGCCCACATTCACCAAATGCTAACATTCTACTATGTTTACTTTATGATTTATCTGTCTCTCTGTCTTTATCTCTTTCACTTTGTGTGCACATGTGTGTGAGTGTGTGTATGTTTTCTGACCCATTTGAGAAGTTTGTGGACATGATGCTTTTCTAAATCTAATTACTTCACTGAATGTTTCCTTGAAACAAGCCGTGATTGTCAAAATCAAGAAATTAACATTCAGTGTTGTTAGCTAATCTACAGACCTTATTCAGATTTTGCCAGTTGTCCCAATAGTGTTCTTTATGGGGAACAGAACTTCCAGATCTTGAATTGAAGTCAGTTATCATGTCTTTTTAATCTCATATAATCTGGAAGAGTTTTTCAGTCTATGATTGCTGGAAATTTGAATGGCTTTGGAATTATGTGTGTATATGTTGGGGGTGGTGTTGATATGGGAAACAGACTTGTGATTGTGGTCCTTAGACCACAGAGTATAAATTAGAATCAGGAATGCATCTGGGGAGATGGATTTTCTACTGTCTGTTGCTGGAAAGGTAGAAAACAGATCTTCTACTCAAGGATGACTGCATTGATTTGTTTTTTACCCGAGATGAATAATTTGGCTTTGATAATTTGGTTCAGGAACTAGGTGAGACTGATGCTTAGATATGTTTGTATCCTTAAGTAGTATAGAGTTTACATGGCATATACATGACTATGTAAATTCTTCCTACCTGGAAACATACCAGTGAATAGAAAAGGATTGGAGTGTGGCCAAAAAAAATCGAGCTTCTTAAATCTATCTTGGACACACAGTGTTACTGTTAGGTGCTGGCCTCTGTTAAGCTCTCTTGGGAACTTATATATTCCTGTTCTCTGTAGTCACCTTGCTGATATTATGATTCCATATTTCTGACTATTTACATTCATTAACCATGTGTGTGCATGTGTGTCTGTTTTCTGTTTGCATATTGATATAAATTATTTATAGTCTGTTTTTTAAAAGGGAAAGTAGCAGTATTCCTTGTCAATACTTAGTCCTCTGTGTTGAATTATACCTTTAATTGAAGAGTGGTATAGGAGTATATGTTTCTTTGTGTCATGTATTGAGTATTGTCTTCATTTTCTGTTAAGCCCTCAGATGTGTAGACCAGAGATATGATCTCTCTGTATGCAGCTCTTCTCAGAGATTTATATCTACATGCAGTTGTGACTGACAGTTGTATTATTTGCTGCCACATTTCCAGTTGTGTGATTGAGTAGTGAACAGGCAGGCTTTGTCATTCAACTGGCGTGGATTTTATACAAGGCCAGTTGAATTTTATCTGAATTTGGGTAAATTGCTTATTATCTGAATTTGGGTAATTGCTTAACTTTTCAATATTCATTTTTCTCTTTCAAGTGGGGACAATATTGTCAACTTTTTTTTTTTTTTTTTGAGATGGAGTCTTGCTCAGTCGCCTAGGCTGGAGTTCAGTAGCGCAATCTCGGCTCACTGCAAGCTCTGCCTCCTGGGTTCATGCCATTCTTCTGCCTCAGCCTCCCGATAGCTGGGACCACAGGCGCGTGCCACCACGCCTGGCTAATTTTTTTGTATTTTTAGTAGAGACGGGGTTTCACTGTGTTAGCCAGGATGGTCTCAATCTCCTGACCTCATGATCCGCCCGCCTTGGCCTCCCAAAGTGCTTGGATTACAGGTGTGAGCCACCATGCCCGGCCAATATTGTCAACTTTTTATGACTTTCAGATTTAAATGAGATAATATTAAAATTTAGTTATGGGATCTGGCACAAATTGAGAATGCGAAAACAGTAGTTGATATTATTTTACTTCCTGCCATCTGCTTGATTATTATAGGCTGTTCACCCTGAGAATTGAGACTGCCCTATTTTTTTATGTTCTCTCAAAAAATTTTTTAAATGTCTTCCACAAGATTTTGTCTCCACAGTTATCCATTTACTTGACAGCCTCTCAGCATACGTTAGAGCAAAAGCCTTCCTGGTTCTTCTATATATTTTGATTTATAACCGTGAAATGTTGCTGTTCAATTGCCAAGCAAGGTAAGATTTTCTCTGATGTTTTCTTCAGTAGCTTCAATTTAGTGCCTCTTGTATTAGTAGTTTTAGGGCATTTTTTGGCTTCTGTGTATCTGGTATATATTTTTTAAGAGTTTTTCCAGGGGCTTAATATTTCTTCTGTAATCTCAGTTTGAAAGTACTGAGGACCCCGAGAAGACCTCTGAAACTGTAGCAGGGTGAGAAATGCCTGGTGTGTCCTTGATATGATTTGGCTGTTTGTCCCCACCTGAATCTCACTTTGAATTATAATCCCCATAATCCCCATGTGTCAAGGGTGGGACCAAGTGAGGGTCATTGGATCATGGGAGTGGTTTTCCGCATTCTGTTCTTGTGATTATGAGTGAGTCTCACCACATCTGATTTTTATAAGGAGCTGGCGTTTCCCCTGCTGGCATTCACTCTATCCTGCCAGCTGTGAAGAAGGTGCCTGTTTTTCCTTTACCTTCTGCCGTCATTGTAAGTTTCCTGAGGCCTCCCCAGCAATGTGGATCAATTAAACCTCTTTCCTTTATAAATTACCCAGTCTCAGATATGTCTTCATAGCAGTGTGAGAATGAGCTAATACAGCCCTAGATCTGAGAACAGTCCAAAGCAGGGTGTTGAGAAGGTTCTGGTTTGTACCTTTGGGAGTCAATATTGGACCAGTGGTTTGGTTGTAATTTTGCTTATTGTAAGATTCTGGAATAAGTAGCTGAAGGCTCAGAAGGAGGAGCAGGGCAGGGGGCAAGAGTTTATGGACTGGTCCTAGGAAGGGCAGGTCTTTCTCCTGGCTTGTAACTCTTTCCTCTAAAAGGAGGAGCTATTCTAGATGCTCCTCAAGTTTTCTTCATGTTCTGGTGCTTTCTGATTAACATCTTCTGAACCATCTCATCCATGCTGTATTGAAGCCCAGAGAAGCCCTGGCAATTTGGTTTAATGCCTGTTTCTAGATCCAGATTTTTACTTGTTCTAGAGTACTGAGCAGAGCCTGGTATTGCTGAGATTGATCTAGATTAGGGGTTGACAATTTTTTTTTTTTCCTGGTAACAGTGAGAGGGTAGGCTTTGTAGGTCAAGAGGCAAAATTGGGCCTATTATATACCTTCCTATATAACAAACAAGGACACAAATTTCCATGTGTACTTTTGGAGACAGGGTCTTACTCTGTTGCCCGGGCTGGAGTGCAGTGGTGTAATCACAGCTCACTGGAGCCTTGAGCCCCACACCAGGCTCAAGCGATCCTCTCGCCTCAGCTCCCAGAGTAGCTGGCACTACAGGTGCATATCATCATGCCCAGATAATTTTTAAAATATTTTGATGGAGACAGGGTCTCACTGTGTTGTCCATGCTGGTCTTGAACTCCTAGGCTTGAGTGATTCTCTTGCCTCAGCTTCCTAAAGTGCTAGGATTATAGGCATGAGCCACCATGCCCAGACCATGTTTTTTATTGACATAAAAATATACCAATCATAATTGAATGAAATTTTTCTTTTGTAATACAGGTCTGTTAATGAGAAGAGAATTTTTTCAGGGGAAGGGGGAGATGACATTTTGCTTAATTGGGCATCAAAGTTAGTGTCTTTATCATTAAATCAATGGCAAATGTTCTCTTAGTGCTGATTTTTAATGTGATTTAATGTGTTTTGTCTTTGAAAATGTCTTCACACAGGTAGATACTGCCAAATAACAATATCAACTCATGAGCATATGATTTTAATTGAGCATATTTGTCACTGGGAAGGCATTTGTAGAATTCTATTAGATTCTTCTCTTGATTTCTGTGTTTCAGGATGTCATTACATTATAGATCAATCACTTCCAATTGAGGGGTGTGGAATTTCCTAACAAACCTCCTTGTTTCTCATCATTTAGGGATCACTATTTTTCCTTGTCCAGTGTCTTGAAGTTTGATGTTTCATGTATTTTGTCTATTTTTTGGTTGTTTTAGATGGGAGGGCGAATCCTGTTTCTGTTAGTCTATTATGGCCAGAAGTGGAAGTCACTCTTGTCTATTTATTTTTAATGGCCTCACCACTGGCTTCGCTACCTCTGATCTGTCTTTGCATTTACTGTCATTTTTCACTAGAACAACTAATATTGTTTCTCAACAGTTCTACCATATAGAGTTAGGGCAAGAAAAGAGAAAAAAAAGGAGAAAATAAAACAATAAAAGAGAAAGAACAAGTAAAAAACTTTTTCAATGGATGCTCCTACATCATTTCTTGTACTCACAGTCTGGTTTCTATATAGCAGCTTAGAGTACCTACATACCGTGAATCAGCTTTTGTTTCTTCCCTTCTCGGACTCCTCCAGTAACATGCAGTCACTCTGAAATAATACCCCTGCCCCTCACCATGTCCTGCCTGTCCTGCCTTGTCTAATTCTTGCCCTTGTGTTAGCCCTTGTCTTCTTTGGGCACACTCCATTCCAGCCCCATGGCTTGCCTGTTGCTTTTTGAATGCACTAAGCCTGTTGTGCTCACCTCAGGGCTTTTCTTGGTTGCTGTTTCCTGTGCCTATGATCTCTTCTTTCAGATGCTTGCATGGCTGGCTTCCTCAGATCATTCAAGTCTCTGTCCAAGGGTTACTTCTTCTGAGAGCCACCCTGATGACGTTATCTAAAATACCCGTAACCTCAACTTCAGAAACTCTTTAACTGGAAGCAACTAAACCACTTACACCTTCAGAGCTTGGGTATGACATATGTGATCCCTCCTCCCTGGAAATTGCTGTGACTTGTCTCTGAATGAATGTTTAGAAGCTGGAGCAGTGGTGGGAACGTGGTGGTTTGAAGGCATGCCCCTGACACTGACCTCCACTCTTCTCACTCTCTGGAGCAACACAACAAGCAGGGTGATTGTAGAGAGAGGGTCTGGCAGATGACCTTAGCCTTGCTGGGGAGGTAAGGTAGGCTCCATTTCTCCTGCACTGTGTGGCAGAGATGGTGCCCCTGTCCTTGGGTTCCTAAGCTCAGCATGAATAGTAGAACTTGGTGCTTCTGTAGGGTCTAAAATGCAGATGCTTTCTACATGTGGTGGTTTGGGCTTGCAGTCTTATTCCCAGGAGATCTTGAGCAGAACTGAAATGGTGGGCCAATCTGTCCCCGTCTGTAAGGTTCGAGAAAGACCACATCACCTTCCTGCCCTTGAAAAGAACAGCTCCCTCTTACTACCTGCTTCTTTGCCACACCTGTCCTGATTGGGTGCTGAGTAGCTTAAGAAGTCAGTAGGCAGAGATTTGTCCCAGCCCAGTTAGGGAAACATAGTACTTGAAAGAGAAAGAACAGGCACACCAGGCATTTTTTTTTTTTTTTTTTTGAGACCAAGTCTCACTGTGTGACCCAGGCTGGAGTACAGTGGCCTGATCTCGGCTTACTGCAACCTCTGCCTCCTGGGTTTGAGTGATTCTTCTGCTTCAGCCTCCTGAATAGCTGAGACTACAGCTGCTCACCACCACGCCCAGCTAATTTTTGTATTTTTAGTAGAGACAGGGTTTCACCATGTTGGCCAGGCTGGTCTCAAACTCCTGACCTTGATGATCCGCCTGCCTTGACCTCCCAAAGTGCTGGGATTACAGGCATGAGCTGCCACACGCGGCCAGATCAGGCATTTCTTATGGAGGCAAAACAAATGGAAGAGACAGAAAAGAATTTTAACAAATATCGAAAACTCTATGGAGAAGGCAGTGGCTTTTTTGTTTGTTTGTTTGTTTGTTTGTTTGTTTGTTTCTGAAAGTCTAAAACTGAAGAGAATGGCCTCTGCTGGGGATAGCATTGGTGCTTTGAAAGGCAGTATGAAAGGGCACATTGAACCATTCAGAGCTGATGACAAAGACATGGAAACTTGAGAGGAAACAATAAGAAAGTACGAGTGGAGATCCAGGAGACCTCACATGCCAAGTGCTAAGAATTTTAGGAGGAGTAAAGAACAGATGGAGGAGGATTTCCAGTCGAGGAAATCATAGCGGTCATCTTCTGGTTGAACATGCTCTTTTCTGATACTGTACTCAAATGAGAATAAAATAATTAAAAGACGTGAAACCACAAGGGCAGAAGCAAAGGGAAAGATGGCTAAAGCAGATGAATGTTGTTACCTTGTCTTTGTGTTTTGGAAGTTGAAAATTACCACGGACTCCGTGATTTAAGGCAGTGCTTGTTTATTAATCTGACAGTTTCCATGGGTCAGGAGTCTGGGCTTGTTATAACTGAATCCTCTGCTCACAACTCACATACTTGATGTCAAGGTGTTGGCTGGTGCTGAGATTCTCATTTGAGGCTTGAGGTTCTCTTCCAAGCTCGCTGATTCTTGACAGAATTCATTTTCTTGCAGTCTTTGACATCCTCACTTTCTTGCTGATATTTGGCTGGGGTTCACTCTCAGCTTCAGGAATCTGTCCTTTTTCTTCGTTGACAGTTTACTGCATACCTGTTTACTTTCTCTTGGTGGCCAGCAAGATTGCTTCTCATGTCCTGAGAAGCAGGGACTCATTCCCCTCATGCTTCAAACATCTTTGACTTCCTTCCTCTGCCATCAGTCAGAGAAAATGAGTTTTAAATGTCTCACTTGATTAGCTTAGGCTCACTCAGATAATCTATCTTTTTTTTTTTTTTTTTTTTTTTTTTTTTTTTTTTTTGAGACGGAGTCTCGCTCTGTCGCCCAGGCTGGAGTGCAGTGGCGGGATCTTGGCTCACTGCAAGCTCCGCCTCCCGGGTTCACGCCATTCTCCTGCCTCAGCCTCCCAAGTAGCTGGGACTACAGGCGCCCGCCACTACGCCCGGCTAATTTTTTGTATTTTTAGTAGAGACGGGGTTTCACCGTTTTAGCCAGGATGGTCTCGATCTCCTGACCTCGTGATCCGCCCGCCTCGGCCTCCCAAAGTGGATAATCTATCTTAAGATTAATGGAATTGGGACTTTAATTATGTCTTCAAACTCACTTCCCAATACAGATGCTCCTTGATTTACAGTGAAGTTGCATTTCAGTAAACCCATCGTAAGTTGAAAATATCATGTCAAAAATGCATTTAATACCTCTAACCTACTGAACATCATAGCTTAGCCCAACCTACCTTACATGTGCTCAGAACACTTACATTAGCCTATAGTTGGGCAAAATCATCTAATGCAAAGCCAACTTTTTTTTTTTTGAGATGGAGTCTCGCTTTGTCGTGCAGGCTGGAGTGCAGTGGCGTGATCTTGGCTCACTGCAGCCTCTGTCTCCCAGATTCAAGTGATTCTCCTGCCTCAGCTTCCCGAGTAGCTGGGATTACAGGTGTGTGCTGCCATGCCTGACTACTGTTTGTATTTTTAGTAGAGATGGGGTTTCACCATGTTGGCCAGGCTGATCTCAAACTCCTGACCTCAAGTGATCCACCTGCCTTGGCCTCCCAAAGTGCTGGGATTACAGGTGTGAGCCACTGCACCCTGCCCACAAAGCCTGTTTTTATAATAAAGTGTGGAATATCTCATGTAATTTATTGAATACCACCCTGAAAGTGAAAACCAGAATGGTTGTACGAGTATTCCATATATGGTTTCTACTGAATATTGTTTTTGTACCATCGCAAACTAAAATATCATAAAATTGCAAGTTGAATTAATGTAAGTTGGGGACCAGCGGAAGTATCTAGATTGGTGTTTGAATGGCCAGGATGGTGGGGCTTTGGGGGCAGGGGGATCTTTAGCATTCTGCCAACCATCACAGTCCCCAGAATGGAGGGCTACACAGTTGTGGAAAGGCACAAGGAAGATGTCTGTACACAGCCATGGAGTCATCTACAAGACATTATTCTCCTGATAAGAGTCAGATGTAGAACAGTTATTCATAGCATACTATTAATACCTTTTGTCTAAGAAAGGGGGTGAAAACAGAGAAGATATGTGCCTTTACTAATATTTTACAAAAGACAGAATGGAAAGTTAAATAAATTAAAAAGAGTGATAGTTTACAGGATTAGAAACAGAATAAGGAAGGTGCAGGGCCAGGAATGAGCTATGCTTCTCTGAATGTACCTGCTTTATGGTCTAGACTTAAGAACCAGGCAAATGTTTTATATAATGTTAAAAATAAAAATGATAAAAATAAAGTGGTCTTTAAAAATTGAAAGCAATCTGTGTGTCAAGTTTGTGGTATGATTCCCCAGAGAAGAGATGTTTAAAGCGAATGCTTTTAAATTACAGTATTATGGCAGAATATTTCTATCATAATATATCTTAATCATAATATAATATATTTTAATCCCATTAAGAAACCTTAAACTGCATTCAGTGTTCTGGTTGTCAGTGTTAATATATGTATTGCCATTTGAAACTATTTTATATATATATATATATATATATATATATATATATATATATATATATATATGGTGTGTGTTTCTGTGTGTGTGTGTATATATGCTCTCTATGGTGTGTGTGTATATATATGCTCTCTCTATATATGGTGTATGTGTGTGTGTATATATATATATGTGGCCTGTATGGTATATATATGTCTCTATGGTGTGTTTGTATATATATCTATATATATATATATGGTCTCTCTCTATATATGGTGAGAAAACTAATAATCATGCTAATTCCAATAATAACCAGTATTAGTGTAAAATTAAATGTACAATTATAAAAATATAATTAAGTAAAATTCTCTCATCTTTAATTTGACTCAAAAGTGTTAGGATAAACTCATTTATTTTTCTATCTTTTTAAGGAAATTATATATTTCATGTATATATATATATATGCTCTATGGTGTGTGTGTGTATATATATGCTCTCTCTATATATGGTGTATGTGTGTGTGTGTATATATATATGTGGCCTCTATGGTATATATATGTCTCTCTGGTGTGTTTATATATATATCTATATATCTATATGTATATGGTCTCTATATATATGGTGAAGAAACTAATAATTATGCTAACTCCAATAATAACCAATATTATTAGTGTAAAATTAAATGTACAATTAGAAAAATATAATTAAGTAAAATTCTCTCTTCTTTAATTTGACTCAAAAGTGTTAGGATAAACTCATTTATTTTTCCATCTTTTTAAGGAAATTATATATTTCATAGTTTTATCTATGTGTATTAGTTTGCTTGGGCTGTCATAAGAGAGTACCACAGATCAGGCAACTTAAACAACATAAATTTATTTTCTCACAGTTCATCGGCTACAGATCCAAGATCAAGGTCCCGGCAGGTTTGGTTTCTGGTGAGGTCTTTCTTCTTGGCTTACATAGAGGGCTGTCTTCTGGATTAGACATCCCCCATATGACCTCATTTAGCCTTAATTACCCCCTTAAATCTCCAAATACAGCCCTATCTCCAAATACATACCTATCTTCAAATATAGTCACATTGAGGATTAGGGCTTCAACATGTGAATTTTGAGGGGAACAGAATTCAGTTTATAACACTAAGAAGCTAGTATTCAAGTTTTAATTTCTAAGTACCATTTTCTACTCAAATCATGGTCTGTTGTATAAATAGGTTCCAAGTCTCTGGCACAGCTTTACATTTAGGCCAGAAATGAACAAATTGAGGCTGGGACATGTCTTTCCTGAAAGCAAGGAAGTTATCAGAGACTTCTAAGGTCATGTTAAAAAGAATGCAGGAGCCAATGTGAAGGAGCTTCTACTGGCCAAAAGTGGAATTTTGAGAGTTCTTTATATATTTTAGACATGAGCCCACTGTCAGATATATGGTTTGCAAATTTTTTCTCTCTGTGTGTAGCTTGTCATCTTTTCTTAACAGGATATTTTACAGAACCAAAGTTTTGAATTTTAATGGGTTCACTTTATCAGTTTTTCCTTTGATGGTTTGTATTTTTGATGTCAAGTATAAGAACCCTGTCTAGAGTCCAAAGATTTTCTCTCTTGTTTTAAAAAATATTTTTTATGGTTATACACTTTTTTAAAAATTATACTTTAAGTTTTAGGGTACATGTGCACAACGTGCAGGTTTGTTACATATGTATACATGTGCCATGTTGGTGTGCTGCACCCATTAACTTGTCATTTAACATTAGGTATATCTCCTAATGCTATCCCTCCCCCCTCCCCCCACCCCACAACAGGCCCCGGTGTGTGATGTTCCCCTTCCTGTGTCCATGTGTTCTCATTGTTGAATTCCTACCTATGAGTGAGAATATGTGGTGTTTGGTTTTTTGTCCTTGCGATAGTTTGCTGAGAATGATGGTTTCCAGCTTCATCAATGTCCCTACAGAGGACATGAACTCATCATTTTTTATGGCTGCATAGTATTCCATGGTTATATGTTTATATTTAAGTTTGTGATCCATTTTGAGTTAATTTCCATATAAAATATAAGGTTTAGTTAGAGGTTTTCTTTTGGTTTTGGTTTTTGCCTGTGGATATTTAATTGCTCTGGTGTTACTTGTTGAGAAGGCTATCTTTCCTGCATTGAATTACTTTTGTGTCTTGTCAAAAATCATTTGGACATACATGTGTGGGGCTACTTATGGGTTCTCTAAACTTTTCCATTGATCTGTGTGTCTGTCCCTTTATCAATACAACATTGTGTTGATTACTGTAATTAAGACTACTTGATCATAATAAGGCTTAATATTGGACAGAGTGAGTCCTCTCCTTTTATTCTTCTTTGTTAAGATTGTTTTAGCTGTTCTGGGACCTATATGCTTTTCCAGATAAGTTTTGGAATGAGCTTGTTCATATTTTCCAAAACCTTGCTGGGCTTGCATTAAACTAATGCATCAGTACAGGGATAGTTGATATATTTACTGTATGGTCTACTGATCCTTAAACGTGGTGTCTCCCTCCATTTATTTAGCTTTTTTAAAAACCTTCTTTCATTAGCATTCTATAATTTCATAATGTTTTGTTAAGTATATACCTAGTATTTCTTTTTGGAGGGGAGCAATTGTAAATGGTATTGCATCATTAATTTCAGTTTCCACATTTAACTGATGTGATTTTTGTGTTTCTTGATTTTATCTTCTACAACCTTACTAAACTCACTTATCAATTCTAGGTGTTTTTTTTTGTTGTTGTTTTTTGTTTTTGTTTTTGTTTTTTTTGCAGGTTCCAGGAGATTTTCTATATAGCCAATCATGTCATCTGTAAATGTGGACAGTTGTATTTTTTTCTCTCTTGTTTGTGTGCCCTTTATTTTTATTGCCTTATTTTAGTATCTAGAATTTCCAGTACTATGTTGAATAAGAGCAGTGAGAGCAGATGTTCTTGCTTTGTTTCTGGCCTTGTAGGGAAAGCATTTTTAGGCTTCCATGTTAAGGATAATGTTAACTCTAGATTTTTTGTAGATGTTCTTTATCAGTGGAGGAAGGTCACTCTGATTCCTATTCTTTATCTCCAATTTTCTTAGAGTTTTTTTTTCTTTCATCATGAATGGGTATTGGATTTTGTCAAATGCTTTTTCTCTATCAATTAATATGACATTATGATTTTTGTAGCTGTTGCTATAATACATTGCATTAATTGTTTTTCAAATTCTACAGCATTTGCATACCTGGAGTAATCTCACGTGGTCATAGTGTGATAAAGATAAGAGATTAGGAAAACTGCTGGGAGCAGTGGTTCACACCTGTAATCCCAGCACTTTGGGAGTTCAGGAGCTCCCAGCACTTGAGCTCAGGAGTTTGAGACCAGCCTGGGCAACATGGTGAGACCTCATCTCTGCAAAAAATACAAAATTAGCTGGGCGTGGTTACATGCACCTGTGATCCCATCTACTTGGGAGTCTGAGGTGAGAGGACTGCTTGAGCCTGGGAGGCAGAGGGGTTGCAATGAGCTGAGGTCATCCAACTGTACTCCAGCCTGGGCAACAGAGCAAGACTCTGTCTCAAAAAAAAAAAAAGGATTAAGGATACTAAAATAAAAACATGAGTGTTTGGAGAGAAGACCAAATGGATAAACTGAATTGATATAGGAAAATAAGAGAATTCTGTAAGGTAGCTGAAAAAGCTGGCATTTTATACACTGAAGTCATAATTGCTGTCTTTTAGAAGTTAGAGATAATAAGAATTTGAGTTTAGAGTCAAAAGGGTCAGTCTCCATCAAATACTAATATCCTAATCAAATAATTACTTGGCTGAGTGTAGTGGCTCATGCCTGTAATCCCAGCACTTTGGGAGGCCAAGGTGGATGGATGACAAGGTCAGGAGATTGAGACCATCCTGGCTAACATGGTGAAACCACTGTCTCTACTAAAAATACAAAAAATTAGCCGGGCATGGTGGCGGGCTCCTGTAGTCCCAGCTACTTGGGAGGCCGAGGCAGGAGAATGGCATGAACCCAGGAGGTGGAGCTTGCAGTGAGCCGAGACCACGCCACTGCACTCCAGACTGGGCAACAGAGCGAGAGACTCCATCTCAAAATAATAATAATAATTATTATTATTTAACTTAACTTTACGATGCTCTAATAATCAAAATTGATAGTGGCTTGTGAACAGATAGATCACTTGAACAGATAGATCACTTGAATAGAATAGAGCCCAGAAATAAACCCAAATGCTTCTGGGGGAGTTTAGTATATTATAAACATGACATTTTAAATCAATGAGGAAAAGAAATCATTTGCAGCTCACCCTACCATACGCAGCAGGAATAGGAAGTCATTGGCAGAATAAAAAGATGGTAAGAACAGAACAGAATTATAGAACAGTACGTTTCTTCCTTCCCCACTTTTCAAAGTATTTTTTGCTTTTACACAAGTATAAGTGTAATTTTATTTTCTAAATGTATACTAATTGTTTTGTCTCTTTCTTAGATGAATGAAAAAAATTACACCTTTAGAAAAAGAGTTGTTAGAAAAAAGCCTTGGCTGCATGTAGGGGAAGTGACAGCACAGAAGAGACCAGAGAAGAGCCTCCTGGAGGAGAGCCTACGCTTTGACCATGCTGTCCGGATGGGTACGGTGCCCTCTTCTGCAGAGTGTTCATTTCTATGCTTTTTCTATGGTTCCATTTCATAGAAAGATTTGGGGTGATGTTTCTTTTCCCTCAACTTTTTATTTTAAAACTTGCAAACACAGAAAAGTTGATAAAATAATACAGTGAACATCGGTATGCTATTCAACTGGATTCACCAATTAAGGTTTTGTCATACTTGTTTTCTCTCCTCCGCATATGGAAGATTGTATATGTGCCCTTTTTCCCCCTGAATCATTTCAAAGTAAGTTACCAGTATCGTGGCATTTCACTGTTAAGTACTTTCACAGATATCTTCTAGGAACCAGGACATTCTCCTATATAATCACAATACCGTTAATCCACCCCAAAAATTTAACATCAATACACTAATGATACCTACTGTATAGATTATAATCAGCTTCCTTGCAGAATCTGTTTAGAAGGCTTGCATCCTGTCACTGTCCACTGATTAAATTTTGAACTCTAACTTGAAACCCTGGTCATCTCATTGCCTTCTTTCTTATACCCATTAAGTCAAAAGGAGCTCTCATTTTATTTCAATGGAAAACAGAATGGAAAAGAGGGGAAGAGTCCGTAGGTACCTTGGATAAAGTATGAGCACTTACTACCATATGTATTCTAGTTCTGTAGTTTTCAAACTTCAGGGAGCATTTCAAGGCTTATTAAAGCACAGATAGTTGTCCTTCTTCCCCACTTTCTGATTCAGGAGGTGTGGGGCTGGCCCAGGAATTTGCATGTCTAACAAGTTCCCACGTGTTTCTGATGCTGAGGGTCTAAGGACTACAATGCATGAATCCGTGGTTTAGTGGATATCCACCTAATGAATACATGTTGTATTTCCTTTAGCACCTGTGATTACAGAGGAAACACCTTTCAACTGGAAGATATCATTAAGCAGAGGATAAGAGATCAGGTCAGTAAGAATTAAATTTCACTTAATTGAAATGTCACTGAAATTTTTAGAAATAATATGATAGGCCTGGCACGGTGGCTCATGCCTGTAATCCCAGCACTTTGGGAGGCCAAGGCGGATGGATCACTTGAGGTCGGGAGTTCAAGACCAGGCTGTCCAAGATGGTAAAACCTCCTCTCTACTAAAAATACAAAAATTAGCTGGGCATGGTGGTGCATGCCTATAGTCCCAGCTACTTGGGAGGCTGAGGCAGGGGAATCGCTTGATCTCGGGAGATGGAGGTTGCAGTGAGCTGAGATGCACCACTGCACTCCAGCCTGGGTAACAGAGTGAGACTCCATCTCAAAATAAATAAATAAATAAATAAATAAATAAATAAATAAGATAAAAATAAAAATAAAGGGAAGATGGGGCAGCTTTGTGTACTGCATGTCCCGAAAATGGGCTGATTTCTCTCAAGAGGCAGGGATTTAAGCTCTCTAGCCTACATGGAATACATGGAGTAGAAAAAAGAAGAAAAAGAAAAGAAATGTAAATATAAATAAATGAAAATAACACTTCTCCCCGATTATAAAGGAAATCACTCTTTTTGTAATAATTTAGATGACAAAATATAAAGAAAAATCTTTAATTTTGCCACTGAAAACATTTTGGTTTGTTGCTTTTTACACTTTTTATGCATATAAACATTTTAAAAAGTAGAATCATAATATATGGTCTTTTGTCACTTACTATATTTTAAGCATGTTTCTATGGCAGAAATATATCCTGGCATCATCACTTTCAATAGCTGGATGTATGTTAAGTGAATCATTGCCACCCCAGAGGTGGATTTCCTTCTATATATATTTTAATGAACTCGAGTCAGGATTTTTGCACTGAATTCATACAAGTAGAATTTCTAGAGGAAAGTAATATAAAACAGTTTTAGGATTTTTAAAAGAAATGTTCAAATCATCCTATAGGAAAATTGGTTGAGTTTATACTCCCACCAACAGGGACAGAGCTCCAGGTTCCCCCTTCCATTTGTCATCTTCGCTGGTCTTTAAGCAGAAAATCTCATTGTTTTCATTATATTTCTTTGATTTCTAGTGCTTTTGAATCTTTTTCATATGCTCATTGGCTATTTTTATTCTTGTGGGAAGTGCCGGTTTCTCTACTGCCCATTTTCTGCTGGAAATCATTCATTTTTTTTTTCTGAGTAATTTTAAATTTTTCTTTATAGGCTAAGGATACAAACCTTTAATGTCATTGAGGTTACAAAGACTTTCTCCTCATAAGTAATTTGTCATTTCGCTTTATTTATTTATATTTTGCTAGCCAAGCACCAAAGTCACATTTCACTTAATTTTTATGTTGCTGAATGAAAACATTTTAACTTAATGATTTTACTGGAAAGAGGAGCAGGACAGAATGTAATATCTAGATCTTGCTCTGTCACCCCAACTGGAGTGGAGTGGCATGATCATAGCTACTGCAGCCTCAAACTTCTGGGCTCAAGTGATTTTCCCACCTCAGTCTCCCAAGTAGCTAGGACTACAGGTGTGTGACGCCATGCCCAGCTAATGTTTAATTTTTTTTTGTAGAGCTGTGAATTCGCTATGCTGCCCAGGCTGGTCTTGAACTCCTAACTTACTCCACCTTGGCTTGCCAATATGCTGGGAGTACAGGTGTGAACTACTGCTCGTGACTGAGAGCTTACTTTTGTTTGCTAGTGGTGTTCTTGGTATCTTTTTATATTTGAGGCTTTTGTGCTAGTGCTGAAGTATTATACTCACCATCTGAGGTTCACAGGACTTTTGTTTTTATTATATTTTTATTTTTTATTATTATGCTTTAGGTTTTAGGGTACATGTGCACAACGTGCAGGTTTGTTACATATGTATACATGTGCCATGTTGGTGTGCTGCACCCATTAACGGGTCATTTAGCATTGGGTATATCTCCTAATGCTATCCCTCCCCCCTCCCCCAACACCACAACAGTCCCCGGTGTGTGATGTTCCCCTTCCTGTGTCCATGTGTTCTCATTGTTGAATTCCCACCTATGAGAGAGAACATGCGGTGTTTGTTTTTTTTTTCCCTGCGATAGTTTGCTGAGAATGGTGGTTTCCAGCTTCATCCATGTCCCTACAAAGGACATGAACTCATCCTTTTTTATGGCTGCATAGTATTCCATGGTGTATGTGTGCCACATTTTCTTAATCCAGTCTATCATTGTTGGACATTTGGATTGGGTCCAAGTCTTTGCTATTGTGAATAGTGCCGCAATAAACATACGTGTGCATGTGTCTTTATAGCAGCACGATTTATAATCCTTTGGGTATATACCCAGTAATGGGATGGCTGGGTCAAATGGTATTTGTAGTTCTAGATCCCTGAGAAATCAGAGCCCGTAGCTGGTGGTCAAGATGAGGGAGAGGCCCTCAGGGTCAGCCGAATGCCTGAGAGGCCGGACAGGCCCAAAGGTGAGCAACGTGAGCACATCAGGTGGGCTCAGAGCTGGCGCATGAGCCCCACAGCCTGCAGAGCAGCCCTGTACTCGGGAGCCCGCTCGCACCAACCCAGCGGGACTTCAGAGATGTGGGGTCCAGCCTTTCCTACTATTGCTGGGCTGAGGGCTGGGAGCTGCAGATTCTGACCCCACAGCTGCCTTAGACATGCCAGATGGTCTGGGGCAAGACACACCCCTCTCTATGAAATGAGCAGCCAGTCCAAATAGGTACATTAGAGAAGGGCTGTGGGATGGACCCAGCTGTAGCCTGGGGCTACAGGCTGGCTTCCGGGGTACTCAAGCAGCTGGCCTCTGGGGTAGCAGCCCCAGGTATGAGAGGCAGGACTCAGAATCTAGGCCAAGCCTCCATAGGAATCCCCTCTGGAGAGCCCGGGCACTCTGCAGGAGGGGCAGCAGGCAGCAGGTGCACCAGGAGCATGTTTCACAAGGTGCCCAATATCGCATCTGCTCAGATAGGCAGCGAGTTGGAAAGTGGATGCAATAGGCAGGGTGGCGGCTGCTCCCCACAGCCAGGAGTCCGGCCCAGCACCCACCTGAGTCCGCCTCAGTCCTGCTCAATTGGGTTATCCGTGCTCTTGGCCCTCTGATCCCACCCACAGAGGGAGGTCTTTGGGGCGACCAGGTGAGCTGGCCCTTGTGGGAGGATGTAACTGACTCCTGAGCCTGGCGAGCCAGGCAGCCCCTCGCCAACGTCCCCACCCCTACCTCTCCAGCCCCCCCGCATTCCCTGATCCTCCCATCCGCTCCCCTGACCCAGCAGTTGCCTCTGCTCACTCTCTTTTCCTGCTCCCAGGCTCGCCTGGTCATGTGTCCTTCACTCTCCTCTGAGTCTCCCTCTTTCCAAGCCGCCTCCACTCTACTTGACACACTCTCCCTTAAGACACCAGAGTACACAAGCGCAAGTCCCTGCACCTCACCTTTACTCCCAGACATGGGAGGGAGATGACATGAAGACCCAAACGCCACTTAGCAGGAGATCTGGGGTATGCAGAGGGGCAGAACGGAGGCTGTGGAAGCTCCAGGGGCTCCCTGCAGGAGGCCACATGTAAGCTGGCTATTGAATGTGGCTCTGAGCTGAGACCTCTCCTTGAAGCTCCAGACCAGGAGCCAGCTGCTAGCTGGACCCCTCCATTTGGTGCCTCAGAGAAACTTTGCACTCTCTAGGTCTAACTTTGAACCCAGAAAATTCCCCCATGTCGGCCCTGTCTCTTCACAGGGAAAGCACCACCTCAGACCCAGTTCTGCACCAAACCCACATTTGAGTCACGAGGCTCCTGCCCTGCACTGTGAGCACTCTGGATAAGCCAGTGCTGAGGGGGAAAGAGCTCTGAATGCCAAGCCAAAACATGAGCTTCAACTCCACCTCCAGCTCTGAGAGCTGTGGGTAGGGAAGGGCCCTCGTCCAGTTTGCTGTAGAAAGATCAGTCTGCCACTGTATGGCACATGGATGGCAGGGGCAGAGTGCAGGTGGAGAGAATAGAAGGTGGGCAGGGCAGGGGAGGCAGGGACATGGCTGTAGCCGTGGAGATGGGAGGACAGACAGGACTTGGTGGCCACTTGGGTGAACCAAGGGAGGAGTCAGGAAGAGACACCCAGTTTTGTATCAGATGTGTAGAGCGTGGGATGCTGTTCATTGACGGAGGGAGGAGGAGGAGGAAGAGGTATGGCATGGGGAGGAGGTAGCTGAGCTCTGTCGTGAATGTCATTTGAAGTCCCCAGGGAGAGCCAGGCCGGCCAGCCCCTTCACTGCTTCAGCCAGCTCTCAGGGTGTCTGTGCTCCCTGGCCCTCTCAGCTCCTGCTTCATAGCTGTCAGCTGCAGTGGGAGACAGCTGCACAAGGGCCCAGCATGTCTGTGTGTTTACCCAGGGGACTGCCGCATGGCCCATGCCGAGCAGAAACTGATGGACGACCTTCTGAACAAAACCTGTTACAACAACCTGATCCGCCCAGCCACCAGCTCCTCACAGCTCATCTCCATCCAGACGGCGCTCTCCCTGGCCCAGTGCATCAGCGTGGTAGGTGCAGAGGGTACCTGTGGCTCAGGCTCAGGTGAAGAGGCAGCTCATGCCCAAGCCCTAAGCAGTCAATGTCCAGAGGAATGAAATGACTAGAGTTGACTTAGACTCACCGGTACACGGTGGGGAGGCTGGAGGAGGGTCCATGAGGTTTATAGGTGTCCAGTATTTAATGAGGTCATGGTTTTGTTAACAAAGAAGAAATGAGGGTGGGAGCGAGATCACCACTGGCTAGGCAGCCAATGGGCCTGCAGAGACTCTGCTCAGCTGAGTCTCCAGCACGACCATGAGCTTCTCATCCTGATCCTCCCATCCCCACCCTACTTTTCTCCCCCAGCTTGCTCAACAGGTGACCTTACAGGCTCCCTACTCTTTGCAGGGAATAAGAACCAGACTGGGGGAACTGACGGGTACAGAGGCCCAGGTGTAGGCGCAGGACCACAGGCAGTGAAGCGTCTACTGACCCAGGCGGGTGAGGGTCTGGAGAGTGGGCATGGCTGCTGCAGGCATGGAAAGCAGGCACAGATGGCGGCACTCCCAGGGCCCATTGTCAGGGTCTCCACATGTGGACGTGTGCAGAGGTGGGGGTGCTGAGGGAGGAGGGGCAGGGAATTTCTCATCTTCTCTCTACTGCCTCTGAGTTGGAGATGTCAGAGGGAGCCATGGCCCACTGTAAAGTAACACAATGTCCCCACCCACAGGATTAGAACCCCTCCCCTGGAAGCAGCTCTGAGGGGAACAGTCACATGTAGAGAGTGCAGGGCACTGTGTCCAGCCGGGGGAAGGAGGTCACCAAGGGGGTTGACCCCCCTCTGGCCAGGTGGCTGCCTTCTGACACACCAGCCTCTGTCTCTAGCACGGTGGCCCCCACACACCCAGCCTGTGAAACCTACAGCCCTCAAGAAGGCTTTGGCCAAATTAAGGAGCGGCTCCCTCTCCCAGGAGGAAGCACAGGTGAAGGATGTGGAGGGCAGTAGAGTTGTGTGTGCTCCGCCCCCTTTCTCCACAGTCGGATGGAAAGAAGGGGGCTTTCAGCCAGGCTCGCCCAGGCTGGGGTCTGAGTGTCACTGTCCAGCTATTGGCTTCTTGCTTAATGGGTGAGCCCAGCTGCTCCCGTGCAGCTGCCGCCCTAGTGAGGGTGAACCGGCAGGCGAGTTACATTTCTGAAAGCCTGGGAATACAGTAAATATTAGGCTGTGGGCTGCTGGGCCAGGAAGAGTTGTTTATTTTTCAGGGTTTGTTTATCTATTGACTTGATGAGGGAGGGTTATAGGTACAACCAGTTTAAAGATGGAAATTTTGAGAGAGCAGGCAGGGATTTAGTGCTGGGTAAGCCTGGTCAAAGCGGCTCTTTTGGGGCGGCCAGAATCCAGTACCAATGTCCTCAGCATGTTCATCAGCTGCTGGGGGAGTGCGGGACAGCATGAAAGCACAGGAGAACTTTCTGGATGATAGAAATACTCTGTATCTTCAAAGGAGGTGGGTTCCATAGTAATGTTAAATGAGTTAAAACTCATCAAAATGTAAACCAGACCTGTGCATTTCACTAATAGAAATTATACCTCCAATTAAAAACATGTTTTAAAAGACAGATGGGCCGGATGCAGTGGCTCATACTTGTAATCCCAGCACTTTGGGAGGCTGAGGCAGGTAGATCACCTGAGTCAGGAGCTCGAGACCAGCCTGGAAAACATGGTGACATCCTGCCTCTATTAAAGGTATAAAAAAAAATTAGCCAGGCATGGTGGCACACGCTACGCGGGAAGCTGAGGCAGGAGAATTGCTTGAACCCAGGAGGCAGAGGTTACAGTGAGCAGAGATCGTGCCATTGCACTAGAGCCTGGGCAACAGCGCAAGACTCCATCTCAACAACAACAAAAAAAGGACAGATGAAGGTTTTCAACTTTCAGTAAAGGCAGAGGAGCTTGTTACAGATTCGCCTCCCCACAAGAGCAGTTAGAAAAACTGGATAAAAATGTGCCCCGCCCCCAATCAAAAACAATTGTTGGAAGGTAATTGGAGACCTCAGTCAGGACTTGAGTGACCAGGCCTAGGAGGTGATCCTGACAGTCTGTAGTGCTTTCCCACATTTGGTGATTGGTCAACAGTAGAGGGCTAAGAGGCTAAGAAACTGAGTATGAAGTGGTAGTTAAGAGGCTGGAGAGCCTAGCTGAATGTTTGGCACTCTCACAGGGCTGAAATGACCTAATGAGAATTTGGGTCCCAGGAAGGAGATGGGACCTTGGTGGGGACCCTGGAAGGGCCACCCCTGGGAGTCCAAATGAATAAAACATAGACCAGCCATCAGAAAACCTAAAACCTGCTTTGAACCAGCTTAGTCCCAAAGTAGATGAAGGCGATCTGCCCTTACTCCAATTGTGTGCCATAAACTCAAAGTCAATACTCTCTGGAGGCAGATAAAAGTTTACTATGAATGTCAAAAGACAACACAAGACTAAATGAGAAAGACCAAGAAGAAAACTAATAGAAACATACATGTAAGGAAGAAACTTTTTTTTTTGAGACGGAGTTTCGCTCTGTCACCCAGGCTTGAGTGCAGTGGCACGATCTCAGCTCACTGCAACCTCTGCCTCCCAGGTTCAAGCGATTCTCCTGCCTCAGCCTCCCAAGTAGCTGGGATTACAGGCATGCGCCACCATGCCCGGCTAATTTTTGTATTGGCCAGGCTGGTCTTGAACTCTTGACCTCAGGTCATCCATTTACCTCGGCCTCCCAAATTGCTAGGATTACAGGCGTGAGCTACCATGCCTGGCCAGTATTTTGCCACAATTTAAAATAAATAAAATTTTTTTTTCAGGTTTGTGCTCAGACTATATTCTAAACAGTCACATGGCGGCTTACTCTTCTCCAGGCCTTGCTGCCGGCTTTTACATGTTTATTGTCTTTGCCTTCTTGTCATGTGCTCATTAGATGGCAGCTTCCAGGTGCTCCTAAGGGGCCAGGAAAGAGAGTGAGAAGGCACGGAGGTTGCCAGATCATCCCCCTTGGGGCCCCGCCCTCATCAACTCCCTCAACCGGGTCTCCTGCAACTATTGGTGGGCCATCTCGGCCACCGCTTCGCCCTGAGCTTCCTGCTGCTGCAGCTGGGCAGTGCCTCCTTCTCAGAGGCCAGCTGCTGATAGGCGGCCACGTACTGCTGCAGGTGACCCAGGTAATGGTCTCGCTGCTGCTGCAGACTCAGCCTCTTGGCTCTTCAGCTCCACCTGCAGGATAGGCGTCAGGGTAGGTAGTGGCTGGCTTCCAGATTCTGGGCCCATAAACAGGGTAGTGAGGGCACTGCGGGGCTCTGTCGCCTACCCAGGCCCCTGGCCCTGGCCCCTTCCTCCAGGCCTAAATGACTGCCTCCCTTGCCTAGAGGCCCATGCCTCCCTCCCCAGCCTCAAATCTCACACCCTTCTTCCCACCATTTAAACTGTAGGCCACAGACTGGTGGAAAAGCAGAGGGAGCCAACCACCATCTGCTAAGTTGTGGTGAGGTCGTTCTGTATGATCTCCAGGGTTTGCACACACCTCCGCCTGCTCCCCCCAAGAGCTCGGCCTTCTGCCCCAGCTTCCCCAGCCTCTCCTCCAGCTCCTGCAGCCTCACCTGGTGTTCCTGCATCTTCTCCTCCTGCTGCCGCAGCCTCACTTCCTGCTCCCACATCTTCTCCTCCTGCCTCCGCATCTTCTCCTCCTGTTCTTGCATCTTCTCTTCCTGCTCACACATCTTCTCCTCCTGCTCCCACATCTTCTCTTCCTGTTCCTGCATCATCTCCTCCTGCTCTCGTATCTTCTCCTCCTGCTCCCATATCTTCTCCTCCTGCTCTCGTATCTTCTCCTTCTGCTCCCGTATCTTCTCCTCCTGCTCCCTTATCTTCTCCTCCTGCCTCCGCATCTTCTCCTGTTCTTGCATCTTCTCTTCCTGCTCCCCCATCTTCTCTTCCTGTTCCTGCATCATCTCCTCCTGCTCTCGTATCTTCTCCTCCTGCTCCCGTATCTTCTCCTCCTGCTCCCTTATCTTCTCCTCCTGCCTCCACATCTTCTCCTCCTGCTCCCGTATCTTCTCCTCCTGGTCGTGCATCTTCTCCTCCTGCCTCCACACCTTCTCCTCCTGCTTCCGTATCTTCTCCTGCTCGTGCATCTTCTCCTTTTGCCTCCATATCTCCTCCTGCTCCCTTATCTTCTCCTCCTGCCTCCACATCTCCTCCTGCTCCTGCCTCTTCTCCTCCTCCCGTATCTTCTCCTGCTCGTGAATCTTCTCCTCCTGCCTCCACATCTTTTTCTCCTGCTCCCGTATCTTCTCTTCCTGCTCCCGTATCTTCTCCTCCTGCCTCCACATCTTCGCCTCCTGCTCCTGCCTCTTCTCCTGCTCGCGTATCTTCTCCTCCTCCTGCCTCTTCTCTTCCTGCTCCCGTATCTTCTCCTGCTCGTGCATCTTCTCTTCCAGCTCCCGTATCTTCTCCTCCTTCTCCCACATCATCTCCTCCAGCCTCCGCATCTTCTCCTCCTTCTCCCACATCATCTCCTCCTGCCTCCGCATCTTCTCCTCCTTCTCCCACATCATCTCCTCCTGCCTCCGCATCTTCTCCTCCTGCTCCCGTATCTTCTCCTCCTGCTCCCGTATCTTCTCCTCCTGCTCCTGTATCTTCTCCTCCCACTCCTGTATCTTCTCCTCCTGCCTCCACATCTTCTCCTCCTGTTGCTGGTTCAGGCGGTTCCACAACTCGTTCTCTTCCACCTGGGCTTGGAGCTTTGCTGACACACTCTGCAGCTCCTTACCCAGGTGGTCAGCCTCCGCCTGCAGCTGCTGCTGGAATAGTGAAAGTGTTTTTTTGAACCTCAGAAGGAAGCAGAATCATGAGCTAGCCACATAAATGTAATCTATAGGCTGGGAGCGGTGGCTCACGCCTGTAATCCCAGCACTTTGGGAGGCCGAGGTGGGCGGATCACGAGGTCAGGAGATCGAGACCATCCTGGTTAACACAGTGAAACCCCGTCTCTACTAAAAATACAAAAAAATTAGCCGGGTGTGGTGGTGGGCACCTGTAGTCCCAGCTACTTGGGAGGCTGAGGCAGGAGAATGGCGTGAAGCCGGGGGGTGGAGCTTGCAGTGAGCCGAGATTGCGCCACTGCACTCTGGCCTGGGTGACAGAGTGAGACTACTTCTCAAATAAATAAATAAATAAATAAATAAATAAATAAATAAATGTAATCTATAAAATAATGGTTTTCATCCATGATCCTTTAAAAAAATATTTTTAAGCCCTAACTCTTGAGATTCTGATTCCCCAGGCAGGGCCCCAATTTGTACATTTTTAGTACACTCTAGAGGATTCTATGGCGGGACCAGAACAAGGACCCAAATTTTCCAGCTCTTGGCTGGAGCCTCCCCATACCCTGCATGATCCCTAGACCATGGTCCCAGCTGGATGGGTCTCCCACAACCCCCGGGGCTGCAGCTGCTCACCTGTGGCAGCAGGAGCTTGGCCCTCTCCAGTTTCCTTTTTAGCTCCTTTACGTTGAGCTGGATCTCAGACTTTTCAGATTCTACAAGTTGAAGTTTTTCTTGTAGTTTGGCATTTTTCTCCTTCAGCTCCTCATCAGTTATGCTATGGCCAGAGGCAGTAGAGAAAGGAATGAATGAAGAACATAAAAGACCACTTTGGTGATTGACCCCCTACCCTCGCCCCACAACCACAGAACCGTGGCGCTGGAAGGGACCCCAGGAATTAAAAGTCCCAGGTGGCAGGCCAGAGAGAAGACATGAGTTGCCTGAGGCTACCCCATGAGTCAGTGGCACAGCCAGCACTAGAGCTTCCGTGTGCACACATGAAAACATGTATGAGCCTCTCCCCACACTCACCTGGACCCCCCACCTCCCAGCACACCACCCATGCTAAGGGCCCCCAGACCTCCCATTCCACCTTCCCCCATCCTACGTGTTCCTGTACAGTTCCAGACTCAGGGCGTCCCTCTCCTTTGTTAACTCCTCAATGTACTGCAAATAGAGAAAGGTTAAGTCAGGATAGAGCAGGCACAGCAGTAGCTGGACGACCAGGAACAACTGCTACAGTGACTACTCCACAGTAACACTTCCTCACTCTCAATCACACCTGACGTGTTCTCAAGGCATTTCCAAGCCCATGGTCTCATTTGTTTTTCTTTCTTTCTTTCTTTCTTTTTTTTTTTTTTTTTGGCAGAGTTTCATTCTTGTTGCCCTCACTGGAGTGCAATGGCACAATCTCAGCTCACCACAACCTACACCTCCTGGGTTCAAGCAATTCTCCTGCCTCAGCTTCCCGAGTAGTTGGGATTACAGGCATGTGCCACCACACCGGGCTAATTTTGTATTTTTAGTAGAGACGGGGTTTCTTCGTGTTGGTCAGTCTAGTCTTGAACTCCTGACCGCAGGTGATCCGCCCACCTCAGCCTCCCAAAGTGCTGGCATTACAGGCGTGAGCGAGAGCACCTGGCCCTCATTTGTTTTTCAAAGAACTCAGTGGATGTGGAAGGGACAGGGAAAGAGATTGAATTTAGAGCTGGCTAACAGGGGCCCAGAGCGATCAGATAATATTGTTATTGTTATTACTGTTAGTACTACCATTGTTCGAACCTTTCTTGAGTGCTTCACCAGGCACTATGCTAACAATCCCATTTAATCCTCACAACCTCCATAGGAGACGGTTACCATTATTACCTCTATTGTGTAGATGAAAAACATGCGGTATTAAAGGTTAAGTGCTGCCTAAGATCACTTGGAGCTGGGATTTCAACACCCAGGTATATCTGATTCTCTAAGCCCATTCTTCCGCTGGAGGTAGGGGCACAGTTAAGAAGGAGGAAATTAATCCTTTGTTGAATTTTTGAAAGGATGATACGTTCGCATAGTCCAAAACTCAGAAAGTCCAGAAGGGAAATATCTCCCCCCAACACTGTGCCTCTATCCTGAGTTTTTTAATGAATCCTTACAAACGTGTTTTATGTATGTTACCATAATACGTACACACACACACATATACACCTGCCCCCTCTCTCCACACAAATAATAACATACTCAAGATACTCTTCTGTACCTTTATGGTACAAGTACCCTAACCGCCACTTAGGACTTGGCCAAGGCCACAGCCAAATATGGGCAGGGCGGGCACTTGGCCTCTGAGCTCTATGTCCAGTGCTCGCTCCTCACAGTGCTCCCCAACTCACCCACAACAGCCGACTCAGCCCCAGTCTGCCTCTAACAACCACACACAAAAGCAGCAAGAAATGGCCATGCTGCCTTCTGGGCAGGACACTCCATCCTACAGAAGGGACCTTTAGGCTCACTCCTCCATCTGCGAAGCTGGGCTCCCAAGGGACGGGGCCGTGTTTGGACTCACCCTATCCGCCTTCTTCTTCTGTGTAGCGACAGCAGAGAGAGCCTGCTCTAACTCTCCTGCAAACTTCCATGAATCATGCAGGCGGCTGATCAGATCCCTGGCCTCTCCTGGAATGAGAGACATTCAGATGTGGCCCAAAGGACTCCCCCTAAAGGCCTGTCAAAGTGCCAGGTTGAAGGATGATGGGGTGCCAGATTCCCACCTTCCAACTGCTTGACAGCATGCTGGCTGTAGTAGAGTGCCATCTGAAGCTCAGTTTTCTGACATGTAAGGATTCGTATGGTATGAACCTGGGCCTTTGGGAGAAAAGACAAGCAAATGCTGAAAGAGAAGCAAAGAAACATTCTCCAGAGGGCAGGAGGGAACTTCACACCCTCCACTCACCTCTAGCTCCCTCCTTAGGGCTTCCTGATGTTGGTGGCTTGCCTTCTGTTCCTATAGAAAGAGGAAAACAGAGCTCTTACTAGGGGGAGGCAGAGATCCACAGCAAGAGACATGCCCCCAGAATGGCACCACTGCCCCAGAACAGGCCCACCCATGGGACCAGTTTATCAGGGACCCTGTGGGGATGGGGTGGAATCTTGGGGGTGAGCCTTCTTCCCCAGGCTGGGAGTGGGTGAGATGAGGCTGGGGCCTCTACATCTGAGTGCCCCCAAACCCAGCGGTCATGTCGTGAGCAAAGAAATCACACTACTTCTTCCAGCTGAGCTCGGTTCTATTGTTTCTGTGGGGAGAGTCAAAGGAAGGTGACTGAGGGTGGCCCCCTTGACTCTATTCCCCAGGCCAGGAAGCGATAGGCAGGGGCCAGGAATGGATTTAAAAGGCACAGTTCTCAGACCCAATGGGAACATGAACTGGTCAACTCTCCTCAACTCCCAAAGAAGAAGGATTTGGGTCTTTTTGGTTTTTGCCCACAGCCACAGAACTCAAAGTCTGAAACTAGATTCTCTTGAAAAGACAGTAACAGAAACCTTCAGAGGTGGAGTGCGAGAAAAGCCCACCCTTCCGCCAGCTTGTGATTTAGAAAGGTGCATTCACTCAGCAAACGTTGAGCACATACGGGCCAGGGACGGTTCTTCACAGCGGGAATAGAGGTCAGAAAAGGCAGACAGGAGCCCTTGGCCCCGAGGTTTCCATTCTAGTGGGCCTTTAACTCTCGGGCTCTCAGAGCTAACAGAAACCTCTGATACTCTCTAACTCTACCTCAGGAAACGCAAGCCCAAGAAGGAGAGTTTACAGCAGGTCCTGGACGAGGGATTAACATAAAAACACAATGACAAATCTCATTTAAACTTCACAAACGTAAGGAAAACAATACCACTCGTATTTTACGGATGTGAAAAGAGAGGCCCAAAGAGCTCAAGCAATTTGCGCTAAATCATGTCCCTAGCAGATGGAGGGGTAGGATTCAAACCCAGAATTCTTAGCCAGTACCTGGCAGTTCTTCCACAATCTTAACAATTACCCTCCACCACCCCTTGGGCCCTCTGTCCCCAGGAGCCCGGCCAGCCAAGACTCACATCCTCAGGCGAGTGGCAACCACCAGAAGTGGTTGTCTCAGGGTTAGTGCCATTATTTATTTTCTTCTTTTTGGTGTCGCTTGCTGCTGTACCAACACTAGGGTTGGTCTGGGGATGATGGTCTGTCAACTGTGGAAAGGAAGAGCAGTGATACTCATGAGAACTACAAGCTCCTACAGTCACATCCTGCTTTACAGTTTATACTAAATACTCTTATAGACCATCTGATTTAATGCCACCAACTGTAGGAAATGTTGTCACAATCACTTAGTGACTGAGAGAGATTGATACCATGGCTGAAAAAAAAGGCAGTAATGGAACTTAAACTCAGTCTTCTGACTCTGAGCTCTGGGATTTTGCCCTAAATCAGCAGCTGCCAGGGACCAAAACCAGAGGCAGAGGTAGAAAAGCAAATATTAAGTAGGCAGGAACTGTGCACTATGTGGTTTAGGGTTATTCACCCTCACACGTCTGTTAGTGTTAAAAAGTACACCAGTACCTCTCAAACCTTTACATCAATGTCTCCTCATGGCAGAAGGCAGCCTTTCTGCTAAATCTGGGAATTTAACAGAAAGAGGACAACCCAAGCCTCATTTCAGAGAGAAGTCTTGTATACGCTTATAAATCTACGTGACTTTCATCCCTAAGTACATTAATGTTTTGCCTCTCAATAGAATCAAGGGAAACTGATGCTTCAGAAAGATGCCCCATATTTATCCTGTGGCACTCAAAGTACCCCAGGTTGAGATGAGATGAGGAAGACTCAAGCTAAGTTCAGTTTCCCAAGATCTGTTCCACAGAAGATAAGCAGATCTCACTCCAGAACCAGTGACTGAGGGGCACTCTGGTCCCAGAACAATGGAGAATTCAAATCTGAGGTGCAGAACTGAGAAAAAATGTTAAAATCTCTCTGGAGAGTAGAAGCCTGGGAGAAAACCAAACCAAACCCGTTCTCCCATTGCCACCCAGAGACACTGTCAACGTGTTGAGCTCATGGGGGAGGTGTAGGCTTTTCACACTGTCAAGGTCTGTGGTAAGGAAGTCAGGCAGCCTGAAACCTCTCTCTTCTAGGTCCCACAGTCCCCATTCCCCTTCCAGCTGGAAACCTGTGCTGCAACCAGAGGAAACAGAAGTGGGCAAGAACACTTAGGGGACTGGGTCCTAAGACCAAAGGCCGGTCTTGTGGTAGTAATGACAGTTTGTAGCGGGACTGTGACATCACTACATTCTACTCCTCGGTGGAGTGGTTGGGGGGGACACATGAGTGCAATGCCCAAGTTGCCGCTTTGAGACTGGGGAGGGGGTCACAAAATTGGGAGCCAGGTCCTTGGAGACGTGACCCCAAAGAGCCCCGGGAGGTCAGGCTTGGGGCGGCAGGAGGTGAGGGCCAATTAAGGAGCAAGGAGCTCCAGGAGTCACATCCCCAAAGTCACCCTGTGGCAACTGGTGAGGGCAGGTTCTGGGGCACCCAGGTCCTTGGAGATGTGAGCTCAAGGAGCCCAGGGAGGTCGGGTTTGGGGTAGCAGGAGGTAAGGGCGGAGTATGGAGTTGGAAGCCCCAGGAGTCACCTGCTCAAAGTCACCCTGGTGTGCCGGGCAGAGCAGGGGCAGGACTTATGAGGGGGTTGGGCTGGCTGACAAGATTTTGGTGTGGGGAGCCCAGAGGCACTGGGGTGGGGGGCCCAGCCTGGTGTCCCTCAGGAGTGGCACAGACTCTGGCAGCAGTTCGGCTGTCAGAGGGGGCCTCGGGTTGGGTTGGGGTGTTGGTGCGTTTACCTGTTCCTTGGCCTCGGCCAATTTGCTCTGTCTGGTTTCTTTGGACATCATAGGATGGGTAGGGAGGTGGGGATGGGTAGGGAGGTGGGGATGGGTAGGGAGGTGGGGATGGGTAGGGAGGTGGGGATGGGTAGGGAGGTGGGGATGGGTAGGGAGGTGGGGATGGGTAGGGAGGTGGGGTTGGGGCCACATCAGCATGATCCAGGTGAGGACAAGTATATACCTCCAGTCACCTCTACGTCGCTGTGTGACTGAGCCAGAGGAGGCGTAACCAGGGCTGCACTAGAATGCAGAATAGGGGTGTGGCCTTCATGCTTGAAGCCCATTGGTCAATGAGAAAGATGAAAGGAAAAGGAGGTGTGGCCAGACAGCAGCGTGTCATCAAGGACCTGTGTTGTCACAAGGAAAGCTGCCTATGCAACCGCTGTCCCCGCCCACTCCAGGAGAGGGGCGGGGCTGGCTTTCACTTTAAAAACTTTAAAACTTTATTACCTCAATTGAGGTACAAGTCCTATTAAAATGGAAATTTTATAGTGTGCTTGATGATTGATAAAGCAGACTTTATTATCCAACATTCCAATAAGATAATCACAATGTTTTCTCTTTTTTGGAAAAACTTTCTCTTATTCTCCTACATTAGCGTTTAGTTTTTTTAAAAAAAACAAACAAACAAGAAACATGTCTAATATCTTTAAAAATACAAAGCTTTGAGCCAGGCGTGATGGCTCATGCCTGTAATCCCAGCACTTTGGGAGGCTGGGGCGGGTGGATCACCCGAATTCAGGAGTTCAAGACCAGCCTGGCCAACATGATGAAATCCTGTCTCTACTAAAAATACAAAAGTAGCTGGGCATGGTGGCAGGTGCCTGTAATCCTAGCTACTTGGGAGGCTGAGGCAGGAGAATCCCTTGAACCTGTGAGGCAGAGGTTGCAGTGAGCCAAAATCATGCCACTGCACTTCAGCCTGGGCTGCTACAGAATGTGACTCTGTCTCTAAATACACACACACACACACACACGCACAGACACACACACACACACACACACACACACACACAAGGCTTTCCATTTAATAAGCACTCAAAGTTCTTTACAAGGTTAAAGCAAATACAGGACCCTTCTAAAGTAAGGCTAAATGCTAAGTGATGGGGGAGAGAAAAAGGACATAAATAACTCCTACTCTCATGAGTTAATCACTAAATCCGATTTTTCTAGAATCACCTGGCCTCTAAGCCCTGAAAATGAAACTGAATTTCTCACTCGATACTTGGCTATGACTTGCAATCATGAAAACCAAGAATTGTGTTATGTCACTGTGTATTGCTTGTTACCTGGGATCAAGGGTTGACTTTTTCATGATTTGCTCCATTACCTGTGTGCTTCTTCTCCCAGTCCAAACTACGCTTTTTTCTAGAGTTCTACAATTTACAGTTAGTATGTAAGGGTGGCTCTCAAACATGTAGTCTCCGGACCAGGAGCACCTGGGAACTTCTTATAAATGTAAATTCTCAGGCCCCACCCTAGACACGAATGAATCAGAAACTCTGCAGTAGGGCCCAGCAATCCGTGCTGCAATAATCCCTCCAGGTGCTCAGGAACCTCTGCCATACAGCAGGTAGAAAAATGTGTTTCCTTCTGTAGGTCCAAAGCCAGGGATACTATATGTTCTGTCTCAATATGAAACAATGACATGCAATTAAAAGACATAAATCTCCTTCCTACTTCCACCCTCCAGCCAGTGTGTTTTATTTTTATGAGTTCAATAAGAAAACGTGTGGCAATCAGAGATTTCATCTAAAAAATATATCTACAGGTATCAGTTCTCATCCAGCCTGATCTCATCCAATATCATTTCTATCCTCTTACATCTAAAGTTTTAGAAAAGGATTTTCACAACGTAAGACTCAGGCGCACTAGGAGTTCTATGATAAAAGACCAAGTAGATCTGAATGTCCAAACTTACTAGAGAAGAAAAGTGGACTCATTGGCTATATTTTCAAATTGCATTCAACAGGAAATTAAAGTTTTGAATTTTTTCCACCTTCATCCTTCCAAGTTAATAGAATTAAACCAGAATACTCCATTCTTCCAAAGCCTGTAGCCAGGCAAACTTTTACTGTATTACTTCTTGCTTTTCAATGGATATAAAGCAGAGTCCTGGTAGGCACATTTTGTATACCTGCAAAGATGCAAAACTAAACAGTTCCCTCGGTTCAATATTAAAACAAAAGTCCTGTAAACCTCAGATGGTGAGTGTAATACTTCAGCACTAGCACGAAAGCCTCAAATATAAAAAGATACCAAGAACCTTGCTAGCAAACCAAAGTAAGCTCTTGGCCGGGAGCAGTAGTTCACGCCCGTACTCCCAGCATATTGGCAAGCTAAGGTGGGGTAAGTCAGGAGTTAAAGACCAGCCTGGGCAGCATAGCGAATTCATATCTCTACAAAGAAAATTTAAAAATTAGCTGGGCTTGGCGGCACACACCTGTAGTCCTAGAGCTACTTGGGAGGCTGAGGTGGGAAAATCACTTGAGCCCAGAAGTTTGAGGCTGCAGTAGCTATGATCATGCCACTGCACTCCAGTTGGGGTGACAGAGCGAGATCTAATTATTACATTCTGTCCTGCTCCTGTTTCCACTAAAATCACTAACTTAAAATGTGTTCATTCAGCAGGATAAAAATTAAGTGAAATTTGACTTTGGTGCTTTGCTAGCAAAAAATAAATAAATAAAGTGAAGTGACAAATTACTTACTGGGAGAAGATCTTTGTAACCTCAATGACAGATTAAAGGTTTGTAGCCTTAGCCTATAAAGAAATCTTTAAAATTACTCAGAAAAAAAAATGAATGATTTGCAGCAGAAAATGGGCAATGGAGAAACCAGCACTTCCCACAAGAATAAAAATGGCCAATGAGCAAATGAAAAAGATTCAAAAGCACTAGAAATCAAAGAAAGGTAATGAAAACAATGAGATTTTCTGCTTAAAGACCAGCGAAGATGACAAATGGAAGGGGGAACCTGGAGCTCTGTCCCTGTTGGTGGGAGCATAAACTCAACCAATTTTCCTGTAGGATGATTTGAACATTTCTTTTAAAAATCCTAAAACTGTTTTATATTACTTTCCTCTAGAAATTCTACTTCTATGAATTCAGTGCAAAAATCCTGACTCGAGTCCATTAAAATATATATAGAAGGAAATCCACCTCTGGGGTGGCAATGACTCACTTAACATACATCCAGTGATGATGCCAGGGTATATTTCTCCATAGAAACATGCTTAAAATATAGTAAGTGACAAAAGACCATGTATTGTGATTCTACTTTTTAAAATGTTTACAGCATAAAAAGTGTGAAAAGCAACAAACCGGAATGTTTTGAGTGGCAAAATTAAAGATTTTTCTTTACATTTTGTCATCCAAATTATTACAAAAACAATGTGATTTCCTTTATAATCATGGAAAAGTGTTATTTTCATTTATTTATATTTACATTTCTTTTCTTTTTCTTCTTTTTTCTCCTGTATGTATCCCACATAGGCTACAGAGCTTAAATCCCTGCCTCTTGAGAGAAATCAGCCCATTTTCAGGACATGCAATACACAAAGCTGCCCCATCTTCCCTTTATTTTTATTTTTATCTTATTTATTTATTTATTTATTTATTTATTTATTTATTTATTTATGTTGAGATGGAGTCTCACTCTGTTGCCCAGGCTGGAGTGCGGTGGCGCATCTCAGCTCACTGCAACCTCCATATCCCGAGATCAAGCGATTCCCCTGCCTCAGCCTCCCGAGTACCTGGGACTATAGGCATGCACCACCATGCCCAGCTAATTTTTGTATTTTTAGTAGAGAGGAAGTTTTACCATCTTGGACAGGCTGGTCTCGAACTCCTGACCTCAAGTGATCCGTCTGCCTTGGCCTCCCAAAGTGCTGGGATTACAGGCATGAGCCACTGTGCCTGGCCTGTCATATTATTTCTAAACATTTGAGTGACATTTCAATTAAGTGAAATTTAATTCTTACTGACCTGATCTCTTATCCTCTGTTTAATGATACCTTCCAGTTGAAAGGTGTTTCCTCTGTAATCACGGGTGCCAAAGGAAATACAACATGTATTCATTAGGTGGATCCACTAAACCACGGATTCACGCATTGTAGTCCTTACACCCTCAGCATCAGAAACACGTGGGAACTTGTTAGACATGCAAATTCCTGGGCCAGCCCCACACCTCCTGAATCAGAAAGTGGGGAAGGACAGCTATCTGTGCTTTAATAAGCCTTGAGATGCTCCCTGAAGTTTGAAAACTACAGAACTAGAATACATATGGTAGTAAGTGCTCATACTTTATCCAAGGTACTAGGGACTCTTCCCCTCTTTTCCATTCTCTTTTCTGTTGAAATAAAATGAGAGCTCCTTTTGACTTAATGGGTATAAGAAAGAAGGCAATGAGATGACCAGGGTTTCAAGTTAGAGTTCAAAATTTAATCAGTGGACAGTGACAGGATGCAAGCCTTCTAAACAGATTGCTGCAAGGAAGCTGATTATAATCTATACAGTAGGTATCATTAGTGTATTGATGTTAAATTTTGGGGGTGGATTAATGGTATTGTGATTATATAGGAGAAGTCCTGGTTCCTAGAAGATATCTGCGAAAGTACTTAACAGTGAAATGCTCTGATACTGCCAACTTACTTTGAAATGATTCAGGGGGAAAAAGGGCACATATACAATCTTCCATACGCAGAAGACAGAAAACAAGTGTGACAAAACATTAACTAGTGAATCCAGTTGAATAGCATACAGATGTTCACTGTATGATTTTATCAACTTTTCTGTGTTTGCAAGTTTTCAAAATAAAAGTTGAGGGAAAGAAACATCACCCCAAATCTTTCTATGAAATGGGACCACAGAAAAAGCAGAGAAGTGAACACTTTGCAGAAAAGAGCACTGCACCCATCCGGACAGCATGGTCAAAGTGCAGGCTCTCCTCCAGGAGGCTCTTCTCTGGTCTCTTCTGTGCTGTCACTTCCCCCACATGCAGCCAAGGCTTTTTTCTAACAACTCTTTTTCTAAAGATGTAATTTTTGTCATTCATCTAAGAAAGAGAAGAAAAGAATTAGTATACATTTAGAAAATAAAATTACACTTACATTTGTGAAAAAGCAAAAAATACTTTGAAAAGTGGGGAAGCGAGAAATGTACTGTTCTACAATTCTGTTCTGTTCTTACCATCTTTTTATTCTGCCAATGACTTCCTATTCCTGCTGTGTATGGTGGGGTGAGCTGCAAATGATTTCTTTTCCTCATTGATTTAAAATGTCATGTTTATAATGTACCAAACTCCCCCAGAAGCATTTGGGTTTATTTCTGGGCTCTATTCTATTCAAGTAATCTATCTGTTCACAAGCCACTATCAATTTTGATTATTGGAGCATCCTAAAGTTAAGTAATTGTTGTTTTTGTTTTTGAGATGCAGTCTCTCACTCTGCCGCCCAGCTGGACTGCAGTGGCGTGATCTAGGCTCACTGCAAGCTCCACCTCCCGGGTTCATGGCATTCTCCTGCCTCAGCCTCCCGAGTAGCTGGGACTACAGGCACCTGCCACCACGCCTGGCTAATTTTTTGTATGTTTAGTGGAGATGGGGTTTCACCTTGTTAGCCAGGATGGTCTCGATCTCCTGACCTCGTGATCCGCCTGCCTCGGCCTCCCAAAGTGCTGGGATTACAGGCGTGAGCCACCGCGCCTGGCCCTGAATTTGCTTGAGTTTTTAGCTCTCTCACCCATTTCAGGATTGTCACCACCCATATCTGACACGTCCTCCTCCTCCTCTAAATCTTCTAAGTCCTCCTGGCCATCAGCCTCTGTTTCTGAACCAGCCTCTTCATGCTCCTGTTCTTCACTCTCTGGGAGAAGACTGATATCTTCATCTTTCTTTCACTAACCGCATTCTGGAAGCACTGTAAAATTGCTTCATTTTGCAATTCCAGTTGTTGCAAAGTCTGCTCATCATCAAAACTTTCTATCACAAGTTTTTGTAAAGAGCTGCCATGGATTCTACCATTCTCTACTGTTTTATTAAAGTCATAAAGCACTTTCGTTAAAGAAGTGAACTTTGGTTCCAATCCAGCTTGAAACCTATTGGGAGGAATTAAATGAGATTTAGAATTATAGATAATAATTTCACAGCCCTCTTAATTAAAAGAAAAATAAAAACCTCAACTCTTCTGTAAAATCAAATTTGAATAAAGTGTAAGTATAGATTCTGGCCCCAACAATATATAAGCTGATGAGCCACAATGATATATAAAACCTGTCAACCAAGTATTTGTGAATCAGCTGTATAGATTGTTGGCAGGAAAAGCATTACAAATCTATTTGCTTGGAGATGTATAGAGAATTAGCCTTAAATTTTCTACTCTGCTACATTATATACCACTCCATTCATTCATTCCCTTATTCACTCAATGATCAACATTTGCTTTGGCTTACAGTGGTCAAGGAAAACCTCTCCTAGATGTGACATCTGAGGTGAAACTTACAGACAAGTATAGTCTTATAAAGATTGGGAAACATGTATTCCAGGCAGAAGAAACAGCAAGAACAAATTCTCTAAGATGCAATTGAGCTTGGTAAGCCTGAGGAATAAAAAAGTGAGCATGGCTATAGCGTGAAGGAGGCAGAAGGTGAAGTCGGAGAGACTGATGGGAGCCAAATTCTGCAGGGCTCAAGGGTAAGAGTTTGCCGTTTTAAGTGTAATAAGAAAATGTGAGAAGATTTTAAGCAGAAGGATGAAATGATGATTTATACGAAGGAAGAAGAAAGGGAGGAAGGAGGAGGAGGAAAGTAGAGTGATTAGAAGGTTGATGCAGCATTCCAGGCAAAGGATGATGGTGATTTAAGCTGGAGTTAGAGCAGTGAATATGCTGAGTACAGTTTGGAGGTAGAACTGACAGGATTGCTAAGGAATTAGATACAGAATAGAGAAAAGTGAAGACATCAAAATAGCAGCCTAGTTTTATGTGCGAGCAACTGGAGAGACAGAACTGCCATTTACTGCGATAGGCAAGGCTTGAGTGGTGGAGCAAGGGGAAAGGACTTCAGCGGATGGCAGAGTGTAGGTGGGTAGAAACAACATTCTACTGTATTTTGGACACGGTGAATTTGTGATGCTGAGAGGACCAAAATTTAAAAAATTGTTAAAAGCCGTACGGTGCGGATATCCCAGTTGTGCGCTACTGAATTCCAACTAAGCTCAGTCTGGAGTTGCTTGTGAGCAAGGAACTCAAGGGAGAGGTTGGAGTTTGAAACATAAATGAGTCATAATTTTATAGGTCATATTTGAAGTTCTTCAACAAAATACACATAAAACGTTTGTGTTGGGAAGAGACATGAAAGTTCTAATTCTCAAGAAGCTTAGTGGGGTAGACAGACAAGTGACAAGTTTGTGCTTTCAATAAAGTATGATGGCAGGTAAACACTGAGTGCTTTAGGAGCACAGGCGGAAGGAGAAACCAACACAGTTGTGTGTAGGGGGATGGGGGCCGTAATAAGCCTCAAGGGGAGCTTATAGGCGTGAATAACTGAGGTTAGGTTGATTTCAATAACATTCAACTGAGAGATCCATACTGTAAAAGTTTTAACAATTTTTAAAATTTTGATAGCCTAGGTCCTCTGAAATGTGGGGAAAAGTGATTTACATTTCCCCTTACCTTCCCCCAGCTCCACAATTTGCCAGGGGTCTGCAACCCGTGTCCACGTGCGACCGCAGTCGCACCCGAGCCCGGGATCTGTGCACTTACGTGAGGATGCACTCGGGCCAGCCAGTGGCTTTGCCCACCTCCCTCAGACACCGCTCCAGGGTCCGTCAGCGCCAGGCCCATGGGCCATGGCTGTCTGCAACTCCCGACACAAGCTGCAAGGCAAGAGAGCCGCTGGGAAACCGCACCGCAAGGATGCTGGGATTGGAACAGGAATTAAAAGAAATGAAAAAATGTGTAAGCAAAAACTCAGCTGTATGTAAAAAAAACCCAATTCCCCCTGAGAATGAGAAAGAGCCTTAGTCCTTTAAAAAAACTACCTGTTTTCCTATGGCTAGTGAGCCTTATCGCTCCCTTCCCAGGCATTATCAAAACCCTAATTCCCTAACTGTGCAACTGCAAGGTCACTAAACAAACAAATGCAAGTCACAAAACATATTTTTCCTAAAAACGTAAAAAAAAAAAAAACATAATGCGTGCTTCAATTAAATAACTCTCTGTTTCTCGCTTCTGTAATATGCTTCCCCCTGCACAGATCTACCCGGGCTCCACAAAATGCTAAAAGATAACTCTTTATTCAGCTCAACGCTTTGATCTGCCTGGCGTGGTGGCTCACTCTTGTGATCCCAGGACTTTGGACGGCCAAGTAGGGTGGATCGCTTGTGCCTTGGAGTTCCAGACAGGCCTGGGCAACATGGTGAAACCTGGTCTTTTTGTTTTGTCTTGTTTTGAGACGGAGTTTCGCTCTTGTTGCCCAGGCTGGAATGCAGTGGCTGGGTCTCTGCTTGCCGCGACTTCCGCCTCCCGGGTTTCGGTCGTTGTCCTGCATCAGCCTCCAGAGTGGCTGGGATTGCAGGCATAAGCCACCAAGCCCGGCTAATTTTGTATTTTTTTTTTATTTTTATTTTGGTACAGATGGGGTTTCTCCCTGTTGGTCAGGCTGGTCTCAAACTCCCGACCTCAGGTGATCCACCTGCCTAGGCCTCCCGAGGTGCTAGGATTGCAGGCTTGAGCCACCGCTCCCGGCCCAACTTATTAATCAGAAAGGAATAGATCGTCCTGGTGTGGTGGCTCACGCTTGTGATCCCAGTACTTCGGATGGCCCAGCGCGGGGTATCCCTTGAGCCTAGGAGTTCCAGACCTGCCTGGGCAACATGGTGAAACCCGGTCTCTCTCTCTCTCTCTCTCTCTTTTTTTTTTTGAGGCGGAGTTTCGCTCTTGTTGCCCAGGGTGGAGTGCAGTGGCTGGGTCTCCGCTCGCAGCGACTTCTGCCTCCAGGGTTTTAGTAGTTCTCCTGCCTCAGTCTCCGGAGTGGCTGGGATTGCAGGCCTGACCAACATTGCTCTGCTAATTTTTTTTTATTTGTTTTTGGTAGAGACGGGGTTTCTCCATGCTGGGCAAGCTGATCTCAAACTCCAGACCTCAGGTTATCCGCCCACCTCGGCCTCCGGGGATGCTGGAATTGCAGGCGTGAGCCAGCGCACACACCCAATTTATTTTTATTTCATTTTTTATTTTTATATATATATACTTTTGAGACGGAGTCTCACTTTGTCACCCAGGCTGGAGTGCAGTGGTGCGCTGTCTCGGCTCACTGCAACCTCTGCCTCCCAGGTTCAAGCGATTCTCCTGCCTCAGCCGCCTGAGTAGCTGAGATTACAGGCACCCGCTAGCACACCCATCTAATTTTTTTTTTTTTTTTTTTTTTTTTTTGGATTTTTAGTAGAGATGGGTTTTCATCATGTTGGCCAGGCTGGTCTCGAACTCCGGACCTCAGGTAAACCCACCTCGGCCTCCCAAAGTGCTGGGATGACAGGAAGGATCGGCCTGGCGTGGTGGCTCACGCTTTTGATCCCAGGAGTTTGGACCGGCCGAGCGTGGCGGATCCCTTGATCCTAGGAGTTCTAGACCAGCCTGGGCAACATGGTGAAAACCGGTCTCTCTCTCTCTCTCTTTTTTTTTTTTGAGGCGTAGTTTCCCTCTTGTTGCAGGGCTGGAGTGCAGTGGTGCGGTGTCGGCTCCCCGCGGCCTCTGCCTCTGGGTTTGGGTGGTTCTCCTGCCTCAGCCTCCGAGTGACTGGGATTGCAGGCGGGAGCCACCATGCCCGGCTCTTTTTTTTTTTTTTTTTTTTTTCTGGTAGAGACAGGTCTCTCCATGTTGGTCAGGCTGGTCTCAAACTCCCGACCTCAGGTGATCCGCCCGCCACGGCCTCCCGGGGTGCTGGGACTGCAGGCGTGAGCCACCGCTCCCGGCCCAATTTATTAATCAGAAAGAAATAGATCAGCCTGGCGTGGTGGCTCACGCTTTCGATCCCAGGACTTTGGACAACCGAGCGTGGGGAATTGCTTGAGCCTAAGAGTTCCAGACCTGCCTGGGCAACATGGTGAAAATCTGTCTCTTATTATTATTATTTTTTTTTTTTTTGAGGCGGAGTTTCCTTCTTGTTGCCCAGGCTGGAGTGCAGTGGCTGGGTCTCCGCTCGCGGCAAATTCTGCATCCCGGGTTTTGGTGGTTCTCCTGCCTCAGCCTCCTGAGTAGCTGGGATTACAGGCGCCTGCCGCCACACCCGGCTAATTTTTTTTTTTGTATTTTTAGTAGAGACGGGTTTTCATCATGTTGGCCAGGCTGGTCTCAAATTCCTGACCTCCGGTGATCCACCCACCTCCGCCTCCCCAAGTGCTGGGATGACAGGCGTGATCGGCCTGGCGTGGTGGTTCACGCTTTTGATTCCAGGACTTTGGACTGGCCAAGCGTGGGGGATTGCTTGAGCCTAGGAGTTCCAGACCGGCCTGGGCAACATGGTTAAACCCAGTCTTTTTTTAAATTCCTTTATTATTATTATTATTATTATTATTTTTTTGAGACGGAGTCTCTCTGTCGCCCAGGCTGGAGTGCAGTGGCGCTATCTCGGCTCACTGCAGCCTCTGCCTCCCAGGGTCAAGGGATTCTCCTGCCTCAGCCTCCTGAGTAGCTGGGATTACAGGCGCCCACCACCACTCCCGGCTAATTTTTTTTTATTTTTTAGTAGATCGTGGTAACTGCCTTAAAATGATGATTGTTCAGAAAGTCAGTTTAATTTAGATACTAAGGATATTGAGGTTATGTAACATTTGAGCAAGTTCTAAAAAAAAAGAGAAATAGTATATTTAATTGCTAATAAAGTATTGTCAACTCACAAATATATTCACATAGCATACATTTCAAGAGCAGAATAACCATGAATATAAAAGGAATTAGCAAAAACGAAACAAAAAAGACATGAAGAAATAAAAACAGATGGAACAAATAGCACAAAATACGATGAAAGTTATAAAAGAAACTATGCCAACAATCACAATAAATGTAAATAGACTGAATAATTAAGAGAAAATGACTATAAAACAGAATTAGGGCACGCGTGGTGGCTCATGCCTGTAATCCCAGCACTTTGGGAGGATGAGGCAGGCGGAGGGATCACAAGGTCAGGAGTTCGAGAGCAGCCTGACCAACATGGTGAAACCCCATCTCTGCTAATACAAAAATTAGCCGGCGTGGTGGTGAACATCTGTAATCCCAGTTACTCAGGAGGCTGAGGCAGGAGAATCGCTTGAATCCAGGAGGCAGAGGTTGCAGTGCCGAGATCACACCATTACACTCCAGCCTGGGCAACAGAGCAAGACTCCGTATCAAAAAAAAAAAACACACAAAAAAACACAAAAAACAGAAAATAAACAGTATGAAAAGACATCTAAAACATAAAGTCACAGAAAGACTGAGAGAGATTGAAAAAAGATACACCTGTCATATGTACCTAACCCAAAGAAGGGTTGGAAGCTATATTATTATCAGATAAAATAGGCTTTGGGCAAAAAGCAATATGGGAGATTTTTTAAGGCCACAATATAATGATAAAAATTCTAATAAACCAAGGGAGAAGGTAATCTAAAATGTTAATGTATCTAATAACTAGCACTCAAAATACATGAAAGCAAAATATGACAAAATTGCAACCCTCAGAGGGCAATTTAAATACATATCTCAGTGTCTGATAAAAGAGACAAAAAACAATCAGCATAGACATAGAAGATTTACATCTCTCTAGAAAATTAACAAGCTTGACTTAATGTACAGAAAAAACATATCTCTCCAAAGTGACAGCATTCACCCCCCCAAGTACATATGTACTGAGCCATAAGGAAAATCTCAACAAATTCCAAAGAAGCGGAATCATGCACCCATCTTTCTCTCTAACCATAATCTCATTAAACTAAAAACAATAATAAAAAGATAAAGTAAAAAGCCAGAAAGGCAGATGCTAAATGAGAAAGTGACAGAAAAGTTACAGATTTTGTTAAGCATACAAAGCTTCTATGGGGTAAAGCAGTCAAAGGGATATGCAAATTTACACAGAAATCCAACCGATATAAATCCTTGAAAGATACTACATACAGATATTTCATCAGTTCTCACATGCCAAACCCAGCAAAGCCAAACTTTGGAGCCTCCCCTGCGAGCAGACCTGCCACAGGAGGAGAGGCAGCACAAACCTCCCTTTGCAGTGAAAATGCCACATTGTGTGTGCTTCTTACCCCATCACCTCTTTGGAAGTGGCCCCACTCAGCGCTAGCTGAGAATCGCTTCCCTCATACCACTCTCAGTAGTTCACCCCAAGACACACGGGACAACTCTGTACCTGGTAAGTCATTGTGAATCCAATTAATAATGGCATTCAGAAAGTTAGGAATCTTTGAATTATTAGATTCATAGTGATATTCAAAAGAAAGAAAACGACATCATTTCTGTTCCACGCATGTTGCCCACATTCACTGCGTAAAAGGCAAAGGGAACTGTGAGTACCCACAAAGAACCTGATATTGACGGCACATACATTTCTTCATTAGGAAGAATAAATTTAGACTGTAACAATTTAAAAAACCAGAAAATACAACTGTACATTTTAGTTCTTATTAAAATCCAAGAGGTTTAACTTATTTGCTCCTTGTTTAGGTAATTAGTGTCTAAAACATTTCAAAGATAACATATATAGTGGCTACGATTTCTAGTACTTTTTAAAAATTCAAGCCCAGTCTCTTCTAATTAAATGTATAAATGATTTATCTCTGTCTTTCTTAAAAAGAACCAAGAGCCCCAATTAAAAAGTAAAACTTAAATTTCCTCTTAAAAAATTGTTACGTCAAAATTATCGAATAAACCATAGTTCAGAAAATAATTTCTGAATTAAGAAAATATGAATAATAAAACCAACAGTTTATGTGCTGAATTTCACATTTTTATTTTTTATTATTTTTAAAATTTTGTTTTAAGTTCTAGGGTACATGTGCAGGAGTGTTACGTAGGGAAACGTGTGCCATGGTGGTTTGGTCCACCTATCAACTCATCACCTCAGTGTTAAGCCCAGCACGCATTAGCTATTTTTCCTGATGCTCCTCCCCCACCCGCCCTGACAGGCCCCAGTATGTGTTGTTTCCCTTCCTGTGTCCATGTGTTCTCACTGAACCTCACATTTTTAAATACAGCATATGCCAGGTGTCATTTCAGTACCCATAATTATACATAGTATAATTATACATAGTATATGTATATGTGTAAATATATGTATATGTGTACATATATGTATGTAATATGTGTATGTAAATATTATGTAAATATGTATGTATGTAAATATATATGTAAATATGTATGTGAATGTATGTAAATATATACACATGTAAATATGTATGTAAAAATATGTACGTAAATATATGTATGTAAATATATGTATATATAAATGTAAAATATGTAAATATTTGTAAATGTAAAATATGTAAATGTAAAATAAATGTAGAATGTCAAATGTAAATGTAAAATGTAAAATAAATGTAAAATGTAAATGTAAAATATGTAAATATATGTATATGTGTAAATATATATGTGTAAATATATATGTATATGTGTAAATATATATGTGTAAATATATATGTATATGTGTAATATATATGTATATGTGTAAATATATATGTATATATAACAGAGCATACAGCATATGCCAGGTGTCATTTCAGTACCCATAATTATACATAGTATAATTATACATAGTATAATTAGACTACTATGTTACCTAAAAAATGTTGATTAGATACAAATGTATAAATTTATCTTCTCTAAACGTGGAAATTCTCTAGAGGCTATTTCCAGCTTCTGTGTGGATTGTAGAGCAGGCTGCTACCTGTACCCCAAAAATGAACACCTTAAAAAAAAGACAACTTTCTCAGCCTCCCTATTGCACACACATATGAAAAATATGTTAAATTCAACGCCAAATATTCCTGAGATCAACACAGCAGTGATCCCAAAGAGAAAATTTCTCTTTGCTAATGGGCACAAACTTGAAGGGCAAAGCAGTGGAAGGGTAAGTCTGCAGACTCGCGTGGGGCTCAAGTCAGAATCACGTGGAAGATCATTGCCACATGTTTTTGTTTTTTTAAATAGCAAACACCACCAAGTGGAGCCCGCCGGGTTTAGTAGATATTAAACCTCTAAGGAGTGGCACATCCGAGACTGAAATTCCCATCTTTTGATTCCCAGCTCAAGGTCTCTGAAATGCCAGCACCAGCTGTGAAATTGTTCTTCTGCATTTTCATGGAGACCTTTTCTTCTATACTGCCATACTCTTTTTTTTGGAACAGTTATACCTGATCTTCCTATTTTTGTGTGTGTTCCACCGAAACTTTTTCACTCTAAATACTTCCCTCTTTCCAACTGAGCATTTACATCTGTAACAAGGACAAAAACATCTAACATCTCTCTCACCCTTGGTTTGTGTTTTGTTTTGTTTGTTTTTGAGACAGGGTCTTGCTCTGTCACCCAGGCTGGAGTGCAGTGGCGTGATCACCGTTCACTGCAGCCTCGAGCTCCTGAGCTGAAGCAATTTTCCCACCTCAACCTCTGAGTAGCTGAGACTATAGGTGTGTGCCACCACGCCTGGCTAATATGTGTATTTTTTGTAGAGATGAGTTTTTGCCATGTTGCCCAGGCTGGTATTGAACTCCTGGCTTAAGTGATCCTCCTGCCTAGGCTTCCCAAAGTGCTGGGAGGAATTACAGGTATGAGCCACCGTGCCTGGCCTCACCATTGTTAAAATTATGGAAATCGTGTTTGCAAAGCAGGTTGGCCTGTTTGGAAAAGGGTGTCATAATTTCTCAGGTAACTCCAAAAAGAGAAAGCTACGAAAATTACCTTAATACATTCATTACAGTCTCAGTATAAGATTATAGCTTCCTCTCCCAAAGCGTAACCACAACCTGACGCAGGATGAGTTGGTTTGAAAATACCGCATACAATATCCTCTTGAGTAGAATCATAATTTAGAACTCTAAAAATGACCGGAAACAAAACTGTCCAAGTTTGTTTAACGTAATGTGTTTCAACTTATTTGACTAGAAAACCCTTCATTCGTGCAACACTTATAAATATCCCATGGCAAATCTAGTTTTCTATGAATAATGAACGAAACATTTATAATTTAAAACTAAAATTGTCTTCTAAGCAGAGATCTACGTATCAATAAAATGAAGAAATAAAATTTCCATACTGTTTTCTTCCCAATACAAGGATTAGAAGGAAAGGGAAAAGAGTAACAGCGAGAATCAATAGCCCATGTCTGGCCAGGCTCCATGGCTCAATCACACCTGTAATCCCAGCAATTTCAGAAGCTGAGGCGGGAGGATCACTGGCCTTTAGTGATCCTTGAATGAAACTCCATCTCTAAAAAATTAAAAATATTAGCTTAGAGAATCATTTGGGCCCAGGAGTTTGAGGCTGTATTGAACTATGACTATGCTACTGCATTCCAGCCTGGGCAACAGGCTGCTTAAACCTGGAGGGGCAGAGCTTGCAGTGAGCCGAGATCACGCCACTGCACTCCAGCCTGGGCAAAGGAGCCAGACTCCGTGGCAAAAAAAAAAAAAAAAAAAGAGATTCTATTCACAATAGCAACAAAACCCTGAGAATATATCTAGCAAAGTATACACAGGCCTTTCATGAAGAGTATTGCCATAGCCTGAATGTGTCTCCCAAAATTCATGTATTAAAACTTAATTCCCAAGATGATAGTACTAAGAAGTGGGGCCTTTAAGAAGTGATTAAGACATAAGGGTGAGCCCTCATGCATGAGATTAGTGCCTTCCTTATAAAAGGGCTTGTGGGTGGTGGTAAATCTGTCCCTTCTGCCTCATGAGAACATAGCATTTGCCTGCTCCAGAGGAAGCAGCATTCAACGTACCATCTTGGAAGCAGAGACCAGGCCCTCACTAGACACTGTGTCTGCTGGAGTCTTGATCTTGTTCTTCCCAACCTCCAGAACTGAGAAAATAAACTTCTGCTCTGTGTAAATTACCCAGTCTCAGGTGTTTTGTTATGGCACTATGAAGGGACTAAGACAAATATAAAAATTACCCAGGGACTTAAAGGGAGAACTGACTAAACTGAAATATATGCCATATATATTATGAATCGTAGGACTCAATGCTATAAACATACTACTTCTCAACAAATTAATCTATAAATTCAAGAAATTCCTACACAAATCCCAATAGAATTTTTTTGTGGAACTCGAGAGGCTGATCCTAAAATTCATACAGTCACTTGAGGGGCCAAGAATAGTGTAACAGGGCTGGCGGGGCTGGTGGCTCACACCTGTAGTCCCAGTACTTTGGGAAGTCAAGACTGGAGGATGGTTTGAACCCAGGAGTTCAAGACCAGCCTAGGCAACATAGCAAGATGTTGTCTCAAAATATTAAAAATAAATAAATAAATAAATAAAAAGAAGGTTAAGTATGCACATTTTGTTGTGAATTTCAATTTTATAGTGATTTTTTTTTTTTTGAGACAGGGTCTTGCTCTGTCACCCAGGCTGGAGTGCAGTGGTGCCATCTTGGTTCACTGCAACCTCTGCCTGGGCTCAAGCAATCCTCCCGCCTCACTCTCTGGAGTAGCTGGGACCACAGTTATGTGCCACCACACCTGACTAATTTTTATATATTTTTTTTGTAGAGACGGGGTTTTTCCATGTTGCCCAGGTTGTTCTCAAACTCATCCACCTGCCTTGGCCTCCGCAAGTGAGATCACAGACATGGGCCACTGTGCCCGGTCTAGTGCGCTTTTTTTTTTTTTTTTTTAACCAAACAAACGATGAAGTCTCAGGAGTAAAAGTTGATACACAAGTAAATTTTATTGGTAATGTTTTTGTGTGGTCTTTAAGCAGAGGGAAAATTAGTCTGCATTATGGTGTATCCAGACTAAATAACTGATATTAAAATGAAATTATCCTTAGGATTTGCAATCTTAGAGAAAACTTTTTCATTTTTTTTGAGTTACAAATTATCTTCACTTACATTTGAGAACAGTGAGTCACAGAGGGATTAAGTATCTTACTCAAGATCTTGCAAGTGTTTGGTTTGAACCCAATCTTTTCACTCTGCAGAACTCAGAGTCACTCTTATTTGGAAACTTTTTAACTGATGTGGATCCTCTAATATGGGCTTCCTATTATTCATTCCGTATTAGTCAGAAGTTTTGCAAGCAGGCAGAATTCATTTTGCCAATTACGGGATTTTCCCTCAGTTGCAGTCAAGGTTCATAAAACTATAACTATAAATTTTGTTTTTGAGACAAAGTCTTGCTCTGTTGCTCAGACTGGGATCCAGTGGCACAGTAACAGCCCATTGCAGCTTTGAACTCCTGGGCTCAAGGGATCCTCCGCCTCAGCCTCCCAAGTATCTGGGACTACAAGTGCATGCCATCATCCCTGGCTAATTTTGTTTAAAAAAAAAAATTGTAGAGATAGGGTCTTGCTTCGTTGCCCAGGCTGGTCTCAAACTCCTGGCCTCAAGCAAGCCTTCAGCCTTGGTCTCCCAAAGTGCTGAGATTACAGGTGTCAGCCATTGCACCTGGCCAAAACTGTAACTATATATACACACACACATAACTACATATATATGTGTGTGTGTATGTATGTGTGTGTGTATATATATTTTTATATATAAATAGATATATCTGAAAGGCATCAAAAGAAAAAAGCTGTAACTTTTAGTCTTGATCTTGATAGTGACTTGATTAGGCTATCTGTTTAACATCAAAGATGCAAATTAATGCTTTCTTTGGGTGAGCATATTAAAAATGCAGAAAATATTGGAGTAGTTTTTTATGTTAAATAAATTGTATTCTGTGTATTTAAGGTATACAACATGATTTTGTGGGATGCATATAGATGGTTAAAAAAATTACTACAGTGAAGCAAATTAACGTATCCTTCAACTCAGATAGTTACCCGTTTTCTTTTTGTTTGGTGGCAAGAGGAGCTTAAAATCTCATTTAGCGTGAATCCCAATACAGCACAATTTTATTACCTATATTTCTCGCGTTGTACATTATATTTCTAGGCTTGTTCATCCTACATATCTGCTACTGTGTAACCTCTAAGCTATGTCCACCCATTTTCTCTCTTGCCCCCCAAGTAATTTCCTAAAGTGTCTCATATAAAAAGGCAGTAGCTTTCAGCTTAAACTTTTTCTCTGTATATATTTAAGTCAATTTCTTTGAGGTATGTTTTTCTCTCCAGAATAGTTAGATGTAGGCATACCACTTTAATGTTGACACTAGTTCACCTAGAACTTATCTTCTGCAAATCTGTCTCTATGTCCATCTCTGTCTCCATCTTTGTCTCTATCTTTATCTCTGTCTATCTATCTATCCATCCATCCATCCATCCATCCATCTATCTATCTATCCATCTATCTGTCTATCTAACTAAAGCAAATTCATGCCCTTCTCCTATTTATGGAATCGAGACCATAAACAGAGGTGAGGGAAAGAATTTGGCAGGAATTGCGATGTGTATTACCTGTGGCATAAGGAAACTTTACAGAACTAGGGTCAAAAGTATACTTTCTAGTTCTTTCCCATGGCTTTTCACTTTGATGTAGTCCTTATCAGGCAACTGAGGTTTTATATAAGTCCCCTGATTCTTAGAACATGAAGGTGTAGTATTCAAGTTTGGTCCCTTGAAAGCACAATTTTTGTTAAAAAAATTTAAGAAAATTGTATGATTTCCTCAGCAAATACATATTGATCATCTGTTATACAGCCATGAGAAGTGGTTCTGTTGAACACGTTTATTTTATCAGATCCCAATTCTAAACCAGGCATAGAATGGAAACCATGAAGGTAGGATGAAATAACTTCTGAATGTTTGAAAATAGTGTACTTAAAAATAAATATCAGGTGTTTTTGTTTTGTTTTTTGTTTTTTGTTTTTGAGACAGGGTCTCACTCTGTCACCCAGGCTGGAGTGTGATGGTGCCATCTCACCTCATTGCAGCCTTGACCTCCCAGGCTCGGGTGATCTCCCACCTCAGCCTCCCAAGTAGCTGGGACTACAGGCACATGCCACCATGCCCAGCTAATTTTTTGTATTTTTTGTAGAGACAGGGTTTCACCATGTTGCCCAGGCTGGTCTAGAACTCCTGGGCTTAAGCGATCTTCCCACCTCAGCCTCCCAAAGTGCCAGGATTACAGGCATGAGCCACCATGCCTGGCTGAAAATACCAGGTTTTTAAGTATCAGCACTGCCTCTTCAATCTTTTCTATTACTATGTTGTGCTCAGTGGTATTTTTTATTGAATTAGAGCAGTGCTGTTCAATGGAACCTTCTTTGAGGATGGAAATCTTTTATGTCTCTGCTGTGTGGGTATGGTATTAGCTGGGTATGGGGCACCTGCCTATAGTCCCAGCTACTCAAGAGGCTGAGGTGGGAGGATCACTTGAGCCCAGGAGGCCGAGTCTGCAGGTTCGTACCACTGCAATTCAGCCTGTGTGACAGAATGAGACTCAGTCGCAGAATAAAATGAAATAAGGAAATAAAAATGTAATTGTTGAAATAAGAAACTAGTGGATGGATTAGACACGAGAAGAAAGAATTAATTGTTTAGGCGATTCTCTCCAAAAAGTAAGTCAGCATGTCACACAGAGAGACATGAGGATAGATGATAGGGCAGAAGTTGGTGGGCTTGGAGGGGAGAGGAAGATCAGAATGAGGTCCAAAATGTGTCTTAGTGAAATCCCAGGAGGAGATATTAAAATTATATTAGAAAGTGAAAGAAATAGAAGTTTTATTTATTTATTTATTTATTTATTTTGAGAAGGAGTCTCGCTCTGTAGCCCAGGCTCGAGTGCAGTGGCACGATCTGAGCTCACTGCAAGCTCCACCTCCTGGGTTCACGCCATTCTCCTGCCTCAGCTTCCCAAGTAGCTGGGACTACAGGCACCCACCACCACGCCTGGCTAATTTTTTGTATTTTTAGTAGAGATGTGGTTTCACCTTTTTAGTCAGGATGGTCTCAATCTCCTGACCTCATGATCCACCAGCCTCAGGCTCCTAAAGTGCTGGAATTATACGCATAAGCCACTGCACCCGGCCCAAAAGCTTTGTGTTTTTACAAATATTACACATGTTTCTTGTTTAAGAAAAAAAGTCTTCACAATAACGTAGGAGAATAAGAGAAACATTTTTCCAAAAAAGAGAAGTCATTGTGATTATTTTATCTTATTGGAATGTTGGATAATACAGTCTGCTTCAGTAATCATCAAGCATGCTATGGATTTTCCATTTTCATAGGATCTGTATCTCGGTTAAGGTAATACTGGTAATTTTTGTACTCTATGAAAAATATAGGCCAAAATCATAGACCTTGCATAGAAGCTGGATCATGAAGACAGCTCTGGAGGAACACACAGGTACACACACACAGACACACATATATATAAAGTATACACATATATATTTTTTAAAAGCTTTTAAAGCAAAAGCCGGCCCTGCCCCTCTCCCAGAGTTGGCGGCCTCTCCCCTCTCTTAGAGTGGGTGGGGACAGTGGTTGCATGGGCAGCTTTCCTTGTGAGCCAAAGGTCCCTCTGGACACATGATGCCTGGCCACGCCCCCTTTCCCTTTCATCTTTCTCATTAACCAATGGGCTTGGAGCATTAAGGCCACGCCCCTATTCTGCCTTCTACTGCATCCCTGGTTACGCCTCCTCTGGCTCAGTCGCACAGCTACCTGGTAGGTGACTGGAGGTGTTGATCAGTGCTTGGTGGGATTTTGCTGATGTGGCCCCAAGCCCGCCTCCCTCCCCACCCTGCAATGGCAGAAGAAACTCGACAAAGTAAATTGGCAGCAGCCAAGAGAAAGGTAAAAACACACCAGGTCACGGACCCCCAACCCAGCCATAGATCCTCTCCAACGACAAGACTGCTGCCAGAGTCCATACCAATCCCGAGGTTCACCGGACTGGGACCCCCACACCGGTGCCTCTGGGCTACCCCCACCAAAGTTTTGCCAGTCAGCCCCACCCCTTCAGCAAGCAGCCCAGTCTCTGCCCTCACCAATCACCCCAGGGTGACTTTGGGCAGGTGAATCCTGGGGCTCCCCGCTCCTTTACTGGGCCCTCATCTCCTGCCACCCCAAGCTTGACCTCCCAGGGCTTTTTGGGCTCACATCTCCAAGGACCTGGGTCCCACAGCCCCAGACCCCACCCTCACCAGTCATCCCTGGGTGACTTTAGGCTGGTGAATCCTGGGGCTCCCTGCTGCTGACTCTTCCCTTCCCTCCTGCTGCCTCAAGGTGGACCTCCCTAGGCTGTGTGCACTGGCGTCTCCAAGGACCTGGGTCCCAGCTCTGTTTTTCCCTCCCCTATCATGGAGCGGTGACTCGGACATCATGCTGATGTGGTCCCTCCCCCTCACCAGGAAGAGTGGAATGTAGTGATGTCATGGTCCATCCAGTAACTGTCATTACTGCGAGACTGGCCTTTGATCTTATGACCCAGTCCCCTAAGCATTGCCACCCCATTTCTGGTTCCTCTTGTCACAGCACAAATTTCCAGCTGGAAGGGGAATGGAGATTGGGACCTAGGAGCAAGAGGTTTCAGGCTGCCTCACTCCCTTAACACAAACATTGACAGCGGGAAAAGCCTACACTTCCCCTGTGAGCTCAAAACATTGACAGTACCTCTGGATGGCAACTGGAGAATGGGTTTGACTTGGTTTGGTTTTCTCCCAGGCTTCTACTTTCCAGAGAGATTTTAACAAATTTTTTGTGAGTTCTCCACCTCACATTCTAATTCTCCATGGTTCTGGGACCAGACTGCCCTTCAGTCAGTGGTCTGTGAAGTGAGATTTGCTCATCTTCTGTGGAATAGATCTTGGGAAACTGAACTTGACAGCTTGAATCTTCCTCATATTATGTAAACCTGGGGTACTTTGAGTGCCACAGGATACATATGGGACATCTTTCTGAAGCATCAGTTTCCATTGATTCTCTTGAGATCAAGAGAAAAAACATTAATGTACTTAGGGATGACAGTCACATAGGTTTCTAAGAGTATACCAGACCTCTCTCTGAAATGAGGCTTGGGTTGTCCTCTTTCTGATAAATTCCCAGATTTAACAGAAAGGCTGCCTTCTGCCATGAGGATACATTGATATAAGAGTTTGAGAGGTACTGGTGCACTTCTTCACACTAACAGACGTGTGAGGATGTATGACTCTAAACCACATGGCATACAGTTCCTGCCTACTTAATGTTTACTTTTCTACCTCTGCCTCTGGTTTTGGTCCCTGGCAGCTGCTGATTCTTGGTAATACCCCAGAGTTTGGAGTCAGAAGACTGAGTTTCAAAGTTCGTCTGTCGCCTTTTTCTTTTCTTCTTTTTTTTTCTAGCCATGATATCAATCTCTTTGAGTCACTAAATGATTGTGACAACACCTTGTACAGTTGTTGGTGTCATTAAATCAGATGGTGTATAAGAGTATTTTATAAAAACTGTAAAGGAGGATGTGGCTGCAGGGGCTGATAGTTCTCATGAGTATTACTGCTCTTGTTTCTGACAGTTAAAAGAATATTGGCAGAGAAACAGCCCTGGTGTTCCAGCAGGAGCCAAGAGGAACAGGAAAACAAATGGCAGCATCCATGAGACAGCCACTTCTGGTGGTTGCCACTCACCTGGAGATGTGAGTCTTGGCTGACTAGGTTCCTGGGGACAGGGGACCCAAGGGGCACTAGAGGGTAATTGTTAAGATTGTGGATGGACTGTTGGGTACCTGTGAAGAATTCTGGGTTTGAATCCTGCCTCTTTGTCTGCTAGGGATATGAATTAGGGCAAGTTGCTTGACCTCATCGGGCCTCTCTTTTCACATCTGTATAATAGAGGTGGTATTGTTTCACTTCCATTTGTGAAGTTTAAATGAGATTTGTTATTGTTGTTTTTATGTTAATCCCTAGTACATGGCCTGCTGTAAACACCCAGAACACCCAGGATATGGTCATTGCTGTTCGATTTTCCTCATCCCCAGTCTCAAGGGGAAGCCAGGACAATGAGAACAGTCACTTGGCACAGGAGTCACTGAAAGGGCCGCAGGGTGCTGTGGTGGGGAGATAAGAACCATGAGAGAAGTTGGCACAAAGGAGTTATGGGACAAAGGGTCCAAGATAGGCAGAAAAGAAAATTGTGCCAGTTGATGGGGAAGAAAAGAAGTCAGAGGGCTTAGATACTGAGTGGGACAGAACATCTTCATGTGCACTCTCATCTCTTGTAGTCAGCAACAGGTATCCACGGGGAGAGCCCTACATCATCTGCTACCCTGAAGGATCTGGAGGTAAGAGGCTCTGGGCAGAGGTGCAGTGACCCTGCAGGGCAGCCCTCCAACCTCCTCCTCCAGGTGGGACGGGGTGCCCCTCTGCCAGCTGAGACAGTCCACACACACCCCAGCCCTAATGATTGCTCTCTCTACCTCTCCCCCCACTCCTCCTCCACCTCCTCCTCTCTGCATGCGCCTCAGAGCCCGTGCCAAGAACTAGCAGTAGTCCCAGACTCGAGGTCCGTAAAAGTCAGTCAACTGAAGAACACCATCAAATCTTTGGTAAGAGTCCACTGGGGTCCCCTGATTCCACGCTGCCAATCCTGGGCTCTAGTTTCCCCTTGGGGCCCTGAAGAAAGGGGACGGCGGCCCCTGGTGCCAAGGGCGAATAGGGAGCTGGGGCGCCCAGGCCTCACCTGGAGGGACCCCGGAGCATGCAGCATGGCTCTTTTTTTGCTGCCCTGTTTGCTGACTCTCCCCTCTCCAGACGTCCCTGCTCGAGTCCTTGCTACACACGCCCTGGGATTGTTGCCTCTTGGGGAAGTGCTAGCCTGACTGGTTGTCAGGGGCCCTGTATTTCTGCCATGACTCAGTCCCTAATTTGCTCTTTGATTCTGGACAAGCCACCTCTCCTTTTTGGGCTCGTGTTTCCAGAGGAAGTAGTGAGTATCATAGGTCTCTGTTAGCTCTGAGAGTCTGAGATTTAAAGGCCTCCTAGAATGGAAACCTCAGGGCCAAAGGCTCCTGTCTGTCCTTTTCCGCCCTAAATCTGCTGTGAAGAACCGTACTTGGCCCGTACGTGCTCAGTAAATGTTTATTGAATGAATGCACTTTTCTAAATCACAAGCTGGCAGAAGGGGGGGCCTTTCTCAAACTCCATCTCTAGAGGTTTATGTTACTGTCCTGTCAAGAGATTCCAGATTCAGACCTTGAGTTCTGTGGCTGTGGACAAAAGCCAACAAAGACCCAAATCCTCTGTCCTTGGGAGCTTGAGGAGAGTTTACCAGTTCGTGTTCCCACTGGGTCTGAGAACTTTGCCTTTAAAATCCATTCCTGGTCCCTGCCTACCACTTCCTGCTCTGGGGAATAGAGTTGAGGGGGCCACCCTCCATCACCTTAATGTGACTCTCCCCACAGAAACAACAGAAGAAACAAGTGGAACATCAGCTGGAAGAAGTAACATGATTTCTTTGTTTGCTCGCGACATGACTGCTCGGTTTGGGGGACACTCAGATGTAGAGGCCCCGAGTCTCGTCTCACCCACTCCCAGCCTGGGGAAGAAGGCTCACCCCCCAGAGTCCACCCCATCCCCCACAGGGTCCCTGATAACCCGGTCCCATGGGTGGGCCTGTCCCGGGGCAGGGGCAGTGGTGGCATTCTGGGGACATGTCTCTTGCAGTACCATCTCTGCCTCCGCCTGGTTAGATCTCTGTCTTCCACTTCCTACAGGAAAAGAAAGCAAACAACGAGAAACAGAAAGCCGAAAGGGAGCTAGAGGTGAGTGGACGGTGTGCAGTTTTCTCCTGTCCTCCGGAGAATGTTTCTTTCCTTCTCTTTCAGCACTTGCTTGGCTTTTCTCCCAAAGGTTCAAATCCAGAGATTGAACATACAGAAAGGGAAACTAAATACGGACCTGTACCACACGAAACATTCTCTCAGATACTTTGAAGGTGGGAATCTGGGTACCCTGTCATCCTTCAACCTGGGACTTTGACAGGTCTTCAGGGGGAGTCCTTTGGGCCCCATCTCAACTCTCTCATTACAGAAGAGTCCAAGGATCTGGCCGTCCGTCTGCAACATTCATTGCAGCGTAAAGGAGAGTTAGAGCGGGCTCTCTCTGCTGTCACCGCCACACAGAAGAAGAAGGCGGAGAGGGTGAGTCCAACCACCTGCCCCGTCCCCTGGTAGCCTGGCTTCACAGACAGAGGAGTGAGCCTAAAGGTCCCTTCTGCAGGATGGAGTGTCCTGCCCAGAAGGCAGCATGGCCATTTCTCACTGCTTTTTTGTATGGTTGTTAGCGGCAGCTTGGGACTGAGTCAGCTGCTGTGGGTGAGTTGGGGGGCACTCTGGGGAGAGAACACAGGACGTAGAGCTTGGAGGCCAAGTGCCTGCCATGCCTTTACCTGGCTGTGGTCTTGGCCAAGTCCTAAGTGGGGTATTGGCTACTTGTACTGTGAAGGTACAGAAGAGTACCTTTAGTATGTTACCATTTCTGTAGAGAGAGGAAACGTGTGTGTGTGTGTACATATTATGATAATATACATAAAATATGTTTGCAAGTGTTCATAAAAACTCAGGAGAGAGCAACAGGGTGGCTGGGAGATACTTCCCTTCTGTACCTTCTGAGTCTGGGACTATGTGAATGTATTATCCTTTCAAAAAGTGAACAAAAGATTAATTTTCCCCTTCCTAGCTGTGCCCCCACCCCCAGCAAGAAAAATGGGCTTAGAGAATTGGATAGATCTGGGTGTTTAAATCCCAGCTCTGCCTAAGTGATCTTAGGCAAGCACTTAACCTCAAATACTCCATGTTTTTTCATCTACACAATAGAGGTCATCATAGTAACTGTCTCCCATGGTGGTTGCGAGGATTAAATGGGATTGCTAGCATGGTATCTGGTGAAGCACTCCATAAAAGTTCAAACAGTGGTAATAATAACAGTAATAACAATAGCAATATTATCTGATCTCTCTGGGCCTCTGTTAGCCAGCTATAAATTCGATCTCTTTCCCTGTCCCTTCCAACTTTACTGAGTTCTTTAAAAACCAAACCACGGGCTTGGAAATGCCTTGATCTTTACTGACCGAGTTGTATATTGGGCCTAGCCCTGGCCCTTTTAAGGGGCACTGTGTGGAATGGCCCGGCCTCCCCAGATTGAAACTTCTCACTCTTCAGCAGTTCTCCAGCCGCAGTAAAGCACGTATGGAGTGGAAGTTAGAGCAGTCCATGCGGGAGCAGGCACTGCTGAAAGCGCAGCTGACACAGGTGAGGTGTTCAGAGGGAGGGATGTGGAAGGAAGATGACCCCAGGTAACCAGGAGCAGGTGAGGACCAGTGACAGCCCTTCCTAATTTCTGTGCCCATTCTTGCAGTTGAAGGAGTCACTTAAAGAAGTCCAGCTAGAGAGGGATGAATATGCTGAACATCTAAAAGGAGAGAGGGCCCGGTGGCAGCAGAGGATGAGAAAAATGTCGCAGGAGGTGAGATCTGACCCTTCAGCCCCCCCCACATTAGATAGGTCACTGGATCTTTCTGGGCACCTGTAAAATGGGAATAGTACAGCCAGAGGTGGTCATGGGTCTGGGCTTTGTGGAGGTGGGGGCAGAGAGAGAGATGGTAGCATGTCCAGCCTCCAGCCCCTCTCTCCAGGGCCCTTTCCCCCTGTGCTTTGGGCAGGTTTGCTCGTTGAAGAAGGAGAAGAAGCATGATAAATATCGGGTAGAGAAGCTGGAGAGGAGCTTGTCCAAACTCAAAAACCAGATGGGTAAGATGGGGCTGGCGTGACCTGGCAGCAGGACTGGCATCAGAGGGCTGTGAGGGTGTCTTGGAGTGCCCCAGCGAGGTGGGTGGATGGAAGGGCTTTGAGGCAGAGGGAAAGAGGTCTGTGCCAGGAGACGGCAAGTCTTGTCATCTCAATGAGCCTCAGTGTCCCCATCAGCAAAGAGGGCCCGTTGTCAGCCACCCGCAGTGCTCTTTCTCTGAAAGTGCTTTGGAAGACTGGCTACCCATCTGGGTGCGAGGAATCATTAGCAGTGAGGCTAAGTTTGAGGAGCCGGAGAGGAGCTGTGCGCCAAGAGGAGGGTTTTTTCTTTTCTTTTCTTTTCTTTTTTTTTTGGAATCCAGAGGCTCTTATTATCTGCTTCCTTTCTCAGCTGAACCTCTGCCCCCGGAGCCCCCAGCAGTGCCCTCTGAGGTGGAGCTGCAGCACCTGAGGAAGGAACTAGAGAGAGTGGCAGGAGCGCTCCAGGCCCAGGTGGAGTACAATCAGCGCATAAGTCTCCTGAATGAGGGGCAAAAGGAGAGGCTTCGGGAGCAGGAGGAGAGGCTTCAGGAGCAGCAGGAGAGGCTTCCAGAGCAGGAGGAGAGGCTTCGGCAGCTGGCCGAGCCACAGAACAGCTTCAAGGAGCTGGTGCGTTGCCCCAGCTGGGGAGCCTGCCCTCCTCCCTAGCCCTCCAGGCCTTTGTTTCCCCACCTATAAAATGGGGCAGTGTAGCCCTCAAGTGAAATGTTACTCCTAAAGGCACCTGTGAGCCAGAGCCCTGCTCTGGTGGCTGTGGGAGACAGGGGATGATTTTTCTAACCTGCCTCCACCCTTCCCGGTGCCATGGGAGGCAGTCACCAAGTTCTGGGGTCTCCAGCTGCAGTGGGTGGCTGCTGATTGCTTCTCTCTGTCCAGAACAATGAGAACAAGAGCGTACTACAGTTGGAGCAGCAAGTAAAGGAGCTGCAGGAGAAGCTAGGCAAGGTGAAGGAGACGGTAACCTCCACCCCATCCAAGAAGGTCTGGGAGGTGGGCACCAGCCTCTGGGGAGGGGAGGTGCCAGGCCAGAGGCAGCTCCAGCCCGGGGGCAGGTGACCCCAGCACCCTCCAGGGCAGTCCTGTGGCTGTTTCTTGCTTCCTGCCCTCTGATTTTAGAGGTGGGTAGCCCTGGGCTCCTCCCAGGTCTGGACATCATCATTCCAGCTAGAGACATGGAGCACCCCCAATCACAGGGGAAGAGACAGAGTGGTATAACAGTCTTCTTATGCCAGACGCGGTGGCTTACGCCTATAGTGCCAACACTTTGGGAGGCTGAGGCAGGAGAATCACTTGAGGTTTGGAGTTTGAGATCAGCCTGGCCAACATGGTAAAACCTCATCTCTACTAAAATTACAAAAACAAAAAACAAAAAAAGAAAGAAAAATTAGTGGGGCATGGTGGTGGCGCATGCCTGTAATCCCACCTACTCAGGAGGCTGAGGCACGAGAATTGCTTGAGCCCAGGAGGTGGAGGTTGCAGTGAGCTGAGATTGCACCACTGCACTCCGGCCTGGGCCACAGAGTGACACTCTGTCTCAAAACAAAACAAAAAGACTCCTTAGATTAAAACTGGATTCCAGCCTCAGTTCCACTGGTCACCATTCAAGTACTTCACATCTCTAAGTCTCTGTTTCTTTAACTTCAAAAGGAAGTTAGCATTTTCCTTACAGAGGTGCTGAGGATTAAATGAGATAATACATGGGAAGCATTAGGCCTGTAGCACATTTAGCAGATGGTGGTTGGCTCCCACTACTTTTCTACCATTCTGTGGCCTACAGTTGAAATGGTGGGAAGAGGACATGAGATTTGAGGCTGGGGAAGGAGGCATGGGGTTCTAGGAAAGGGAGGCAGTCACTTAGGCCTGGAGTAAGGGGCCAGGGGCCTGGGCAGGCGACAGAGCCCCACAGTGCCCTCGCTACCCTATTAATGGGCCCAGAATCTGGAAACCAGCCACCACGTGCCCTCACACCCAGGGTCTTCCTGCAGGTGGAGCTGAAGAGCCAAGAGGCTCAGAGTCTGCAGCAGCAGCCAGACCATTACCTGGGTCACCTGCAGCAGTACGTGGCCACCTATCAGCAGCAGGTGGCCGCCTATCAGCAGCTGACCTGTGAGAAGGAGGCGCTGTACAGGCAGTGACTGCAGCAGACCCAGCTAATGAACCAGCTGCAGCAGCAGGAAGCTTGGGGCAAAGCGGTGGCCGAGATGGCCTGCCAAAAGTTGCAGGAGGCCCAGGGGAGGGAGCTGCCGAGGATGGGGCCGTGAGGGGGACGACCTGGCAAACTCTGTGCCTTCTCACTCTTTCCTGGCCCCTTAGGAGCGTCTGGAAGCTGCCAGCCAGCAGAAACAGCAGCTAACGGCCCAGTTGAGCCTCATGGCTCTCCCTGGGGAAGGTACGGGAGACCGCTCAGAGGAAGAGGAGAGAGCCCCAGGAGGAAGGGGGGACTGCTAGCAGCATAGGATTGAGGAGTTGGAAGAGACCTTTAGAACAGCTGGTCATTATACTAACCGGGTGCCTGCACTAAGTTCAGCATCAATATGGTGACCTCCTGTGAGCGGGGGGCCACCAAGTTGCCTAAGGATGGCTGAACTGGCCGAGGTCAGAAAGGGAGCAGGTCAGAACTCCCGCACCGACCAGTAGTGGGAATGTGCCTGGGCAGTATAGCAAGATCTTGGTTCTTCAAAGTAAAAATAAATAACAGCAGCTCATTCCTCTCTGGGGAGGGCCTGGCTCAGGGTTACACAATGAGGGTGGAGGCAGAGGTGGGCCCACAATACTTCCCTTGTTGAGTTGTCTGAAGACCCCTCTGGCCACCCCCCACAGGACACGGAGGAGAACATCTGGACAGTGAGGGGGAGGAGGCACCTCGGCCCATGCCGAGTGTCCCAGAGGACCTGGAGAGCAGGGAGGCCATGGTGAGCCTGACTCCCCCTGCACCCATTTTGCCACCTTTCTCTGTGGTCCCTCCAAGACCCCTTTATGCTCTTCGTTTCCCTGCCTTCTGATTTCTCTGGACCCTCACCCCTTCCGAGAGCCAGTGGTCAGACACCATTTCACCTGTGACCAACATGTGCAGTCTCTGGGGCCCCAAGGGAAGGGGCTGCGCTCCACCTCTCTGCCCCATTTCTTCTGTGTATGCCCCTAGAAGAATGCTCACATCTTGCCCTCAGGTGGCATTTTTCAAGTCCGCTGGAGCTAGTGCCCAGGAGAAGCAGGCACAGTTACAAGAGCAGGTGAAAGAGCAGAGGGTGTGCTGCCAGCGCCTGGCTCACCCGGTGGCCTCGGCCCAGAAGGAGCCAGAGGCAGCGGTCCCAGCCCCAGGGCCTGGGGGCGAGTCTGTGAGTGGGGAGACCCACCGGGCCCTGCAGGAAGTCATGGAGAAGCTGGCCCATGCCGGAACTCACCTCCGCCTTCTCCATGACTTGAAAATGCCACCTGAGGGCAGGTCGCTGGCGAGATGTGACCCCATTATTTTGGCTCCAGAGCGGCTTTATGGACCACCTGGAGGAGAAGGCAGACCTGAGTGAGCTGGTGGAGAAAGAAGAACTTGGATTCTTCCAGTACTACAGAGAGGGATGCCATCAGTGAGTGGGAGGCCAGGGCATGGCAGGGGGAGCTGCAGGGCTGTTGGAGGGGCCCCAGCGTCTGAGCCCTGTCCTCCCGCAGGAAAGTTTATCACCCTATAACAAAGCCAGGGGGCAGTGCCAAAGATGCAGCACCGGGAGGAGGACACCATCAGGCTGGCCCTGGACAGGGAGGAGATGAAGGTAGAGTGTGCAACATCTCTGCGGGGGTGGGGGTGGCTGTGACGGTGAGCGCTGGCAGCAGCGTGACAGCTGAGCACCCCTCCCTCCAGGTGAAGCTGCTGGAGCTGCAGGAGATGGTGTTGCAGCTGGTGGCGACTACAAGGGACACAGCAAATTCTTGGTGACTGCCCAGAACCCTGCTCATGAGCCCAGTCCAGGAGCCCCAGCCCCCCAGGAGCTTGGGGCTGCCCACAAGCATGGTGGTGAGTAGAGCCCTCAGGCGGGGTGGGCAGGCAGGAGCAGGGGGGCTCTCACTGAGCTCAGATCCCCGCCTCCCTCTCTCCAAAGATCTTTGTGAGGTGAGCCTCACTGACAGCGTGGAGCCTGTGCAAGGAGAGGCCAGGGAGGGTTCTCCCCACGACAACCCTACTGCACAGCCGATCGTGCAGGACCACCAGGAGCACCCAGGCTTGGGCAGCAACTGCTGTGTGCCATTCTTTTGCTGGGCTTGGCTGCCAAGAAGAAGGAGATAAACATGACCATCGTCAAAGAGCTGCTCAAGAAATTTTTAAAAAAGAAACAAAGTTATGGGGTTAATCTCCTACACAATTCATTTACTTCGTTTGAATGTTATAGCCACTTATGATTATTTGTGTTTCTAATTTATAGTTTAAGTTTATTTGTAAATAGTTAAAAGAGAGTGGGTCTCTGTGGCTTTCACTGATGTTCACTCTGGCATACTTTCGCAATTTTCTTTTTCAATTTCATGATTGTAGGTCATTAGCATGCATATTGAGTTTGCCCTTACGTGGTGGGAGTTCAAACACACAAAGACCCACTATTTGCACAAAACTATTCTTGCTGGTTTGGAATAGGCTGCCATGTGTTTTTAATGTTATTGAAGCATGTATATTCATTACAGAATTCAGATAAAATTTGCCTATGTTCTGCTATTGTTTGATCTAATCTTAATCACAGTGAGCTCTTCATTAGCACAATATGTGGTTTGCCCCAAGTTTGCACTATTTAATACTTTGTAATATGCCACCAAGAGTACTGACATTTAGAGTTGTTTAAAGGCCGAGAACTGGAAACAGCCTTTCCCTCATTTTCTGTGTATTGGTGATGGGAGTAATAACATTTTGGGGGAGCTTTTTAAATTTCACAGAAGAGGAAAGTTGCCTGCTCTGGCAGGTATGTGCAAGATAGAGTGTGTTTCATTTGTTCTGTTGCCAAGAATTAGTGCTGTACTATTGTAGTTCCTTTAGGATTTGTATGTGCTCTGGGCTCATGAAGATATTGCATCATGAGCTGCAGCAGTTGTACTCTTTTTTGATGACCTAAAAAGGGCTTATTTCTGAGGAATGAAAGGTTCCCATCATTGACTATGGATGTGGAAAACCTTTCCTAGCTTAGAGCATTTGTATCTATATTTTAAAGTCAGAGTTCATGTTACCTGTTTTAATCACATGACTGCATGTCCCAGTACACAAAAGGGCACTGGTTGGCATTCTTCTTAATGTATTTAGTAAAGATCAGAAGAAATCCTTTAAGAGTTTAAATGTCCCTGGAACACGCATACAGGCTCTAGTCAAGAATGAATTAGAGTGAAGGAAAGCTGTGTGACACCTGGCATTCCTCTGTTCATGGAGCTTCTTTGAGGCTTGAAGATTGATTTTACCATCTAGACCACTCTGCCTATTCTTCAACCACCTTGGTTACTTTGACATAGGAATTGACTTCTTTTCCTTGAATGGAAAACACTTTGAAATAATAATAAACATTGTTATAAACTAATATATGTGAGAGTGCTTAGTTGAAACAAAAAGGAGTTTTAGTAGACAGTATTATACTATCTTTGAAAATCAAGGAGAAGTTTATGCAACTTAAAATGTGTACAAACTGCAGTGCAATCTACTGTTGGTGAATGTCAGTGTATTATCAGGAAACATGTCTATACAATCACAGAGTTATATTTCCTCACAAACTTCTTTGTGAAGAGTGAAATGTGTTTCTGTACCTCTGGGTTTCACTTACGGGCATATTTTGTGCAGTATTTATGTGATTGTGCCTATGCATGATGAATGAATGAATTTCAGTTGTACATTGCCTAAATCATAACTTGATGATGCTTGGGAAAGACTCAACAGTTAAAACTTCATGAAGTTCTAATGTCTGTGTTCCAAAACACATCACATTATTAGGATGTAGGGAGATATGTATGTGTGCTCCCTGGGGTGGGGATTTCTAGTTACTAGACCATCTCCATTTTTAGCAGTTGGCATCCTCATGATACTTTTATAAATACGACATTAACAGGAGAGCAGCAGTACGATTTTGCCGATGGAATAACAGATTTGCCGGCAATCACTGAAAGAGTGCAAATATCGGGTCCTTGTGACTTCAACGGACTCTTCCAAATTGTATGAATGTATCAATGTATTAGATAAACCCAGTTTCAGAATGATAAAGAAAAAATGTTAGACCAAATAATGCGGCTAGTTAACAGTGGTACGATTTCTAGCCCGTGGCTTTAAAATGCACTTAAAGTCCTGTCCTTGCCTTTTATTTTCTGAACTTGATGTTTTTGCATTCTTTGAGTTCAGTTTAAAGACAACTACGAGCATCTGTAACCAATCTGACAATAATGTGTTCATCAGGTGCCTATGGATTAAATCACATACTGGCATATTTAAGCTGAATGTCAATCTGGAAAATAAATTGACTGTATTAACAGAAATACCACTCTTTGTGTAGATATTTGTCGTATATTTAAGAAAAAGCTAAAAAGAATGGAAATCGCATGACTATAACTTAAGTCTTTCTTCAAAGTGCATTGCAGTCTTTTGCGATACCTCATTCAGCCAAGTATTGGTATTCTTCCTCATTCGGTATAAGGCAGCTTTCAATTTGCTTAGAAGGCAACATTGGAAGGTTAGAGTTCATCAGAAACAGAATTCTAAAATGTGAGTTCAATTCAATAAATTTGAATTTCTGTAGGAAGAATCAAATCACCGATTTAAAGAGTGCAATATATAATAATCATTTTTAAAGTATTGGATTAAATCTGATAGGTTTTCCAGAAATGAACAAAAATCAGCTCTAAAACCAAAGCTGATTTTTAGAAAATTTGAAAATGTAAATCAGCCCTATCCATACTATAGTTTCTCTAAAACTTTATCTGAAAGAGTCATTTTAAAATAACTATTAAACAATGTAACTGCTATCTTAATGTTCTGAAATAAGTTAAAACATTTTAAAATATGAATACTGTAAAGGAAATAAATGGTGGGAAGGAAAAGTAGAGAAAGAAATGCCAATTCCAGTCCAAAGCTTTATTTGCCAAGTTTTCTTAGAATGAATTTTACCAATTTATGAATTCTTGTAAGCGGAATGTAAAACGGAAATACTGAAAGACTTTTGCCTAAAGTGGCATTATTGACTGCTGGTGTGATGCTACTGTAATGTAATAAATTATTAAGTTGTTGCAAAGTGCTGTTTTTGCCTTAAAATTTTATTCTGTGTGTCTTGAAAAATATAGTATTAAAGGTATTGATACTGTGCAAATGCTGAGCATGCTTGGCATGAGATAATGTTTCATTTTTACAAAATTGTAATATAACTATGCAAGGGTTTATTAAAAGAACACAAAATAAAAAAGTTATGGGATTAACAAAAGTTATGGGGTGAAAAAGTTATGGGATAAAAAATGTAAAAAAGTTGTGGCAAAAAAATCTTGTGACCAAAAAGTAGAAGAAAGTTTTATGAAAAGTTACCAAAAAAAGTTATGAAAAAGAAGTTATGGGATTTAAAAAAAAAGGCATGGGATAAAAATAAAAATAAAAATTAAAAGCAGGCCCCTGTCAGCAAAGCCTGGAGAAGTGGGGCTGGGGTCTCTCCACCACCACACTGTCCCTATCTCCCCTTCCCAGTCACCCCTTTACAATTAGGGTAGCAAGACAAGACCACTGTCTAACGAGGAAAGACAAACAGACCCTTTGCCACCTTGACCAGAGCTGAGTCCTTAAATTTCTGGATGATATTGTTATTTAAGAGCCAGAGGCTGGTGGAGTTGGTTTGTTTGGAGGAGGCCTCATGGCCTCCTTACTCTCACCATAGCAACTTTTCCCTCAGTGGGGGCTCCAATCTTCTTATTCAGAGAGGTAGCTGAGGCAGGACAGTGGGGCTAACTGTGGACCAGGCGAAGGCATGGGCTGCTGGGGTGGCCCCCCTTCCCCGGTGTATATATTGTGTCTGTGTAAGGTTTTGTATATTCCAGAGGGTAGGGCCACCCCTGTATCATACCTAGCGGTGGTTGGAGGTGGCACATGGGGAGGAGGTTCTAATAATTATTTGTGGCTGGGAAACTTACTTATTGCTAGCATAGGACAGAGGAAGAAGGCAGGGATGGGGTCATGGCTTCCCAGTGGTGTGATCACAGTTCACTGCAACCTCCAACTCTCATGCTCAAGTGATCCTCCCACCTCAGCCTCCCAGGTAGCTGGGAGTATAAGCATGCACTACTATGCCTGGCTAATTTTTAAATTTTTTGTAGAGAAAAGGTCTTGCTATGTTGCCCATGCTGGTCTTGAACTCCTGGGCTCAAGCGATTCTCCCATCTTGGCCTCCCAAAGCACTGGGGTTACAGGCATGAGACATTGCTCCTGTCCATAAGATTTTCTCTTTATTACTGTTTTGTTGTTGGTGGTGGTGTTTTGTTTTGTTTTTATTTTTTGACAGAGTCTCGGTCTGTTGCCTAAGCTGGAGTGCAGTGGTGCAATCTCTGCTCACTGCAACCTCCGCCTCCTGGTTCAAGCAATTCTTATGCCTCAGCCTCCCGAGTACCTGGGGTTATAGGCATAAGCCACTGCGCCTGGCTAATTTTTGGATTTTTAGTAGAGACAGAGTTTTGCCATGTTGGCCAGATTGGTCTTGAACTCCTGGCCTTAAGCAATCCGCCCTCCTCAGCCTCCCAAAGTGCTGGGATTACAGGTGTGAGCCACTGCTCCTGGCTAAGATCCCATCTCTATTTAAATAAAAAAAGAAAATTCAGAATCTATGGAACACAGAACACCAAAGGCCAGTTATTTACCTCTCTGAGGTAATCTGTGTAAACAATTTGATATATATCCTTTCAAGTTCATACTTGCTATGCATACATATATATACACACATACATTGACATATTCCCCCTTCCCTGCTGTCATGCTATTAGTCTACTTTTTTTTGTAGAAATTGGACCAACTCTATGTTCTTTGCTGGCCCGTATTTCTCCTATTCAGTGATGTGTTATGAATATCTGTTTAAGTCAATGTATGCAACTCTTTAATATCATTTTAAAAGGTTACGACATACGATCATATGAAGGCATTAGAATTTATTCCAACAGTTCCCTTTTGCACATTTAATAATTTCCATTGATTTGCCAGGAAGAACATTCTCGTGTCATGGCTAAATCCTTTTGTATGGACATCCTTAATTATTCCCTTAAGATAAACTTTTAAATAAAGTTGCTAGATTAGTCTCGTTTCTTAAGTTCCTTTTTGGTAGTTTATATGTAACACTGTAGTTTTATATGTACTTACAAATACCTATAGTGCCAGTAGAAAATGGGATAAAATTAAACTCTTTCACATATGCCAAATACATTTTGATTTAGCGCTTTATTAACTGCATGATTACAGTCTCTGTATCTTTTGATTTACCTTTCTATCTTTACAATTTTCAGCCGAGACACTTAGCGGTCACATAATAAATTAAGGTTTTCTTTTTTTAATAATCTCCATCTTTCTAAATATGGTGAGTCACAGTCAGCTATTTTTGGATTGTTGAAAGCTGTGACTGTTCTAAATCGGAGCCCAGAAATCATGCCACTTACCAAATATGCTTTGTCTTCCAACATCAGAGTGTCTGGTAGAAGGTGACTGTTCTTGGAATTTAAAAAATCTGAACAGGACAAGACAAGAATCTGGACACTTTTTCTGTTTCTGATAATATGATTGAGTAGGTAGACATGCTGGATAATCCTTGCAAAGACATACTTGAACTTCCCCCAAAAAAAAATAAAATCCAGAATCTCTAAGAATGAAGATGGAGTGAAAATCAGAAGGGCTGCTGAGAGAATAATGGGGAAGCAGCCCCAGTTATCAAGGGACATGTCCATGTGTTCAATAGAAAGTTTCAGATGTAAAAAAAAGTTGAGAAAAATAATATATATATTATATATAATAAATGATATAATTGCCCTACATATACACATCATCAACAATTTTTCATTCATGGTATGGACAGTTTTTTTTTTTTTTTGGTTGTTTTTTGTTTGTTTGTTTGTTTTTAAAGGTGGGATTTTGCTGTGGTTGCCCAGGCTGGAGTGCAGTGGCATGATCTTGGCTCACTGCAACTTCCACCTCCCAGGTTCAAGCGATTCTCCTGCCTCAGCTTCCCGAGTAGCTGGGATTACAGGCACCCGGCACCACATCCGGCTAATTGTTGTATTTTTAGTAGAGATGGTGTTTCACCACGTTGGCCAGGCTGGTCTTGAACTCCTGACCTCAGGTGATCCACCTGCCTCGGTCTCCCAAAGTGCTGAGACTACAGGCGTGAGCCACCACACCTGGCCACAGCCAGTTTTGTTTCATTTATATTCCCACTTCATTTATATACATTCCTTCTTCCTCTGAATGATTTTGAAGTAAAACCTATACATCCTATCATTTTTAATTACCTTATATGTATCTGTAGAAGACAAGGAATTCTTAAAAATAAATATATTCACAATGCCATTAAATATCAAAAAATTAATATTCTGAAAATAGCCACAAATCCAGAGTTGACATTTTGTTGACTTTCTCATAGGTGACTTTTTTTCTAGTTTATCTATTTCAATCAGATAACTGTTTGCTCATATTTACATTCCTTACTGAACAATGTCTAAACTTAAACTGACATAAAATGGAGATGATCTTCTAACCAGATGCTTAGTGTAAGAAAAAACTTCAAACTGCAAGAGGAGTCCCTCCAAATACAGAAAGGACCAGTATTTTAAGAGGTATGTTAACTAAAATGTGGCAATGTAAGGAGCAAAGCAGGAAGAACCTTTAAGTCCTCAACTTACAAGTCAATTTCATAGTCAGTTTCCCTGGTCCTTCCACAACAACCTCCCCCATCTGTTTTCTCTACAATGGAGGTAACAATAGTAGCTATTCCAGAGCAGGAAAAGGCTTAGAGCAGTGCTAGAAGAGGGTCGTGGCTATATAAAGTTTAGCTATTTGTGTATTGTAACAAACCACCTTTTTTTTTTTTTGTCAATAATAGATTTCTTTTGTAAAAGTAGCAGCCTCCTGTCTGGGGACAACTGCAGTTCCACTAAGTGAACATTGGTGTCTGCTAACCTTTGCCTCTATTTCTCTCAATATACTGTGAAGCTGTTCCTGGATTTAGCAATTTTATATACTTCTTTTTCTTTATTATTCTTTTTTTCCTTTCCCTTTTCCTGAGACACAGTCCTGCTCTATCACCCAGTCTGGACTGCAGCAGCGCCATCATGGCTCACTGCCACCTCCACCCCGGGCTCAAGCAATCCTCCTGCATCAGCCTTCAGGGTAGCTGGGAGTACCCAGGGGGGCCCACCAGGTCTGGCTAATCTTTGTGGTTTTTGTTTTGTTTTTCCGTTAAGGGACTGGGTTTCCGGCCAGGCACAGTGACTCACGCCTGCAATCGCACCACCCCTGGAGGCCGAGGCCGGCGGATCTCCCCAGGTGAGGAGCAGGAGACCAGCCCGACCAACATGGAGAAACCCCATCTCAACCTAAATAAATAAATAAATAAATAAATAAATAAATAAATAAAAGTAGCCAGGCTTGGTGGCTCACGCCCTTGATCCCAGCCACTCAGGAGGCTGAAGCAGGAGAATCACCCAAACCCGGGAGGCGGAGGCCCGGCGAGCCGAGACCGCGCCACTGCACTCCAGCCTGGGCAACAAGAGGGAAACTCCGTCTCAGAAAAAAAAAAAACAGGTTTCACCATGTTGCCCAAGCGGGTCTGGATCTCCTAGGCTCAAGCGATTTGCCACACTCAGCCGTCCAAAATCCTAGGATCACAAGCGTGAGCCATGACGCCAGGCCGATCTATTCCTGTCTGATTAAAAATTGGGCCGGTTGCGGTGGTTCACGCCTGCGATCCCAGCACCCCGGGAGGCTGAGGCGGGCGGATAACCTGAGGTCAGATTGAGGCCAGCCTGAGTAACATGGAGAAACCCCATCTCTACCAAAAAAAAAAAAAAAAAAAAAAAAAAATTAGCAGGGCATGGTGGCTCACGCTTGCAATCCCAGCCACTCGGGAGGCTGAGCCAGGAGAACCACCCAAACCCGGGAGGCTGAGGCTGCGGGGAGCTGAGACCCTGCCACTGCACTCCAGCCTGGGCAACAAGAGTGAAACTCCCTCTCAAAAAAAAAAAAAGAGAGAGAGAGAGAGAGACTGAGTTTCACCATGTTGCCCAGGCCGGCGTGTAACTCCTAGGCTCAAGCGATCCGCAGCGCTCGGCCATCGGAAGTCCTGGGATCACAAGCATGAGCCGCCACGCCAGGCCCATCTGTTCCTTTCTCATTAATAAATTGCGCCCGGCGCGGTGGCTCCCTCCTGCAACCCCACCACCCTGGGAGGCCGAGGCGGGCGGATCACCTGAGGTCGGGAGTTTGAGACCAGCCTGACCAACATGGAGAAACCCGTCTCTACCAAAAAAGAAAAAAAAATAAGCTGGGCATGGTGGCTCACGCCTGCAATCCCACCACCCCGGGAGGTCGAAGCAGACGGGTAATCTGAGGTCAGGAGTTTGAGACTACCCTGACGAAGGGAGAAACCCCGTCTATACCAAAAAAAAAAAAAAAAAAAAAAATACAAAAAGAGCTGGGCATGTTGGCTCATGCCTGCAATCTCAGCTACTTGGTAAGCTGAGGCAGGAGAACCACCCAAATCCGGGAAGCGGAGGCTGCGGGGAGCTGAGACCGCGCCACTGCACTCCAACCGGGCAACAAGAGTGAAACTGCCGCAAAAAAAAAAAAAAAAAAAAAAAAAAAAAAGAGAGAGCGGGTTTCACCGTGTTGCCCCGGCCTGTCTGGAATTCCTAGGCTCAAGGGATCCCCGGCCCTATTCCTTTCTGATTTATAGATTAGGCCTTGCGCGCTGGCTCACGCTTGCAATCCCAGCACCTCCGGACGCCGAGGCGGGCGGATAACCTGAGGTGGGAAGTTTGAGACCAGCCTTATGAACATGGAGAAACCCCATCTCCAACAATAAAAACAAAAACAAACAAAAAACAAAATGAGCTGGGCATGGTGGCTCACGCGTGCAATCCCAGCCACTCGGGAGGCTGTGGCAGGAGAACCACCCAAACCCTGGAGGCGGAGGCCCGTTGAGCCAAGACCTCACCACTGCACTCCAGGCTGGGCAACAAGAGCGAATCTCCGCCTCAAAACAAACAAAAAGTGACCAGGTTTCACCATGTTACCCAGGCAGGTCTGGAACTCCTAGGCTCAAGTGATCCGCCGCGCTTGCCGTCCAAATTCCTGGGATCACAAGCGTGAGCCACCATGCCAGGCCGATCTAGTCCTTTATGATTAATAAACTGGACCGGGCGCGCTGGCTCACGCCTGCAATCCCAGCATCCCCAGAGGCCGAGGAGGTGGGCAGATAACCTGAGGTCGGGAGTTTGAGACCAGCCTGATGAATATGGAGAAACCCTGCCTGTACCCCCCCCGCCAAAAAAAAGAGAGACCGGGTTTCACCATGTTGCCCAAGCCGGTGTGGAACTCCTAGGCTCAAGTGATCCCCAGCGCTCGGCCGTCCGACGTCCTGGGATCACAAGCGTGAACCACCACGCCAGGCTGATTTATTTTTTTCTGATTAATCAATTGGGCCTTGCGCGCTGGCTCACGCCTGCAATCCCAGCATCCCCGGAAGCCAAGGCAGGCGGATAACCTGAGGTCCTGAGTTTGAGACCAGCCTGACCAACAGGGAGAAACCCTGTGTGTACCAAAAGAAAAAAAAAAAGAAAATTAGCCGGGCATGGTGGCTCACACCTGCAATCTCAGCCACTAGGGAGGCTGAGGCAGGAGAACCACCCAAACCCAAGAGGTGGAGGTGGCAGGGAGCCGAGACTGCACCACTGCACTCCAGCCTGGGCAACAAGAGCAAAACTCTGCCTCCAAAAAAACAAAAAAAAGAGAGAGACCGAGTTCCACCATGTTGCCCAGGCCAGTCTGGATCTCCTAGGCTCAAGTGATCCCCAGTGCTCCATCATCCAAAGTCCCTGGATCACAAGCGTGAGCCACCACGCCAGGCCGATCTATTCCTCTCTGATTAATAAATTAGGCGGGGTGCAGTGGCTCACACCTGCAGTCCTGTAGAGGGATTTTTAAGGAATTAGATAGACTCATGGGGTTTAGGAGGACATTTATTAATTATTTAGGTGCACCGGCCCAGTCGGATTAACATTTAAAGGATTGAGCACTGAACCAAGAGTTACCTTTCAAGCATTATGTGGGGCGAAGGGGGAGATCTGTGCAGGGAGAAGTATATTATAGAAGCGAGAAACAAAGATTGTTATTTAATTGAAACATGCATTATATTATTTTTTACTATTTAAGGAAAAATATGTTTTGTGACTTGAGTTTATTTGTTTAGTGACCTTGTAGTTGCACAGTTAAGGAATTAGTCGGGCATGGTGGCTCACACCGCAATCCCAGCCACTCGGGAGGCTTTGGCAGGAGAACCACCCAAACCCCGGAGACGGAGGTCTGGCAAGCTGAGACCTCGCCACTGCACTCCAGCCTGGACAGCAAGAGCAAATTTCCCCCTAAAAAAAAATATATATGACTGGGTTTCACCATGTTGTCCAGGCCGGTCTGGAACTCCTAGGCTCAAGCAATCTGGCTCTGGATGTCTTTAACTTGTGATTGAAAGCGTATTAAGATGTTGGGTGTATCAACAGTCCGGAGGACAAGAAGGAAAATCCTGGCATGTGAAATATTCTGCAACAAGAAAAGCAATCGGAGAGGTGACTACATTCACTGCAGCTGTTTTGCCCTCTTCTTCCCCACCCCCCACCCCCCACCCCCCCCCCGTCTCTTTCCTGGAAGTTCCCTAGTAAGAAGTAAAAGAGATAATGGCTTTCGAGTGCATGTTTTTCCTGGAATTGGAAGGAATTTTAACAAAGGAGCCCTTCACAATGAAACCCCCCCACACCCCTGCTTTTCACCTGAAGTAGGACAAGATCGTCGCCCCCACCATCATTCTCCACGTGACCCCAGGTGGGGATGGGTAGTGGACACTACTGATAAGCTCTTAGCAATTTCCCTATTTGTGGACTCTGAAGCTCCTTAGCTTGACAACTGATGCATAAGTTTTCTTTTGTGGGATAAGAATAGGAGAATAGGTGACCTTTTCCCCCTGAATTCCCATCCTGGGGCCAGGGAAGAGAGCCCAGGATCCCTTCTCTTGGCCTTCACACTGTGGGAAAGAGTACCTAGAGTTAAAAGCCTGATAAATGCCCTCGAACAGCTTTGAAAATCACAAGGTCAGGAGATCGAGGCCATCCTGCCTAACACGGTCAAACCCGTCTCTACTAAAAAAAAAAAAAAAAAAAAATTGGCTTATGCCTGCAATTTTAACACTTTGGGAGGCAGAGGTGGGAGGATCATTTTACCTAGGAGTTTGAGACCAGCCTGGGCAACATAGTGAGATCTTGTCTCTACAAAAACAGTTTTAAATTAGTCAGGCGTGGTGGTGCATACCTGTAGCCCCAGCTACTTAGGAGGCTGGGGCAGGAGAATCCTGCTGCTGCATTTTGTGCTACTTTTAAAAATATTTGGTAAAATTCAGGAGTAAAGCCGTCGGGTCTTGGGCTTTTCTTTCCCGGGAAACTTTTTTTTATTTTTTGAGAGGGCGTCTCGCTCTGTCGCCCAGGCTGGAGTGCAGTGGCCTGATCTCGACTCACTGCAGGCTCCGCCCCTCAGGTTCACGCCATTCTCCTACCTCAGCCTCCTGAGTAGCTGGGACTAGAGGCACCCGCCACCATGCCCAGCTAATTTTTTTTTTTTTTTTGTATTTTTTTTAGTAGAGACGGGGTTTGACCGTGTTAGCCAGGATGGTCTCCATCTCCTGACCTCGTGATCCGCCCGCCTCGGCTTCCCAAAGTGCTGGGATTACACGCGTGAGCCACTGCACCCGGCTTTTCCTGGGAAAATTGTTTCCGTCTCACTACTTATTGGTCTTTTCAGGTTTTGGATTTCTTTGTGGTTCATTCTTGCTAGGTTGTATGTATCTAGGAAAGTATCCATTTATTCTAGATTTTCTAATTTATTGGTCTATAGTTGCTCATACTAGCCTCTAATGATCCTTAGAATTTCTACAGTATCAATGAAAATGTCCCCGTTTTCATCTTGATTTTATTTATTTAGGGTTTTTTGTTTTTTTTTTAGTGTGGCTAAAGGTTACTGGTTTGGTTTATCTTTTTTAAAAAACGAACTTTTCGTTTTGTTCATATTTTGTATTTTTTCATTTCAATTTCATTAATTTTTGCTCTTATCTTTATTCTTTCCTTTCTTCTATACTTATTTTGGGTCTGGTTTATTCTTGCTTTTCTAGTTCTTTTAAGATGTATCGGCGCCACGGGCCCCGCAGAGCCAGGGCGGCTCCTGCCGGTAGCCTGTGTGTGGGCCCCGGCCAGCCGCGCCCCCAGTCCATATCGCCCTTCACTGCCCCGAGGCTGGCGCGGCTATGGGGCGCGGGGCCGGCGCTGCTCTGGGGCGTTGGAGCCGCGCGCCGCTGGAGGAGCTGCTGCCGGGGCGGGGGTCTGGGCGGCTCGGGGGGCCACGCGGGCCTCGGACGGCTCCCGGGGCTGTGGGCTTGGGCCCGGCAGCTGCAGGTGCGGGGCTCTTGCCGGCCGGGCGCTCCTCGGCTCCCGCGCGCCGGGTTCCCGGGCGGTCCCACCGCCACTGCCTGGGCAGGGGAGGAGGCCTGGCGGAGCGGGCGGGCGGCGCCTTCCCGGGACGACCAGCGGCTACGACCCATGGCGCCCGGACTCTCGGAGGCCGGGAAGCTCCTGGGGCTGGAGTTCCCTGAGCGCCAGAGGCTGGCAGCTGCGGTTGGATTTCTCCGATGTCCGGTGTTATCTCCATGTCTGCCCCTTTCTTCCTGGGGAAGATCATCGATGCCATCTATACCAACCCCACTGTGGACTACAGCGACAACCTGACCCGCCTCTGCCTTGGCCTCAGTGGCGTGTTTCTGTGTGGTGCTGCCGCCAATGCCATTCGTGTCTACCTCATGCAAACTTCACGTCAGCGCGTTGTGAAGAGGCTGAGAACTTCGTTATTCTCCTCCATTCTGGGGCAGGAGGTTGCTTTCTCTGACAAGGCTGGCACAGGGGAATTGATTAACCGCCTCTCATCGGACACTGCACTCCTGGGGCGCTCAGTGACTGAAAACCTCTCAGATGGGCTCAGGGCCGGGGCCCGGGCTTCTGTAGGCATCAGGACGATGTTTTGTGTCTCACCTAATCGGGCCACCTTTGTTGTGAGTGTGGTGCCTCTAGTGTCAATCATTGATGTAATTTATGGACGATATCTACGGAAACTGACCAAAGTCACCCAGGATTCGCTGGCACAAGCCACTCAGGAGGAACGTATTGGAAATGTTAAGAACTGTTCGAGCTTTTGGGAAAGAAATGACTGAAATAGAAAAATAGGCCAGCAAAGTGGACCATGTGATGTAGTCAGCAAGGAAAGCGGCATTCGCTCAGGCTGGCTTCTTTGGAGAACTAGGCTGTCCGGAAACCTGATTGTGCTTTCTGTCCTGTACAAAGGGGGGCTGCTGATGGGCAGTGCCCACATGACCATGGGTGAACTCTCTTCCTTCCTATGTATGCTTTCGGGGTTGGAATAAGCATTGGAGGTCTGAGCTTTTTCTACTCGGAGCTGATGAAAGGACTGGGTGCCGGGGGGCGCCTCTGGGAGCTCCTGGAGAGAGAGCCCAATCTGCCTTTTAAGGAGGGGGAAGGGTTATCTTAAATGAGAAAAGCTTCCAGGGTGCTTTGGAGTTTAAGAACGTGCATTTTGCCGATCCCGCTTGCCCAGAGGCGCCCATATTTCAGGATTTCAGCCTTTCCATTCCGTCAGGATCTGTCACGGCACTGGTTGGCCCAGGTGGTTCTGGCAAATCAACAGTGCTTTCGCTCCTGCTGAGGTTGTTCGACCCTGCTTCTGGAACTATCAGTCTTGATGGCCATGACATCCGTCAGCTAAACCCAGTGTGGCTGAGATCCAAGATTGGGACAGTGAGACAGGAAACCCATTTTGTTTTCTTGCTCTATCACTGAGAACATTGCTTATGGTGCTGATGGCCTTCCTCTGTGACCGCTGAGCAAGTCCAGAGAGTGGCTGAAGTGGCCAATGCAGTGGTCTTGATCCGGAATTTCCCCCAAGGGTTCAACACTGTGGTTGGAGAAAAGGGTGTTCTCCTCTCAGGTGGGCAGAAACAGCGGATTGCAATTGCCCGTGCTCTGCTGAAGAATCCCAAAATTCTTCTCCTAGATGAAGCAACCAGTGCGCTGGATGCTGAAAATGAGTACCTTGTTCAAGAAGCTCTAGATCCACTGATGGATGGAAGAACAGCGTTAGTTATTGCCCATCATCTCTCCACCATTAAGAATGCTAATATGGTTGCTGTTCTTGACCAAGGAAAAATTACTGAATATGGAAAACACGAAGAGCTGCTTTCAAAACCAAATGGGATATACAGAAAACTAATGAACAAGCAAAGTTTTATTTCAGCCTAAGGAAACAATTACTGGTAAACAACATGAGAGACTTTAATGCAAAACAGTATTGTAGAGAAAAAAAACCTCAGAGACTGCATGAAATATGTAAACCATATATCAAGTTATTTGAAAAATAGCTATTTTTTCCAAAGCGTGTAAAATATTGCTTTGAAATGTACCTGTTCTCAAGATCTTTTTATTCAGAGTTTTAACCATTGTAACTTTTTAAATGTCTATAGCACTGAAGTTATTTTCAGGTTTTGTATTTTCTTTCATTGTGGAATATTTTAATTAATATAGCATGGCACCTCATTTTCTTTTGCCTGCTGTTAAAGATGGAAGCTGTTGTCAAATGACAACTTTAAAAAGGGAAGTATAAATAAAAAGCCTGATTATTTTAGGCCAGTTTGCCAATCACTGTGTAATTCCTCTGGTAGTATTCTACCTACTTTAAGTCTAATTTTACTAGATAGAGTAATGGAAAATGAAAATTTAACCCTTTATTCCGATAATCTCATGAAGCAAACCTAACTATTTAACATCAGCTGGAAAGAAGGGAACATTTATATTGCCCGTCTCCTGTGTCTTCAAAGGTGTGAGAGTTGAGGAATATGTGTTCCTACGGGAACTATGTTTGAATATGTGCAGTTTTCAACATTTTGGCAAATGAAAGCCTGACAAGTTTTTAAAAGGGCAGAAGCTTTATTTTTTGAACAGAAAAATCTATTTTTTAAATTCACATGTTTGTATGAGTACTTCTGGGAAGCAAGGGATGAACTGCTAGGTATTATTAAGAATGAATGATTTTTGCATTTAAGTTGTTTGAAGGCATGTATTTTGAAAAATATCTGTTACAAATTTATAATTTCAAGACATACTAAATCTTATAATACTTTTGGAATTTCATTAATAAGGCTAAAATCTGAGGAATGTAACTAATTTTCAGCCTTAAGACACTTAAGTTTGGAAGTCCTTGCTATTCAACAGAATAACAAGAAACCTTCAGAATGTATCACTCTCCCAAAAAGAAGATATTAATAAGCCCTTTTCTTTTATTCATGGTTATAGTTTTTTTATAGTCTCAAAATTCCTAAAGCAATGCTGACAGCCATTGAATTTGCCATATTTTGTATTCAGTGCTGTTAATGTGCTGTTGCCTCAAGAAAAAGTGCTTTTTCTCCATTGATGAGGCTAGACCCTAAGAGGTAATTAAGTCAATGTAAATCAAATGGAAGTTTTGCCATGAACTAAGCATTTATTAGTTCCCTGATTAGACTGGAAGAAGAAACCGCTATTTCATGACAAGCATGGAATATTATATTTTCTTCTTCATAATTAATGAATAAAATTGATATGAGCGAATGAATGTAGTATTTTTTGAATTAGTAAACAGTACATCTGTGACAATCATTTTAACAAGCTCTACTTGTGTTCTTTATAAAGTGTGATTTTCAGAAAGCAAACAAAACACAATTAAAAGGTTGAATCTGAGGAAAATAATGCTTGTACCATAGAAGTATTTACAAAATTGCATTTCATTGTTATGTTTTATTTTCTGATACCTGATGTTCAATTATATCTGTAGGTAATATTTTATATCATAGATTAAAATTTATAGTGACCTTAAAAAAAGATGTATCATCAGGTTATTTATTTGAGGTTTTTCACTTTTTTGATCTTGGAAATTATAGGTATAAATTTCCCTCTTACTACTGCTGTTTGCTGTATCCCATAGGTTTTGGTATGTTGTGTTGCCGTTTTTATCTGCTTCAATAAATTTTTCAATTTCTTCTGAATTTCTTTGTTGAAATTGTAAGGATCATTAGAGGCTACTATGAGCAACCATAGGCCAGAAATTAGAAAACCTAGACTATATGGATACATATAGATACAGAAAAATTCACATTATGAATTTGTTCTTAAATAAGCTTTGGTAATTTGTCTCTTTAAAGAACTTTAAGCTGCCAAATTCTTGAGTATGGAATTGTTCATAATAGTTATTATCATTTAAATATAGAGGTTCTGTAATGATATTTCTTCTTTTATCAGTCCTTTTTTCTTAGTCTTACTAGTATGTAACAACTTTACTGATTTTTTCAAAGGAACTTTTCACTTTGTGAATTTATTTACTTTCAATTTCATTTATTTCTTTCATTACCTGTTATTTTATTTTTTCAAATTACGTTTTATTTGTTTATTTTTTCATTGACTTTTAAACCTATGTATTTTTCTAATAGAAGAATTTCAAATAATAAATTACCCTCTCAATTTAACTCTACACCACAAATATGAAGCTTTTATTATCATAATTTTGTTTTATTTTATTTTTTTAATTGGCACATAATAATTGTGCATATTTATGGGTACATAGTGATGTTTCAGTACTCATAGTGTATATATTTAATTACCCTGATGAGGTGATGGTAATTAGCATATCCATCATTGCAAACATTTATCATTTCTTTGTTTTGGGAACATTCAATATCCTTTCCTAACTATTTGAAGCTATATATTATTGTTAACTATTGTCATACCATAATGGTATAGAGCATTAGAACTTATTCCTCCTATCTAGCTTTAATTTTGAATCTTTTAACAAATCTCTCCCTATCCCTCCCTCCCTCTTATACTTTCCAGCCTCTAGCATCCTCTGTTTTAACTTCTATAAGATCAAAATATTTTAGCTTCCACATATGAGTGAGAAGCTGTAATGTTTAACTTTCTCTTCTTGGCTCATTTCACTCACATAATACACTCCATTTCTATGCACGTTGCTTTTATGGCCGAATAGTACTTCATTGTGTATCTATTCCTTTTCCCCTCCTGTCCCCTCCCTTCCCCTCCTCTCCCCTCCCCTCTCCTTCCTTTCCCTTCTTGAGATGGAGTCTTGCTCTGGAGTGCAATGGTGTGATCTTGGCTCACTGTAACCTCTGCCTCTCGGATTCAAGTGATCTTCCACCTCAGCCTCCCGAGTAGCTGGGGACGTGCCACCATGCCCAGCTAATTTTTATATTTGTAGTAGAGATGGGGTTTCACCATGGTGGCCAGGCTAGTCTCGAACTCCTGACCTCCAGTGATCCACCCATCTTGGCCTTCCAAAGTGCTGGGATTGCAGGCGTGAGCCACCGTGCCCGGCCTATATACCACATTTTCTTTAACCATCATCTGTTGCTGGACCCTTAGGTTGATTCCATATCTTGCCTATTGTGAATAGTGCTGCAATAAACATCTAGGTGCAGATGTTTATTTAATATACTGTTTTCCTTATTTCATATTTTTTCTAAATTATCTTTTGATTTCTTTTATGAACTATGAGTTAAATAGTGTTTCATGTTATTTACAACTATTTGGGGGTTTCCTAGGAATCTCTTATGTCATCGATTTCAAATTAAATTTTATTGTGATCAGAGAATATATTCTATAAAATCTAAAGCTTAAATTCATTTAAACTTACTCTTTGATTCAGCATTTGGCCTATGTTGGTGGTGCTTTCAATACACAAGAAAACAACGTATATTCAGCATTTGAAATGTAGTTTTTATAAATGTCAATAAGATCAAGGTGATTTATAATGAAGTTGAAATGTTCTATAGCCATACGAATGGTTTGTCTTACTGTTCAATCAGTGATGAACAGAGGGATGTTAAAATCTTTAATTATTATTGTCATTTATCCATTTCTCCCTTCAATTCTGCTTTTTCCTTCATGAATTATGAGGCTTTATTATTAAGTTGGTGTCCCTTTCATAATTATGAAATGGGGGCATTTCATAATTATGGACATATATGTCATATTAGGACAATAATATAATAACCAATTCATCGGAGGACAATAATATTGCTTATATTATTGTCCTCCGATGAATTGGTTATTTCATAATTATGAAATGCCCCCATTTTCTCTTATAATGCACCCTCTTTTCCAGTCTACATTGCATTTTGCTAATATAGCCACACAAGCTTCCTAATGCTTGCTGTGTATATGGTTTATCTTTTCTTGTAGGTTTACTTTTCATCTATCTGTGTCTTTATGTTTAATATATGTTTCTGGTAGACAACATTAGTTGGGTCTCATTCTTTTGTCTAATATGACAGTCTCTACCTTGTAATTGAATAATTTAGTTCATAAATATGTTAAATGAAATGTGTTGCCACTTTTAAAAACTGTACAATCTCTTGTTTCTCTTCTCGTATTTTTGTTTAATTGTATTTTAAGTATTCATTTTAAATTGCATAGATGAGTTAGTTGCAACGCTTTTTTGTATTGAGTTATTTGTATTACAATAATCATCAATTTATACTTAACTAATCTAAATTTTACTTCGAGGTAATTTTTGACAACTTCATATATAATGTAAAAAACTGATGACATCTGTTCTATTTTTACATTCTCTCCAGTGATTGATAGTGTTGCCTACTTTGTCAAATCAAAACAAGGCAACATTTTCCTAAAAAGTGATCTGTGCTCCACCTATCCTATTCATATGCACAGAAGACTTTCAGGGCAGAAAACTATTCTGCATGATACTATACTGGTATATGAATTTGCCTAAACTCATAGAATGTATGACAGCAAGCGTGGACCCTAATATAACTATGGACCTTGGTGATAAGGATGTGCCAGTGCAGGTTCATCAGCGGTAAGTAATGTGCCACTCCAGAGGAGAATGACAGCAAGGGGTCAGGCTGTGCCTGTGTGGACACAATGATGTATGAGAAATCTTTGTATCTTTCTTTCAATTTTGCTGTGAACTTACAACTGCCCTAAAAATAAAGTCTATTAAAAAAACCCAAAACAACAACAACAAAAACTGATGACGGTAACATTTCCTTTATTCCCCCTCTGTCTTTTGTGATTTTTTTTAGTATAAGTTTTTCTATCCACATCATAAACCCCACAATAAAATGATATCTTTTTAAATTTAAATAGTCAGTTTCCCTTCAACAAAATCGACAGATTAAAAAAAAGTATTTCCTGTTACTCATATACTTACCATTTCTATGCTTTTCATTTCCTCTAATCTGGAGTTTAGATTCGATGTTATTTCCCTTCAGGCCAAAAAACTTCTGCTAGCATGTTTTGTAGTACAGATTTGCTGGTGACAAATTGGCCCATTTAATTTTTCCGAAAATGTCTTAATTTTACCTTCAACTTTGAAAGATACTTTAATAATATATAGAAACGAACCTGATGCTCTGTCATCTCCAAATACTTTAGTAGACTGATTCTCAACCAGGGGGAGTTTTGCCCTCCAGGAAACATCTGATAATATCTCAAGATATTTTTAGTTGTTAGCCTGGGGAAAGGTGTGAGGAGGATGCTACTGTCATTTAGTTATTAAAGGCAAACCAAGTCGCTAAACATCCTGCAATTCACAGGAAATGCCCCCAACAAAGAATTATGTGGCCCAAATGTCAGAAGCGATAGTGCCAAAGTTGAAAAACCTTGCTTTCATATATATTTTCTACAAACACAATTGTGTCTATATATGTATATACATATATATAATTCTATATATTACAAATCTATTACAGTAATATATGTGCCCCCCCAAATGCAATACGTGCACAGTACAACGAACAAAACCAGAAAATTAATATTAATATATTGCTACATCTAATTATCAAGTCCGCATTAAAATTTCACCAATAGTCAGCCGGGCACGGTGGCTCACGCCTGTAATCCCAGCACTTTGGGAGGCCGAGGCGGATGGGTCACGAGGTCAGGCGATCAAGACCATCCTGGCTAACACGGTGAAACCCCGTCTCTACTAAAAATACAAAAAAAAAAAAGGAAAAAATTAGCCGGGCGTGGTGGTGGGTGCCTGTAGTCCCAGCTACTCGGGAGGCTGAGGCAGGAGAATGGCGTGAACCCAGGAGGCCAGGCTTGCAGTGAGCCCAGACCGCGCCACTGCACTCCAGGCTGGGCGACAGACGGAGACCCCGTCTCAAAAAAAAAAAAAAATTCACCAATAGTCCCAATAATGTTTCATAGCAAAAGGATCAAGTTCAGAATCATGCATTGCCTTTCATTGTCATGTCTTTTTAATGTCCTTGTATCAAGAATAGATCTTTAGACCTAACTTAACCAAGATTTCTGGCCCATATTTTCTTCTTTTTTTCCTTTGCTTTGCTTCTCCTTCCTTTTCTCCTTTCCTTTCTCCTTCGCTTTCCCCTTCCTTTTTCTCTTCCCTCTCCCCTTCCCTTCCCCCTCCCCTTCCTTCTCCTCTCCTCTTTCCCTTACTTTTTCCTTTTCCCTTCCTTCTTTTTTGAATGGCTCCCTTTAGGTTTTCTGAGGTTTCCTTGTGACTAGAGTCAGGCAATGCATTTTGGCAAGAATATCACAGAATTGATGCTGCGTTTTTTTCATTGCATCCTATCAGGTGGTACATGATTCCATTTTGTCTCATTACTGACAATGTTTATTTTGACAGGTTGATAATGGTGGTATATAGTAGGCTTCTATCTTGTTATTCTCTATTTCTAGATTCTGTTACTTTATTTTATGTTGTTTTTCCTAAAGGGTAATAGGAATTTTCTCTGTTTCTTTATTTTGTTTTTGTTTATTTCCCTATTTTTATTCCTTACTATACTTTTAGCACATAGTACCTAGTGCAAAATACTAATATATGTTGAACACCAACAGTTGTTGAACAAATGTCTGAAACTGACTCTGTCCTGCTACCACAAAAACATATATATATATATTTTTTTTTTTCCTATAGGGATACCATCAACTACATAGTTGTCTAAGCCAAGACCTCCTGCTAGGACTGATTAAAGCCTGTGCATCCTCATTATCCAGAGCCTGTGTTGCTCCTCTAGAGCTATAGTCAGGCTAACCATTCCTTCTGGTTAATATCTGAAAGGAAGAATCATGCAGCAAGAAGAGAACTGTGAGGGAAGAAAAATGGCACAAACCCAGCCTGGATTTCTCTCTCCCCTTTTAATGATGAATGAATGAAAAAAATTCATCATTAGCTGTAGTTAGTTTCTATTACATAAAAAGGAAGCTGATGAAATATATAACTGAGTTATATACCCACATCCAATTGGTTCTGTTTCTCTGGAGAACTCTATTAAAGAAGTTATTGAGTATTGTTTACATGTACACTGACAAATATGTCTAAAGGTTATGTCTGAACACCTATAAATTTATATCAATGATTCTATATAGTTCATTCTTATTACACTTGATTCTAATTCTTATGAAGTTGATGTTTGGTAGAATGAATGATAAAAGGAGATTCTGTCCCCTATTGAAGTGTTTGTGTAGTTACACGCCAGAGTTTTGGAGATTGAGGAAAAGGTTGAGCTTAAATAATTTTATGGGCAAACTCAATGCTTGAATGTAAGATAGTACTTTACTTTGAAAGATTTGGAGGATTTCATAATGACTTTTACTTTTGCTAATTATTGATACAGTCACTTGTAAATAAGTTTACTTAGGTAAGCTCAAGGAAATCATGCTTTTTCTCAGGCTTATTTTAAATCTGAATATTTTTACTGTCTTTGCTTTTACAAGAAAATATTCATCATTGTATTTTTTGTCTTAATTTTCAAAGTCAAATGTTAATTGTTTTTGTGGGATTACTTTGGCAAATATGGGAGATCCCCAAACAAATTTTAAAAAGTTTTTTCGGCCGGGCGCTGTGGCTCACGCCTGCAATCCCAGCACTTTGGGAGGCTGAGGCGGGCGGATCACGAGGTCAGGAGGTCAAGACCATCCTGGCTAACACAGTGAAACCCCGTCTCTACTAAAAATACAAAAGAATTAGCCGGACGTGGTGGCGGGCGCCTGTAGTCCCAGCTACTCGGGAGGCTGAGGCAGGAGAACGGCGTGAACCCGGGAGGCAGAGCTTGCAGTGAGCTGAGATCGTGCCACTGCACTCCAGCCTGGGCGACAGAGCGAGATTCTGTCTCAAAAAAAAAAAAAAAAAAAAGTTGTTTCTGTTCTCCTTTGTTTTCTACTTTCTCTTAAATAGAAATATATTTCTTGTACAAATAAATGCCATGAATTAAAAAAATAATAAATTATGATTTTCCTTCGTGAGGATCAGTTCTCCTAGACATTGGTTTAGCTAATGCCAGCTATTTGGTATAAAAATCTGTATCCGTGGAGAGGTAAAAAAGAGCTAAAGGAAGCATAAGAAAGACAACCGCATCTTTAAGAAGTTCCTCTTTTTCTTTTTTCTTTTTTTTCTTTTTTTTTTTTGAGACGGAGTCTTGCTTTGTTCCCCATTGTTCCCCAGGCTGGAGTGCAGCGGCGCGATTTCTGCTCAGTGCAAACTCCGCCTCCCGGGTTCACGCCATTCTCCTGCCTCAGCCTCCCGTGCAGCCGGGACTACAAGTGCCCGCTACGGCGCCCAGCTAATTTTTTGTATCTTTAGTAGAGACGGGGTTTCACTGTGTTAACCAGGATGGTCTCGATCTCCTGACCTCGTGATCCACCCGCCTCGGCCTCCCAAAGTGCTGGGATTACAGGCGTGAGCCACAGCACCCGGCCAAGAAGGTTCTCTTAAAAGGAATCACTTCTTGTTTTCTTACAAGTTATAACCTCACTACCCTAGAGTCACATTTTTTAATAACTTATGAATTTTCTGAAACTTCAAATACCCTATGGCCCCATGGTAAAACATCAGATGACATTTGCCTCTCATTTAAACCATTTTTCTTTTCCTCTTTCTTCATTTTTCTTATACTCTCTCATTTCTTTTTCTCTCTTCCTATTTCTCTTTTTCTCTCTGCTTCTTCCTACCTCCCCTCGTGACTTTGTCTCCTCATCCCGTCACCGTGCTACTTAGATGCCACATCAATTTGACTAGCCTCAAATTTACAATGAATACTTTTTAAATTCATGCTTCTGAAACTTTTAAAGGATGAAGAGGTATAAATGTCTCAAATAATAATTTGCTTGATGGCTGAAATGAATGGCATTTCTCAAAAAGGCCAAGGGACTGAATACAGCAATTTAAACAATCACTTTCCGTTAGTGATATGGTTTGGATGGTTTGTCCCCTCCAAATCTCATGTTGAAATGCGACCTCCAGTGTTGGAGGTGGGCCTAGTAATAGGTGTTTGTTTCCCAAGGGTGGATCCCCATGAATGGTTTTGTGCTGTCCTCCCGGTAATGAGTGAGTTCTTGCTCTATGAATTCACGAGAGATCTTGTTGTTTAAAAGAGCCTGGCATCTCCCTTGCTCCCTCTCTCCCCATGTAATATGCCAGCTCCCCCTTTGCCTTAAGCCATGATTGTCAGCTTCCCGGGCCTCAGCAGAAGCTGAGCAGATACTGGTGGCCTGTTTGTACAGCCTGCAAACCATCAGCCAAATACTCCTCTTTTCTTTATAAATTACCCAGTCTCAGGTATTCCTTTATAGCATTGAGATGGACTAACATAGTCAGTTTTGACAACATGAACCTTTCATATTAAAATTTAATTTCTAAATTCACTCATTTACTGTGATTGGTTTATAGCTTTTCTGTAATAATGAATTTTACGTGTGACTTTCAATGTGCTTTAAAACTTGATTCACTTTTTAGCTCTATTTTTGGAAACTACCAGCTTCCACTGTTGAGGCAAAAGTGTCATCATTGAGGCTCTCCTGCTGAGGTAGCTGTTGTCTGATTTCCCTTCAGTTCTACTGCTGTCCCAGTGGAAAAAGGGAATCTTCACCACTTACATGACATGTTTGCCTGAACTCTAATCTTCCACACTTGCTGTAGAAAAGAGTAAAGTGGCAGTTCAGGGCAGTTTACCAATTTAGAAACGGTGTCCGCTCGGTATTTTCCTCTGTGTCACTTACTAAAACATATAAAAGAAACCATGGACATTAAAAGAAAGAGAGAGGTTTAATGTGATATTTTAATTCTAACAAGGATTTATGGGCACATGAATGCCCAAAATCACATACCCCCTTAGTGTTTTTCATCTCACACATATCACATCAGACACATATCACACATATCAGGCACATATCACACAGAACTTACCATAATTAAATTATCAGTTTTTGAAAAATATCATTTGCTCTCTTTTTTTCTATATAAATAAATTTTTTTAAAATATGATTTTCAGTTCTGGGATACATGCACGGAACATGCAGGTTTGTTATATAGGTATACATGTGCCATATAGGTGGTTTCTTATTTGTGTTTTCATCTTATGGCTTTGGCTAGAACTAGATAATAAAAGTATGCATCAATTTAAGAGTTATTTTTAATCATGGTAAGGACATATCTATAACTACTTTGTTAAATTTCATCAGTCATGCATGTTAAATATCATTAAATAAATATCAAAAATGGGCTGCTGTACCAGAATACCATAGACTTGGTGGCTTATAAACAACAGAAAGGAATTTCTCACAGTTCTGGGGTCTGGGAAATCTAAGACCAAGGTACTAGCCAATCTGGTGTCTGGGAAAAACTTTTGTTCTAGTTCAAAGAAGGCTGCCCTTTCTCTATAACCTCAGTTGGGGAAGGAGCAAGGGAGTTCAGGGGGCTGCTTTAGAAGGGTGCTAAACCCATTAATGAGGGCTGCTCTCTCATGACTTAATTAGTTCCCAAAAGCCCCACCTTCAAAAACCCTCACACTGGCGGTTAGCATTTCAACATATGAATTTGAGAGGGATGTAAACATTTAGTCTGTAGCAGTAAATGTACAATATAAGGTAAATAGCTTTATTGTTGTGTTGCATTATATTAATACATATTTTCTAGTATTAAATCTTTGTATGCCAAATCACTGGGGTGGGTGATTTCTTAGTAAGTGTAGAATTCAGTTCCTTTTTCTTTCAGTTAAGAATATTTTAACTATGTTTATAAGGGATACTGTTTAGTAATTTTATTCTTTTTGTATTCACTTCATCAAGAGTTAGTAATAGTTATATTTGCTTTGTAAAATGAACTGAAAGGAAGCCACTTTTTATAACTTTATCCATATTTCCTAGTCTGGGGTCCATTTTACAAGATGTTTTAAACAGATGCTTATTAAAAACACTGGTTATAGGGACTTTAATAAAAATTTTTAAAATAATGTTTTACATTTCTTGCAAACATTGATGCCTGCAACCTATTTACTATTTTTAAAATTAAATTAAGATTCATTTAAGCAGTACATGTTTATTTTAGTGAAACACGTATTTAATTTTCTAAGATAGTATTTTTTGTCTTTAAAACAATTTCTGCATGTTTTGTTTTTTTTTTCACTTTAAATTTTATGTTTTCTCAGTTTTTGTTTTATCACATTTGCTGTATTTTTCTGTATCATGGGTTATTTGTTAAAGAATGAACTTGTGTATGTTTATAAATTGTTACTGTTTTTGTTTATAATTTATTGCCTTCTAACTTAATATGTAATTAGCATTCCTTTTAATTTTGCTTGTATGCTTTGCTGTACCATTTTGAAATTCTTGAGTTAAATGCTTAACTATTTTTTATCAAGTTTAAATATTAAATTAAATATGTCCCATCAGTTTAGTCATTTTAATATTCTCACTCATCAGACATTTTTTGGGAACACCATATGCCTTTTCATGCAGTCAGTTTCAAGAAAATGAAAATTACTTTTTATATGTTTATACTCAAAGCTTGGCTAGAGATAAGTCTCCCCTTCCTTAAGTTGGGGAGAGAGTGATTTCTTCCAGGCTATAGTCAAAAGAGATACAATTATAGTAATTTTTTGTGTTTGTTTGGGTTGTTTCTGTTTGTTTGTTTGTTTGTTTGTTTGAGACGGAGGTTGGATCTTGTTGCCCAGGCTGGAGTGTAGTGGCATAATCTCAGCTCACTGCAACCTCCGCCTCCTGGGTTCAAGCAATTCTAAACATATTTTAGCACAAAACTGTTTAAGATTTCAATTTATATCTTTTTATTATCTTCCATATACTCTTTTGATACATTACCCATTATGTTGATTATTAACGTACACTCAAGTCAAGATCTTTTATTATGTGAGGTCATCAGTCAATGATAACAGATATTGATGAATTAGTCTCCTCATCAGAAATTGAGCAACATTTTCATTCAAGACGACACATGGGCCTTTAAAGCATATTCAATAATACTGAGTCTCAGTCTTCTCCTGCTATTTTCTGAATGTGCATTTAGACCTTTATACATCTATCTATCTACTGACCCATTTATTAAATTTTCAGCATTTACTTTGTACTCCAAGGACCAGAACCATGTTTGTCTTGTTCACTGCTGTACTCCTATTGCAAGGACCTAGAACATAGTAGGAGCTCATTAAACTCTGAGGATTCAAAATAAGTGAATAGAGGTTGTAGCAGGAAGAAGTCTAAGATAGCCCCTATGACCTTCATTTCCTCATGTTACCCTGTTGATACCTCACACGGCAAAGGAGTCTTGCACATGTCACTAAGGCTAATAATCCGTCAGCCTTAAGACGGGGGGAGTACCTGGGTAAACCTAACCTAATCACACCAAAACCTAACAATCAGGGAGTTTTCTACAACTGAGAGTAGAATGGGAAGTCAGAGAGTTTCAGAGTCCAAGAAGCATTTATAGCACCCTTATTGACTTTGAAGATGCTTTGCTTCTTCTTTTGAGTTCAGTTTGAGATTATCTTTCTAATAATTGATTAGATTTTATTCTTGTAAAAAAAGAGATAATTTAAAGGAATCTATTTTTAAATACTCTGAGGAGGGTGATACTAGGGGTGCTGGTTGTCCTGTTTTAACTTTGTCTTAATTTCTAATGTAATTAAATTTTGAGTAGGTAATGTGACCTGTGTGGTTTTTATTTTAAAAAATATATTGAGGTTTTATATAATCTATTTTTAAAATATTCAATGGAAACTTGAAAACATACTGTTTCACATATTCTTGTATATATATATTAAAAATCTTTTTTTATTTATTTTTTATTTTTATTTTTTTTTTGAGACGGAGTCTCGCTCTGTCGCCCAGGCTGGAGTGCAGTGGCGCCATCTGGGCTCACTGCAAGCTCCGCCTCCTGGGTTCACGCCATTCTCCTGCCTCAGCCTCCCGAGTAGCTGGGACTGCAGGCACCCACCACCACGCCCAGCTAATTTTTTGTATTTTTAGTGGAGACAGAGTTTCACCGTGTTAGCCAGGATGGTCTCGATTTCCTGACCTCGTGATCCGCCCGCCTCAGCCTCCCAAAGTGCTGGGATTACAGGCGTGAGCCACTTAGCCCGGCCTAATTATTTGTTTTTTAAAAGATGGTACATAGGAAGAAGTAAATCAGGAAAAGTGGATAGTGATTGGTGGCAGTAGAAGTGAGTCAGTGTTACAGTTACTATTGCTGCTTAAGAAACTAACCCAAATGGCCTGGGTGCCGTGGCTCACGCCTGTAATCCCAGCAGTTTGGGAGGCTGAGACGGGCGGATCATGAGTTCAGGAGATCGAGACCATCCTGCCTAATACGGTGAAACTCTGTCTCTACTAAAAATACAAAAGTTAGCCTGGCCTGGTGGTGGTGGGCGCCTTAAGTCCCAGCTACTCGGGAGGCTGAGGCAGGAGAATGGCGTGAACCCGGGAGGCGGAGCTTGCTGTGAGCCGAGATCGCGCCACTGCAGTCCAGCCTGGGCGACAGAGGGAGACTCCGTCTCAAAAAAAAAAAAATTAAAAAAAAGAAAAAGAAAAAAGAAACTACCCTAAATTTAATAAGGTAAAACAACGACCACTTCATTATATCTCATGGATCCTATAGGTGAGAAATTCCAGCAGGATTCATCTGAGTGATTCTTCCTCTCTCACATCATTAACTAGGGTGACTCAGTGCTAGTCGGCTGGCAAACAAGTCAGTCTGGAAGGTGCAAGGTGCTTTTTTTCTGTCTTATAAATTGGTGGAGTTGTCTGGAAGGCAAGGCTCAGATGGGAAGGACTCTTAGTTATAGTGCCTGCACAGGGTAAACTTTTTTTTTTTCTTTTTTTTTTGAGACGGAGTCTCACTGTCCCCCAGGCTGGAGTGGTGTGGCCCGATCTCGGCTAACTGCAAGCTCCGCCTCCCGGGTTCACGCCATTCTCCTGCCTCAGCCTCCCGAGTAGCTGGGACTACAGGCGCCCACCACCAGGCCCAGCTATTTTTTTGTATTTTTAGTAGAGACGGGGTTTCACCGTGTTAGCCAGGATGGTCTCGATCTCCTGACCTCGTGATCCACCCGCCTTGGCCTCCCAAAGTGCTGGGATTACAGGCCTGAGCCACCGCGCCCGGCCTGCACAGGGTAAACTTCTTATATGGCTGCTGGCTTTCCGCAGATCAAACACTCCAAGGGAACCAGGTGGAAAAGGCCTGGTCTCTTTTTATCTCACCTTAAAGGTCAGGTAGAATTATTTGTCATACTCTATTGATTGTAGCAGTCACAAGCACGTCCAGATTTAGGGAAGGGAGACATAGACCTATTTTTTGATGAGAAGAATATCAACCTGTTTTTGGACTATGTTTAAAACTGCCACACATGACAATTACACACCAGGTAGAAGGCATTTGGCGACAGACTTCTTGAAGGAAATGAGGAGGAATCGTGCTCTGCTGAAAAAAGAGCATTCCAAAGAGAGACCACAGCTTGGGCAAAAGCCCTGAGTCGGAATCATGTGGACTTATTCTTAGAACAGCATCGAGGAAGCCATTATAGCTGGAGTAGAATGAGAAGGGGGAAGAGTATTAGTAGATGGTGGCAGAGAAATAAACATGAGAAGACGGATGATGGAACGAGCACCTTGTACGTCATTTTAAGGACTTTGGCTGTTCCTCAAACTGACATGGGACCATTGAAAGATTTTTTTATTTTTTATTTTTTAAATTTAACTTTTAAGTTCAGTGGTACACGTGCAGGTTTGTTATGTAGGTAAACTTGTGTCATGGGGGTTTGTTGTACGGATTATTCTGTTACCCACATGGTAAACCTGCTACCCACTAGTTGTCTTTCCTGATCCTCTCCCTCCTCCCAGCTTTCACCCTCCTTTTCAAAATAAGACATACATGCAGCCAACAAACATAGAAAAAAAGCTCAGCATCACTGATCATTAAAGAAATGCACATCAGAAGTACAATGAGATACTATCTCACACCATTCAGAATGGTTATTATTAAAAAGCCAAAAAATAACATGCTGGCAATATTGTGGAGAAAAGGCAACATTTCTACACTGTTGGTGGGAGTGTAAATTAGTTCAGCCATTGTGGAAGACAGTGTGGTGATTCCTCAAAGACCTAAAAGAACTACCATTCGACCCGGCAATCCTATTACTGGGTATACACCCAAAGGAATATAAATTGTTCTGTCATAAAGACACATGCATGCATATGTTTATTGCAGCGCTATTCACAGTAGCAAAGGCATGGAATCAACATAAATGCCCATCAATGGTAGACTGGATAAAGAAAATGTGGTATATATACACCATGGCATATTATGCCACCATAAAAGATGAGATCACGCCCTTTGTAGGAACATGGATGGAGCTGGAAGCCATTATCCTTAGCCAACTAATGCAGGAACAGAAAACCAAATGTTCCCACTTAGAAGCGAGAGTCAAAGGGGAGAATACATGAACACGTAGAGGGGAACAACATTGAAAGATATAAGCAAAGAAGTGATATCATCTGAATTGCATTTCTGAGATTTCTCTGGCACTTGTGTAAAAAATAGCTGAAAGGAATCAACGGCAGAAGCTGGGAGACCAGTTAGGGAGCTTTTGCAATAACCATAAGAGGAAATATGTGTGGCTTAGACTAGGAATCGTCAGGTTGGGAGTGCTCATTCAAATGTGGTCAGAATCCGGACATTTTGAGTGAGCCTACAGAAAGCTTTAATACTATCTCAAACTAAAGGATATAGAAGGTTTTCCCTTTCTCTTGCCCTGAAACCTTCTGTATCCTTTATTTTGAGATAGTATTAGAATTCTTACTATCTTACTGACAATTCTCACTATCTTGTTTTATAACTTGGAACATGATTATAATTATAGTATTGTTAAATATTTTATTTTTATTTTATAATTATACTTTAAAAATATTATTTTGGTAAATAATCATAAAATATGAAAAATAAATCTTTCCATTAACTGAATCAATTGTCCCCTTGCAGGATTTTGGCTTCACAACTTCCTAATCCTTGAAATATTAATTTTGATTATTTTTCTAATATGTACCCATATGTCTTTGAGTAAATTTTTATTGGAAGGACAAATCAGTGCTGGATATACAGATGCCATTGCTTCGTACTCAGGTAAAGACAACCTGATATTTATGATCCTCTTGATCATATTTTTATTCTCTTAAAATCTTTATGTCTTCTAATAATGTTAACAGAGAAGAAAAAAAGTCTTATCTAAGCCTGACTTTTTATTTTTAAGGAAGTTTTTTTATTTATTTGTAAAATTCAGGAGTTTGGCTAGTTGTTATTTAAATATGGAGAACTCTTCCTTGTTTCTTCCCCCTCCCTGCCTAGAAGCTGGTTGGTGCTTTTATTATTCGTACTTCAGTGATAGCTTTGATTATTGTTTCAGATCTCCTTGCCCTTGTGTCTTTCCCCAGTACACAAACTATTCTCGAGGTGGAACCTGTGGTCTCTGGCATACCCATCCGCCTTCTTCTCTGTCATTAGTTCATCTCTTCCTTTGCCCTCCAGAGCTCTGATTCAATTGCTGCTTGAACTTTTCAGTGTGTCAGTTTCTTTCTCCACGGATTTCCCTGTGGATGGAAAATCTGCCCTTGCACTTTAGTTTTCATAGAAGCCTCATCTCAGCTATCTCCCATTTTGTGATATGAGCCTCTTTTGTTATTGTAGCCTTCATCTCCTATTTCCTAAATTCCATGTGTTTCTACATACTGTTCATAGACAAATAGTTTAAAGCAATGGTCTATAGTTTCTTGTGGTTTGAAAGTCATATATTTTTAAATACGTTTTCTCCCCCTGAGAATTCAGCATACAGTTTCATTTTTCTTGTACGCAGGATGATTTTTAGGATTTTTTTTCTGTTATATTTTTTCCATTCTGGTTACCTAGAAGGTAGTGATTATTACCCCAAACCAGGGTTTGATACTGTGTTAGTCCACTTTCATACTGCTATGAAGAAATACCTGAGACTGGGTAATTTATAAAGAAAAAAAGGTTTAATGGACTCAGTTCCACGTGGCTGGGGAAGCCTCACAATCATGGCAGAAGGCAAAGGAGGAGCAAAGACATGTCTTACATGGTGGCAGGCAAGAGAGAGAGCATGTGCAGGGGAACTCCCCTTTATAAAACCATCAGATCTTGTGAGACTTATTCGGTTTCACAAGAACAACACAGGGAGAAACCCATCCCCATGATTCAGTTACCTCCCACTGGGTCCCTTTCATGACATATGGGGATTATGGGAGCTACAATTCAAGATGAGATTTGGGTAGGGACATAGCCAAACCATATCATTCTTCCCCTGGCGCCTCCTGAATCTCATGTTCTCACATTTCAAAATCAATCATGCCTTCCCAACAGTCCCCCAAAGTTTTAACTCGTTTCAACATTAACTGAAAAGTCCACAGTCCAAGGTCTCATCTGAGACAAGTCCCTTCCACCTATGAGCCTGTAAAACTAAAAGCAAGTTAGTTACTTCCTACATACAATGGGGGTACAGGCATTGGGTACCCCCAGTGTATCTACACCTGTTCCAGATGGGAGACATTGGTCAAAACAAAGGGGCTACAGGCTCCATGCAAGTCTGAAATCCAATAGGGCAGTCATTAAACGTTAAAGTTCCAAAATGATCTCCTTTGACTCCGTGTCTCACATGCAGGTCACACTGACGCAAGTGGTGGTCTCCCATGGCCTTGGGCAGCTCTGCCTCTGTGGCTTTGCAGGGTACAGCCTCCCTCCTGGCTGCTTTCACTGGCTGGCATTGTCTGTGGCTTTTCCAGGTACACAGTGTAAACTGTTTGTGGATCTACCAATTGGGGGTTTGGAGGGCAGCGGCCCTCTTCTCATAGCTCCACTAGGCATTGCCCCAGTAGGGACTCTGTATGGGAGACAGAGCCCACATTTCAATTCTCTACTACCCTGGAAGAGGTTCTTCATGAGCCCCTGCTCCTGCCCCCGCACCCCACCAGAGCAAACTTCTGCCTGAACATCCAAGTGTTTCCATACATTCTCTGAAATCTAGGTGGAGGGTCCCAAACCTCAATTCTTGACTTCTGTGCGCCTGCAGGCTCAACATCTTGTGGAAGCTGCCAAGGCTTGGGGCTGCAACCTCCGAAGACATGGCCTGAGCTGTAGCCTGGTGTCTCCCACCCCAGCCATGGCTGGAGTGGCTGGAATGCCGGGCACCAAGTCTCAAGGCTGCACACAGCAGGGGGACCTGGACCTGCTCCAGGAAATCATTTTTCCATACTAGGCTTTTGAGCCTGTGATGGAAAGAGCTGCCGTGAAGGTGTTAAGGTCTTTAATGTTCTGGAGACATTTTCCCCATTGTCTTGGTGATTACATTTGGCTCCTTGTTACTTATGCAAATTTCTGCAGGAGGCTTTAATGAAAGTCGGTTTTTCTTTTCTTTTCTTTTCTTTTTTTTTTGGATTGGGAGTCTCACTCTCTTGCCCAGGCTGGAGTGCAGTGCCGCAATCTGGGCTCACTGCAAGCTCCGCCTCCCAGGTTCACGCCATTCCTCAGCCTCCCAAGTAGCTGGGACTACAGGTGCCCGCCACCACGCCTGGCTAATTTTTTTGTATTTTTTTAGTAGAGACAGGGTTTCACCGTGTTAGCCAGGATGGTCTGGATTTGCTGACCTCGTGATCCGCCCGCCTCAGCCTCTCAAAGTGCTGGGACTACAGGCGTGAGCCACCGCGCCCGGCCAAAAAGTCTTATACATTATATTGCTCAAATTTTATCCTTTAATAAGTCATAACGGAGAAACATGCTAATGATTTCACAATTAAATGTGACGTTCATTTAGTGTTTTGCTTTGTAATATTAAATATTTTATTGTTTTCCATGGGATACCTTTTCCTTTAAAATTCTACTTTATGTGAAATCGATGATGTTATAAATAGTCTTTGATTTTTACTTTATTAATCTTTGTACATTTTAATATCGTTAAACTTACAGGAACAGTTTGTACGCTTCATGGAAATAGAGTAGAGTAATAGAGTTTGATTATTTGTTTTGTTTTCAGCTGAGGGTTTTTTTTTTTGGTAATTTCAGTCTTAGAGTCTTTCTTTTCAGCAGTTAGTGGTATAATTCATATTTGCTTCTCATAGCTGATTTTTTGTTTTAACTTTTGTGAACTTGCTTATAGTTTCTTTACAACTATTAGGCCGGTGCAAAAGTTATTGAAGTTTTCACTAATTATTATTATTATTATTATTTTGAGGCGGACTCTCCCTCTGTCGCCCAGGCTGGAGTGCAGTGGCGCGATCTCAGCTCACTGCAAGCTCCGCCTCCCGGGTTCACGCCATTTTCTTGCCTCAGCCTCCCGAGTAGCTGGGACTGCAGGCCCCGGTCACCACGCCTGGCTAATTTTTTGTATTTTTAGCGGAGATGGCGTTTCACCATATTAGCTAGGATGGTCTCGATCTCCTGACCTCGTGATCCGCCCGCCTCAGCCTCCCAAAGTGCTGGGATTACAGGCGTGAGCCACTGCACCCGGCCTAATTATTTGTTTTTTAAAAGATGGTACATACGAGGAAGTAAATCAGGAAAGGAGGATAGTGATTGGTGGCAGTAGAAGTGAGTCAGTGTTACAGTTACTATTGCTGCTTAAGAAACTACCCCAAATGGCCCGGGCGCTGTGGCTCACGCCTGTAATCCCAGCACTTTGGGAGGCTGAGACGGGCGGATCACGAGTTCAGGAGATCGAGACCATCCTGCCTAACACGGTGAAACCCCGTCTCTACTAAAAATACAAAAGTTAGCCGGGCGTGGTGGTGGGTGACTGTAGTCCCAGCTACTCGGGTGGCTGAGGCAGGAGAATGGTGTGAACCCGGGAGGCGGAGCTTGCGGTGAGCCGAGATTGCGCCACTGCACTCCAGCTTGGGCCACAGAGTGAGACTCCGTCTCAAAAAAAAAAAAGAAAAAAGAAAAAAAAAAGAAAAAAGAAACTACCCCAAATTTAATAAGGTAAAACAACGACCACTTCATTGTATCTCATGGATCCTATAGGTGAGAAATTCCAGCAGGATTCGTCTGAGTGATTCTTCCTCTCTCATATCATTAACTAGGGTGACTCAGTGCTATGCGGCTGGCAAACAAGTCAGTCTGGAAGGTGCAAGGTGCTTTTTTTCTGTCTTATGTATTGGTGGGGTTGTCTGGAAGGCAAGGCTCAGATGGGAGGGACTCGTAGTTATAGTGCCTGCATAGGGTGAACTTCTTTTTTTTTTTTTTTTAGACGGAGTCTCACTGTCCCCCAGGCTGGAGTGGTGTGGCCCGATCTCGGCTCACTGCAAGCTCCGCCTCCCGGGTTCACGCCATTCTCCTGCCTCAGCCTCCCGAGTAGCTGGGACTACAGGCGCCCACCACCAGGCCCGGCTAATTTTTTGTATTTTTAGTAGAGACGGGGTTTCACCGTGTTAGCCAGGATGGTCTCGATCTCCTGACCTCGTGATCCGCCCTCCTCGGCCTCCCAAAGTGCTGGGATTACAGGCCTGAGCCACCGCGCCCGGCCTGTGCTCACCCATATTTCTGTTTGCTGTGTGGTGCAGTGCGACCACACGGTTCTTCAGACACAACCTCTGCTTTCTCATTTACCTCAACACTTTAACCCTTAGATTCTTTTTTACTATACTTCAGTGTATTTCCCAGACATATATTGTCTATGAGGGATAAAATAAAATATCAATTAAAAACAAAAAAATTCAGAGAAATATTAACCATTCACTCTTCTAAGTTCTCAAAGGTTACATTCTTCACCAAATCATATAACCAGGTCCCAATAAAATACCATCATGCAGGGAATTTAACATCATGTAGTTTAAAATACCATCATGCGGGCAGCTTTCAACTAAGCATCCTGTAAGAAAAGATCATTTGTTCTTACATCTTTAAAAGTTTGGAAATTGCTATGGAAGATTATTTTTATTATATTGTCCATTGTCTGTTGCTTAAAGACATATATTTTGCTTGAGTTTAGAGTTACCAAAAAATAGTTGCTGATATATCCAGATACTATTTTATTAACTAACAATACCTATTTGAATTCTGGTTTTCCTTTTGGCCTTTAAGAACAAGGGGCTTAGGACTAAATTTTAGGCTGAAGGGTAGTGTTTCCTTCCCTAGGTTGTCCCATGTAATTGTCACCTCTTTCTCTTCATTATTCTGTCATTTTGCGCTTGTTTTATAGTGTCTGTGCCTTTCATTCTAAGCTGTCTCAGGGGCTTTTCTGGAAATACACAGTGTATAAGTACAAAATGATGAAATAAACATGCTTCTTTTTTTTTTTTTTTTTTTTTAAGACGGAGTCTCACTCTATTGCCCAGACTGGAGTGCAGTGGCACGATCTCGGCTCACTGCAAGCTCTGCCTCCTGGGTTCACTCCATTCTCCGGCCTCAGCCTCGCGAGTAGCTGGGACTACAGGCACCTGCCACCATGTCCGGCTAATTTTTTGTATTTTTAGTAGAGACGGGGTTTCACCATGTTAGGCAGGATGGTCTCGATCTCCTGACCTTGTGATCTGCCCGCCTTGGCCTCCCAAAGTGCTGGGATTACAGGCGTGAGCCACCGCATCAGGCCAACACACGTCTTTATTTTGTTTTCAAAGATGCTTGGGTGGGACTAGATGACCTCTAAGGTCCTTTCCAGCTCTAAATTTACGTTACTTTCACCAAAGACAGACAAAAAAAAAATCTGTTAGGTTATAGGTCTAGAGATGAGTGCCAAGTACTATATTCCTGCTCTAGGTGCATTTCTTGTTGAAGGCAGTGCTAGATTCAGTGACCTGTTACGGCCGTTTACAGTCTTATGGTGATAAAACAAGAGAACTGATTGCTAAAAAAAAAAAAAAAAATTCAGTTGAAATATCTTTTTACTCTTAAGCATCAACAAAAAATAAATAGAAAACAGAAGAGTTGAATTATTTAGTTTGAGCTATTTGTAATAAATTTGGACAACTAAGCTAAGCCCGAGTGTAGTTAATTCAATGAAATTAGTCATATTTGAATATTGTCACAACCTTACTACCACATTAGCATTAAGTGTGATTAAAATTTATTCTTTGTTTCTGTGTGAGTCTCCACAGAATCAGCTATCAACACCTTCATAATAAACTAGCCCTTCATTGCTTTCAGGAAACTTTTTGATTCAGAGCAGGTGGTTGGGCTTCTGCTTTAAAAGAGAACAAATCATTTTTAACGTCCCTTTCCTGTTTGTGTGTGTGAATTTAGAACACAGAAATTATCCATTGCATTGTTTATTTTTGCTAGGAGGTAGAAGTTCTTAAAAATATAGGAAATACTAGATATCATGTACTGATAATTTCCAAAGCTAATTATTTTTCTTAAGTCCAAGCTATAATTTAAGAGGCGTACTTGTGAAATATGAATATTGTTTTAGAGTAATAAAATGTTTCTCATGGAAAAATAGAATATGATTTTGTCGAAGTTCAAGGGAATATCCATTTTCATTCAGGTAGCTTCCAGATTTTTGTCTTTACATGTTCTGTGTAGTGATTTAAATACCGTACCTCCAAAATTTATGTCCATTAGGAACTTTAGAATGTGATTTTATTTGGAAGTAGGGTCTTTGCAGATATAATTAACCCAGTGATTGAGATGAGGTCATCCTGGGTGAAGGTGGGCCCTAAATCCAGTGTAAATGTCCTTATAACATACAGGAAAAGACACACACAAGGTCATGTGAAGATGGAGACAGAAATTGGAGTTATGCAGTCATAAATCAAAGAAGGTCAAGGATTGCCAGGAGCCACTGGAAGCCAGGAAGAAGCGAGGGAGAATTCTTCCCTAGGGTCTTCAGGGGGAGTGTGGCCCCGCCAACATCTTGATTTCAGAGGTCCAGGCTTCCGAACTATGAGAGAATATATTTCTGTCCTCTTAACCCACCAAGTGTGTGATAATTAGGTATGATGGCCCTAGGCAACTACTACACTCTAATTCAGAAGTTCTTCTGGATTTTATTGTATCATGTGTTGGTAGGAAGTACCTGGCTGTTTCATTTGCATGATATGTGGGTAATCTTAGAATTATCATATCTTGCAAGTAATTTTAAAGTATGTTGTAATGTAGTCAGAAGCTTTTTAAATATGAAATTTAATTCATGCTGGTGTCAACTACATTTGAAAAAATACAAAAAAGCTATATAAGATTCTAGGATCTTTCAGAATTTTATAATGTTTATAATGGACAGTTGGTTAAATAAAAATTGTACCCTAAACAATTTTGTTGTTGGCTTAAAATAGCATTTAATTTATTAGTGCTCAGATAATAGTTATCCCCTAAATAGCATTTTTACTTTCATATGTTGATATCAAACAGTGAAGTGAGACAGCAAATCAGTACAACGTGGTGATTATCAAACATCATAAATCCATGAAGGATAGCCTTGATCTTACTGAGAAGAGTTTAATTTTAAAACGCATACCTGGAAAAGGCAACTTAGATTAACATTTCAAACTCACATAGCATTATTTGTGATTGATTATAGTTATAATTGATCATTTTACTTTTGGACCGTCACTTTGAATCAAACTGGGATAAATATAAATTAAAGATTGATTATTTGCTTTGAATTTTAGATTAAAAAATTCAAAAACCATAAAAACAGAGCTTTGACTATAATAAAGGTATTTATCCTTTCTTGGTAAGAATTGGGGAGGGGTTTAAGAAAAGGCTAAGCAATGTTCTATTTTTTACATAGGCAAAAGTTCATTTGTGCTACTTTTTAATTAGGTAGTTTGTTGTTTTTTAAATGACAGCTTCCTAAACACTACTGATTTTACATGTGCAGTCATTAGCTTTTCATGTGGAAATAGTATCTTTCAAATTCACGCAGCTGCTTATTTTATGAAATGCAATGGGACTACTTACTTGCCACCTGTCTAAACTGGAATGCATAGATTCATGCCTTGCCAAATGAGGAGTTAGGGTGAAAAGTGATTAACGTCCGTTCTTTAATGAGTTTCTAAGTCTTTCTGAACATGTTTTTATTCTATTTATTGCAGTGGTATACTAACATTTTCGTGTTGGTTGCTGTACAAAGCATGATAATACCTTTATTAAAGCAATGTTAATGACATCCATAAGATATCATAAAATATTATATTCTTAATAGGAAATTTGTTATATATAAATAACAATAAAGATCGTAATAAGCTCTCCTTAATTCTGTTTATTTTGACTTCATTATTAAGTTTGGAAACATAGGTGTCAAATTTAGACATTATTTATATGTAATTATAAAGCCAAATAAATGTTAGAGATTAACTTAAAAAGAGTTTTGTGGCTTAACAATTGAAGTGAGATAGTGAGATCACAAGGGGCTTAATCATTCTGAATTGATTCTACAGATGTCTCCTTTCTCTAAATGCCCTGTAAGCTTCCTATCTTCCATGAAAGTTTATTCCCATAATCCTGGCACATAAAATTAGTCATATAACTCTTTTCCATTCTGAGATTTCAAGGATTAGGACTTTCAACATAGAGAAAACGTGCTGTGTAGAAGCTGAATGTACAAAAGGCAACACTTGGCAACGGAATCCAGTATTTCCCAAGTATTTGAGGAAACTTACAAAACCCAAATCTCTAGTACTTGCTTTCACATTTGCTATCAGAACCAGGAAGGGAGGCCTAGAAATGGTTTGAATGGAAAATTTGTTGTTGTAGAAGGGGTTCCCATTCACTGGTGAATAGACACAACGTATTTCCCAACCTTCTTTTAATCCAAGATAGCAACATTTTTACTGGAGCCAAAGATAAAACCAGTATTTAATCTCCTAGAAATTAGGAGATTTATGACTCTGGAAATGGAAAGAATTTTCATATCCAGCCACATAACCAAGTCATGCAAGAACATAATAAACAAACCAATCAAACAACAAGAATAACAACCACAACATGGTCCCCATTCTGTCTTTAACCTCTGATAGAAAGAGCAGTAATGGTAAGACGAGAAAGCTCTCGTCAAGTGTTTTCCTCATCTACTGTTAATGATTTATTCTTACATCCTGTCCCAGTCCAATTATCAAAAAATTCTAAGAGAGATCCCTTTAACTGACTTGTAATGAATTCCAGGGTCACATTCCAGATATTGTTTTCCCCTGAAGTCGTGTAAGTGCACCTCAAAATACTATACTTTTGGTGTGAATCTGAGCCAAATTCTATTGTATTCTAAATAAAGTGAAACTCCTATCAGCCAATAGGGCACGGTATCAGTTTCAAATAAGACAAGTTGGTAAAGTCAGGAGAAATGACTTCCTCCTTCCTCCTGATGTGCTGTATATAGATGTATTAGCACTGCCTTTTAATATTTTATGTGTTCAACAGAGAGGGAACTAACATCTTGTTAATCCTCATTTGAAAACAATTTTGCGAATGTAAATGTAGCAGGGCTTTTGCCTTTTTTCCTTCTTCATGAAAAACAAGTAGTGCTTGGGGAGCAAGTGTTCCTGTTCAACTGCTGTCACTCATTCCCAGCTCTGTTTAGAAGAAATAAGCACAGATGGTTGGTCTACTACTTCCCCAACGAAAAATTTGCCTGTTGGCCGGGCGCAGTGGCTCAAGCCTGTAATCCCAGCACTTTGGGAGACCGAGGCGGGCAGATCACAAGGTCAGGAGATGGAGACCATCCTGGCTAACACGGTGAAACCCCGTCTCCACTAAAAATACAAAAAATTAGCTGGGCACGGTGGCGGACGCCTGTAGTCCCAGCTACTTCGAAGGCTGAGGCAGGAGAATGACGGGAACCCGGGAGGCGGAGCTTGCAGTGAGCAGAGATCGCGCCACTGCACTCCAGCCTGGGCGACAGAGCAAGACTCCGCCTCAAAAAAAAAAAAAAATTGCTTACCTTTTTTGTGTTTTATTCCATCCTTCTCATTGTCATGTGAACAGTATTTCAAGGGAAGAAACTTCTGTAGGGATCTTTGAAATGTTTATCCACTGCTTGTGCATGAAAGAGAAAAAGAAGAAATTAATGATTTATTAAAATTTCATGAGGGGAACTCAAAAACGCTTTGTTACAAAAAAATTTAATTTAGAAACCGTGTATTTTGCATGCAAAATTAAAGTCTTCAGGGAAGTAAGTTTTTATATCAGACTTGCATCCTAAAGTACTCATTTAATGATGACAGAACCACTTCATCCATGTTAAAAATACCTGTGTGGGTCTTTTTTATTTATACTGTGGCTTAATGAAAATTTGTCTATTGTAAATATATTAAGAAAAAGAGCATAAAGACTTTTTAACATAATTTTCTAACGCTGAAAATACATACAAACAGTAAAATACCCAAATCTTAACTGTACAGCTCAATACTTCTTTTGTTTTTAAACAAACTTAGCCCTTCTGTGTATCCAGTACTCAAATCAGGAAATTTTATATTATTACTTCTTCTAGACACTATTTCATAGGATAGCTCTTATGGTGATTTGGAACATAACTGATGAGTTTTACAATTTTTAGTGAATTAGATCGTAGTATATGTTCTGTATCTTGCTTCTTTCATTCAATATTTAGTTTATAAGATTTGTTAATCTTTTTGCATATAGTTGTAATTTGTTAGGTTCTCATTGCTATATACTATATCATTATACAAATATAAGTTCAATTTGTGGTTATTTTGAATGGTGCCTCTCTGAGCATTCATGTATTTGTCTTTTGGTAAATATTGCTGGGTATATGCTCAGGGTCATAGAATATGGTCAGATTTAGCATACATGGAAAATGGTGGTGTCCATCAGTTTACATTTCCATCCACAATGGGAGAGAGTTCTAGTTGCTCCGCATCTTTGCCAACACTTGGTATCATTTCTCTCTTTCATTTGAACTGTTCTGATGTGTATGTATCACTATTTCAATTGTGGTTATTTTGAAGATTACAAAATTGGCAAAGAATAACTGATTTTATTAAATCATATTTCATTTGAAGTAACGTGGGTCTACTTTGCAGTATTTTTCCCTATTTACATGATTCATAAGAAGAGTGATCATGAGATAGTCAACAATATAACAGCTTGGAATGAGATTTTTGATCAGCTATAATTGTAATGTATTTTATCTAAATATTATTTAACTGTATTAGTAACTGTGATCATTAAGAACAGAAACAAAAGGTAAGCAAGTCCTTAGATTAACATGAAACAACATTCCTGCCTTTTGAAAGAAACTTTTCTGACCTGTGAGTAAATGATGTAAATCAATTAATAGCTTAACTGAAATTAAGAGATGAGTCTCAGCTTTCATTGCCTATATTATATCTGTGTTTCTGGAGAAACAAAAAAACAGTATGACAAACCTACAGTCTGCTAGTTTCTTCTCACCCTGCCAACAACTGTTATATTACTGTTTAGCTGGTTATGTGCAACCATTTGTTCAGGATTGTTTTGTTTTGCTTAGTTTTACTTTTTAAGGCAGAGTCTTGCTCTGTTGCCCAGGCTTGAGGTCTATGAGTTACACTCAGGGTCACATGGTCAACGAGATGTAATCACAGCTCACTGCAGCCTTAATCTCCTGGGCTCACGTGATCCCCCTGCCTCTGCTTCCTCAGTAGCTGGGACTACAGGTGCATGCCACGACACCCGGCTTGTTGAGCAGAGTTTTGATGAAAATCATTCTTCCCTTCTTAATCACAAACAGTGAAACCTTAGAAAATGTAATTAGAGAGAAAAATAACATTTTGCACCAAGCTAATTGTATCTTTACCTTTTATTAGTTGGTTTCAGGATTGGTACTTGTTGATGGTTCTGTTTTGGAGTGTGCGTTCCCTGGGTTTAACTCCTTGCAGCACACTTTATATACATTGTGTGGCCTTACTTGAGTAACTTAAGTTGCTTAACTTCTCCAGATCCCAGATTCTCAACCTGTAGAATGGAAGTAATTATAATACAAACATTATGTGGTGGGTTAGTCCAGGTCCTCCAAGAGGTAGATGTTGAAAACGAGTTAAACACAAGAGGATTTTATTAAGGGAAATCCCTGTGAGAGAAAATGGAGAGGAAGCTGAGTAAGCCTGGAAGAGGTCTCAGCTATGAGGCAAGTCTGACCTAGAATGAAGGAAAGAGGAAAGGAAGGTTGAGTGGAAGCATTGGAGCGTAATGTACAGTCTAAGGAAGGGTGAGAAAAGGCTTCAGGGAATCCTGAGCCAAGACTGGTCCTCAGAGAAGCCCTGTGTCTCCTAAAGAGGGATCTGCATTAGCCACCCTGTGGCCCTCAGTCATTGACTGAGGGGCAGATGCAGAAACAGATTTTAGAGTGAAGCAGCAAGTGGCCGTAGGCAGTTAGGCTTCCCATACTTTGAGGTCTATGAGTTTATTTATTTATTTATTATTTATTTATTTAAATTATACTTTAAGCTCTGGGTTACATGTGCAGAACTTGCAGTTTTGTTTCATAGGTATACACATGCCATGGTGGTTTGCTGCACCCATCAACCCGTCACCTACATTAGGTATTTCTCCTAATGTTATCCCTCCCCTACACCCCCACACCCCACAGGCCCCAGTGTGTGATGATCCCCTCCCTGTGTCCATGTGTTCTCATTGTTCAACTCCTGCTTTATGAGTGAGAACATGCGGCGTTTGGTTCTCTGATCTTGTGATAGTTTGCTGAGAATGATGGTTTCCAGCTTCATGCATGTCCCTGCAAAGGACATGAACTCATGTCCTTTTTTATGGCTGCATAGTATTCCATGGTATATATGTGCCACATTTTCTTAATCCAGTCTATCATTGATGGACATTTGGGTTGGTTCCAAGTCTTTGCTATTGTGAATAGTGCCACAATAAACATACGTGTGCATGTGTCTTTATCGTAGAATGACTTATAATCTTTTGAGTATATGCCCAGTAATGGGATTGCTGGGTCAAATGGTATTTCTAGTTCTAGATCCTTGAGGAATTCACACACTGTCTTCCACAATGGTTGAAGTAAATTACACTCCCACCAATAGTGTAAAAGCATTCCTATTTTTCCACAACCTCTCCAGCATCTGTTGTTTCCTGACTTTTTAAGGACTGCCATTCTAACTGGAGTGAGATGGTATCTCATTGTGGTTTAGATTTGCATTTCTCTAATGCAGGTCTATGAGTTTCTTATTCATGGTCACTAAAAGATGTTTATCATGAATTGAAATCTCCAGATAAGAGTAAAGCAATGCCTAATTCATAGTTACGCACTTATCAATTTATTTATTCATATTATTCATTATCGTTATGAATATTCAACACATTAATAAAAGAGTCACATGTGCAATCTACTTGGGGTATTGGGAGAGTAAAGAATAACATAGTGGTGCTACAGGTAATTTAAGAGATGGTTTCTCTCTCTCTCTCTCTCTCTCTCTCTGTGTGTATATATATATATATATATATATATATATATATATATATATATATATATATATGAGACACAGGTATAATTATTTTCCTTCTACTATTTGTTATTGATGTATACTGCCAAATCCCTAACGGATACTGGAATACTTAACTCTAAGCTCCCCCCACGCCTACAAAAGAAGTGGGTACAAGGTTATTTTTTAAATCAAAAGATTTATTAATAGTATTTTTATCATGTCCAATTGATATTATCATTATCAAAAAGTTTAATCACTTATTATTACTTGAAGGACCTCGTTAGGAAATATTCGATCCCCTTTTTTTGGTTTTTTTTTTTTTTTTTGAGACAGAGTCTCATTCTGTCACCCAGGCTGGAGTGCAGTGAGGTGATCTCGGCTCACTGCAAGCTCTGCCTCCCGGGTTCACGCCATTCTCCTGCCTCAGCCTCCCGAGTAGCTGGGACTACAGGCGCCCGCCACCACGCCCGGCTAATTTTTTGTATTTTTAGTAGAGACGGGGTTTCACCGTGTTAGCCAGGATGGTCTCCATCTCCTGACCTCGTGATCTGCCCGCCTCGGACTCCCAAAGTGCTGGGATTACGGGCGTGAGCCACCGCGCCTGGCCTGTTCCACTTCTTAAAACTGGTCACTGGAAGTACATCGTCTTGGGAAGAACTGGATATTTCTTGAAACCCCTTTCATATAGCCATATTCTCAAACATAGAACCTTCTTTTATTTTTTTCAAAGATTTTTTTCCATTACTGTAGAAAATTCAGAGGGTGTTTATGGATAGTGCAGTACTCCGCTCAAATACAGGGAACGAAAGTTACATTAAAATGATAATATTTTTTGCTGAAAAGTATTATGATATTTAATGTAAGCAAACAAATGACTCAGGTGATAGTGTTTTGTTTTCATTTTTTAAATGTCTTGGCCGGGCGCGGTGGCTCAAGCGTGTAATCCCAGCACTTTGGGAGGCCAAGGCGGGCGGATCATGAGGTCAGGAGATCGAGACCATCCTGGCTAACACAGTGAAACCCCGTCTCTACTAAAAATACAAAAATTAGCCGGGCGTACTGGCGGGAGCCTGTAGTCCCAGCTACTCGGGAGGCTAAGGCAGGAGAATGGCGTGAACCCGGGAGGCGGAGCTTGCAGTGAGCCGAGATTGCGCCACTGCACTCCAGCCTGGGCGACAGAGCCAGACTCCGTCTCAAAAAAATAAATAAATAAAAATAAATAAATAAATAAATGTCTTACTTCAATAGCTTTTGGAGCACAAGTGGTTTAGGTAACATGGATAATTTGTATAGTGGTGAAGTCTGAGATTTTATTGCACCTGTCACCTGAGTAGTGTACATTGTACCAAACATGTAGCTTTTTTATTCCACACCCACCTGCCAACTTCCCCCTTATGAATCTCCAGAGCCCATTATATCACTCAGTGGAGAGTCTTCAACATTCAGGGTGGAATCTTCAGGGTGTGGCCCTCTATCCATTGCTTTCCAACGTTTGTACTCTCTGCTTTGTGAATAGAGGCCTGTTCTCCCTGTCTGCCTTGTTCAAGTACCTTTGCCGTTTTCCTTGCTGGGATGACATCCTTTGCCCTGAAGTTCTCATTAACCATACCATAGATGTCCTCTTCTTACCTCAATACATCCAAGGCTACCTCAAGTTATAACTTCTCCTTTAGTTTTTCCCTAGTGTCTGAGTTCAAATGGGCTTCTCTATATCCAGAATATCTACCACCTGTCTTATCTTTCCTCACACGTGGCACGTGCAGTTCCTTCCATCTACTTTCATAATGTTGTATTTTAACGGTTCAGTTGTGTTTATATTACACTCTTCTGTCAGGCAAACAAGGGTATTTATATGGCTGAAATCTACGGTATTTTTTAAATGTAGTAAAATGTAATGAATAAGCATACAAATGAATGAGTTAATTAATCTGTTATATTCTTGGTTAAGTAATGAGCATTATGAGGACAAAAATTGAGTCTTACACCTTCTTATAATCCTAAAGACCTAGTACAGGACTTGGAATATAGCATTCACTTAAGACATCTTTGCGACTAATGAATTTAAATATTTTTATTAATTCTAAGTTGACGTATGATTGTAATTTGGGGAAGGTAGTGAAATTTCAAATGGCTTTCACCACCTGTGAAATGACCCTTTTTACCTACCACATGATTTACCAGATCTTTGTTTAGGTGAACCTAGGCGAAAGCAGATTGTTTCCTCTACTTAGGAAATACTTCGCACATTTTCGTTGCTTATAAATTTGATGATTTTAATTTGTACAGTTATAATTTATGATATTGACTTGTACAGTTATATATATTTTACATATAATAGATATTATATATTATATATAGATATACTATATATAATTTTATTTTCTAAAGTAAAGAATATCATTACACATTAACAAAATAGATATAACTGTTTTCTTTCTACTATTTGTTACTGGTGTATACTGCAAATCCCTAATGGATACTGAAATTCTTATCTCTAAGCCCCTCTATGACTATGAAAAGAAATGGGTTCAAGTTTATTTTAAAAATCAAAGAGTTTATTAATAACATTATTGTTATCATGTCCAATTGATACTATCATTATTAAAAAGTTTAATCACTTATTTCTTGAAGGACCTAATTAGGAAATATATATGTGTGTGTATATCTATATTCTATCTATATATATCCTATATCTATATTCCATATATATTCTATATCTATATTCTATATCTGTATTCTACATATATTCTATATATAGTCTATCTATATTCTATCTATATCCTATACATATTCTATCTATATCCTATATATAGTCTATCTATATTCTATCTATATCCTATATATAGTCTATCTATATTCTATCTATATCCTATATATAGTCTATATATATTCTATCGATATCCTGTATATAGTCTACATATTTTCTATCTATATCCTATATATAGTCTATATACTCTATATATCCTATATAGTCTATGTATATTCTATATATATCCTATATAGTCTATGTATATTCTATATATATCCTATATAGTCTATGTATATTCTATATATATCCTATATAGTCTATGTATATTCTATATATATCCTATATAGTCTATGTATATTCTATATATATCCTATATAGTCTATGTATATTCTATATATATCCTATATAGTCTATATATATTCTATATAGTCTATATATATTCTATATGTTTATCCTATATATATTCTCTATACATATTCTATATATATATAGACACACACACACACACACACATATATAGTAGCCTGATATTTAAAAAATAAGATTGGGACTGCATAAAATAAGCTCACCCAGACAATAGGGGTACAGACATATGTATAATTCAGCAAGAACTGGTAACAAAGTGAGATATGTCAACTCTTTGTAGCATATTGTTAAGTAGTATTAAAAAACAAGTAATTTTTGGTTGGGTCCATTGAGAGAATAACATTATTTTTAGAATGATCTAATGGCACAATAAGCATTTTAGCATTTTACCTGCAAAAGCATTATAGCTGTGCCAGTTTCTGTTCCAAGAAAAAAACACATTGGTGTATTCTCTAAAGGAGGAAATTCTGACCTCAACTATGTTCAGATAGCTGTGGCAGATAATACTCTGATCAGGTACTAAGTCATATATCTTTCACATTTCCCTTTGCTAGTTATACTCAGCATGTGGTTGGAAATGGAATCAAAGCCCAGTCTGGAAATCCTGAAGTCAAAGTCAAAGGAACTGATCCTGTGATAAATCAGATTATTGATAAACTGAAGCATGTTATTCAGGTAAGTCCTGATCCTATATTTTTTGGTATAGCCAATAATAAATAATAAGTGGTCACTTTCTGTTATACTTGATAAATTTGTTAACCCTATCAGATAATCCTGCCTAAAATATTGTAACACATTATTTGTATCAGGACTTTTGGGAATATTTAGTTTAATGATTTTTGTATGCAGTCAATATGCAGTGGTATTTTAATGTTGGACAATCTGTATATGTGAAAAGCAAGCCTCAGCCTCAGCATTTCAATAATGAGAATCTCAGGACATGCATTGTCTTCAGTGAATAAGTTTGAACGTGGGAATCACTGTGACCATTAAAGAAAACACATAGAAGACCATAGAAGATGCCAGAGTTTTCTTTCAGGTAATTCTCTGAATGTTGCTATGAAGGTTTTTGCAGCATTTCAATACAAATTAGGTCATAGATGAATAATATGTACTTCTAATATTTATTTCCTATATCACCTTTTATATGTTATCTTATAATCTACCTAATGGTTGTTTATGAAATACTTCTCTTTTATCTTCAATAATATTTTTCATCAAGTGAGTGTGTATTGCTGTTTTTAATACATGACAAATGAAGCATGAACATATTTATCAAAATAATATTTCATTGAAATAGTCTATTAATTAGAACCAAACATGATGTTGCATGTTGTAAATATTACTCTGCATTCTGCATCTATTGATGTTTGGGGAAAGAAAGGCTATTTTTTTTTTTTAGTTAATAGTCATTTTATAAAAATTTATATTTGAATATACTTTCATTTTTCCTAAGCAGAACTTTGCATGGCTAGCTGATGCTTATTTCTAGTATCGTGCATCAGAAACAATACCTAAATAGTACAGAGTTTTTATTGCATACAACATATTCCAGAGCCAGTAGTAGGCTTCTCATAATTGTTCTGCAAAGACAAAGCTTAAGTTTATGCAGAGCCAATTCCTGGGTTTCCATTTTTCACGAGTCCCTATCTCTCAAGGAGAGGATATGTAAGAAGGACTTGGGGGTTGGTGTCCAATACCGTAGACTTCTCCCTTCTGTGAGGCAACAATGCTTATTCTACCATTGATACCTATAGAAAACAGCTCTCACCCTGGCTGGCAAAACCAAAAATAAATTCTATTGGAAAAGTCTAAGAGAAAAGTGGTATCATGACTACTGATGAGTTAAACCTTCCAGCCTCTGCTGAGCTGGTCCAGTTGGTACCTCACAGTATCGTCCACTGTAGTATAATATGTACAGCTAGATTATTTGAAAATTCGACCGCATAATTGATAATAAAACCAAAAGAGCTTTAATATTAATGTTCTCTCATTGAGGAGTGAGTACAATCTCACTGTGAGGACACAGTGAAATCTTAGGGGTTTCTTAAGTGGGGTAAGCATTCCACAGAGGATGGAGGAAGAAAAACTAGAACTTAAATATATATTTATTCCATCTCATTCTTTTATATTTCTTTGGTTGTAGTAAGGTATATAAAATATGTAATATATTAGTGCAATAGCATATACATATAATTTATAAATACATAAATATACATATTAACTGGACATTTGTTCAGATTGTTTTTCTAAGATATATACATGATGAAAGCAGAACAGAGACCCTGTTACAGATAATAAGGATAGAGCTGTTCCATGAGAAGTGCCGTTATAAGAAAACACATTCACAGAGGAACACATAGATACCCAAGATAGAAAGGATTATAAAAACCCTTAGGAGGAGGGCTCATATATTTATTACCCATTCAGCAACCCCCCTCCCCATTTCTTGTTTCGTAGGTTTCAAAGCCTTTTCAAGGTGGCAGAGGGAAGTCATCCTGCCTTTCTTTTTTAGCTTCTGTGTGAACTTGAGTCCCATTCTTTATTCTTTATAGGAGTGTGCAGATCTCCAATTATTCATGCTTAAGTTTCATTCTGGGGTTGCAAGAGAATATAAAATGCAGTGCTACCTTTGAGGTCTATCATTTTAAGATCTGCTAGATTTATATGATAGAAATGTAGATTTTTATAGAGGACAGCGGAAAGTCATATCTTGCACAGGTGTCACTGAAAATTTACCTTTAATATCTAAGAATATGCTCTTTCATGAACTGCTCTCCTGGAGATGAAGAGAAGTGTTTTACTTTGCCAATTTTTTTTTTTTTTTTTTTTTTTTTTTTTTTTGAGACAGAGTTTCCCTCTTGTTGCCCAGGCTGGAGTGCAATGGCGCGATCTCGGCTCGCTGCAACCTCCGCCTCCTGGATTCAAGAGATTCTCCTGCCTCAGCCTCCAGAGCAGCTGGGATTACAGGCACGTGCCACCACAGCCCGGCTAATTTTTTTTGTATTTTTAGTAGAGACAGGGTTTCTCCATGTTGCTCAGGCTGGTCTCGAACTCCCGACCTCAGGTGATCCACCTGCCTCGGCCTCCCAAAGTGCCGATTACAGGCGTGAGCCACGGCGCCCGGCCTACTTTGCCAAACTTTTGACTACTGATGGTGTACGCGTGCCCTGGCAGGGATGGCCATTGTGCTGTCAGTATCAAGGGATGGCTAACAGCACCCACCACAATGTCAGCTATGAAAGGATTCAGAAAATAGCCTTCTGTAAGTCAGAATTTATTAATTAAGGAGTAGGGCCATGGAAGATGTCAACATAGGAATAGGTTTCAGATTCTAAACTGTAGATTTAGATGATCACTTCTTAGTGTTTGTATAAAATTTACTTTATTTTTTATTATAACATGAAGTTCGCTTTCCACCTTTATACTATGAAAAATGCCGTGTCTCACAATAGGGACATACCTGTGTTAAAGTATATGGAAGTAAATCAGCCACAATAGCAAACATTGCCTGCATGGACTCACCCAAAAATGCCTTTCTTGGCCTGCCATTGATCTGAACCTCATTTCTACCTTGCATTGTCTGCAATTAGAGTCACTAAGGAAGTAGATAAAGATTTTTACTTGGAAAATGTCACTTTTTAATGTTTTAATAATTAATTCGTTCAAGATACTCAACAAATGCTCACTGAGTTTCTAGTACGGTCCTGGTTCTGTACAGGCACTGAGGTTAAAGTTGTGAATAAAGCAGACACAACCCTGCTCTCATGGGCTTTCCATTGTAAGAAAAAAGTAAATAAACAAACCAATGAAACCAGTATTGTAGCTGACACATGTTATGCACAAAACCAAACAAGGTGAGGTAAGGAAAGATATTTAAGAAGAGTGTGCTGGTGAAGGCCACTCAGGGGCAGATGTTTGGGTTGATGCTGAATAAGGAGAAGAAAGGAGTCATGGGAAAACCTGTGAGAACTGTGTCTGGGGCAGAAGGCAAAGTAGGTGTAAAGGCCCTGTGGCAGGAATAAGTTTATTTTATTCAGAGAACAGAAGGCCAGGTGGCTAAAACAGAGTGAGTTAAAGGGAGGAGATAAACATACATCATGTTTTGGGGAGTCCAGTAGGCTCTGGTAAAGAGTTTATATTTTCTCCTAAATAGACTAAGAAGTCATTTTAAAACTGTAAGCAGAAACTAGCTGCGCGCAGTGGCTCATACCTGTAATCTCAGCACTTTGGGAGGCTGAGGTGGGTGGATCACCTTAAGTCAGGAGTTTGAGACCAGCCTGGCCAACATGGTGAAACCCCATCTCTTCTAAAAATACAAAAATTAGCTGAGCACGGTGGAGCGTGCCTGTAATGCCAGCTACTGAGGAGGCTGAGGAAGGAGAATCGCTTGAACCCAGGAGTCGGAGCCTGCAGTGAGCCAAGATCGCGCCACTGCACTCCAGCCTGGATGACAGAGCAAGACTCCTTCTCAAAATAAATAAATAAATAAAAATACATCACAAATTTAATAAATAAATAAATAACTGTAAGCAGAAGCTGATACAATTTAATACATGTTTTATGAGGACTTCACTATGAAAACTGGACCCTGCGTACAAGAATGGAAAAAAGAAAGTAACACAGACAGAAGGCCACATAATTGGAGCTAGAATAATAAGAGTGGATAAGCTGAGAAGTGCATAGATTTAGACAAATATTGGAAGCGGGGTTTTTAGGATTTGTTAATGGATTGGAAATTTGGGAGACGGAAGAAAGATGATAGCGAGGTTTGGTGGGATGATAGTGTCACTAAGTGAGAAAAGGAATTCTGAGAGAGGAGCAGGCCTGGCGGAGGGTCCCTGGGATTGATTAGAAATCAGTGGTTTTGTTAACTGTGAGATGCTTGTTAGATGCCCAAGAGGGATGTGCAGAACTCAGGGAGACCACACAACTGGAGGTGTATGTTTGTAAGCATCAGCACGTGGATAGTATTTAAGCCCTGAGATTGTATAAGGTTGTCACCTTTCCTTTAGAGTATAAATTCACACCAAAACTATTGGTGGAGATGATAGGACAAGGGAATCATACAAAAAAAATTGTACTGCAAAAAGCTATGAATGAATAAAACATTTCATTAAATGTATTTGGCACCTTGTATATACTTAGTTGATCTAGGACAGAGAAGATAGTAACATTCATTTTTTCTTACTGTAAGAATAATGACCCAGGAGGCGGAGGCTGCAGTGAGCTGAGATCAGGCCACTGCACACTAGCTCTAGCAGACAGAGTGAGACTCCGTCTCAAAAAAAAAAAAAAAAAAAGAATAATGAATGCTCATCAGAGGGAATTGAATTTTATTATTCTAGGAAATCTGATGGAAAAAGTGAAAAATAAATATTGATACCATTTATAAAACAATGAAAAGACTTATAAGAGAAGCCATCTAGGCTTTTCTCTATACTTAATTATACATATAAATACATCAGTACTTTACTTCAAAAAATAAGATCATAGGGTACATTTGATTTTATGATCTGAACTGCTCACCTGACCACACAAAACAAATACTTTACCATGACATTAAATAGTCTGCTCTCTGGTTGTTAGTGCTGGCATACTATTCTATCATATGGAAAAATTACAGTTTTCCTCCACCCAGTCACCGAAAGTTGGATATTTAGGATGCGACCAGTTTTTCATGATAATAAAGACTAATAGGAACAGCAGTAGACACAAGATGTTTTTGGCATCTTTTTTTTCTTGTAATACGTTCTACATATTGAAACTAATAATTGTATTTTGCTACATATTGCCACGTTTTTCTCAAGGAAAATTATAGCTAACAGAAAGTGTCAGCTTTCTCTGTGTGTTAAGGGTGTGGGTGGAAGCTCGGCAGTGACGCTGAGACATATTGGTATGGAACATCATTGGACTCTCTAGAGATCAAGGTAGCAGTCCTGTAGAAATGTTAGCCCGAGCTATGTGTCACCTGGGAGTACTCCAAGGACGGCCAAAAGAAATATTTTAGTTAGAAGACAATTTATAAGAAAAGTTTAGAGGCTTCCTAGAGAGGTCATAGCATACACAATTTTATTTCATCCTTTAGGGCAAGCCATATACATATGTTCTGCGCACATCTCCTCCTGCACCCTCCTCAAAAAAAAAAAAAAAAAAAAAAAAAAAAAAAAAAAAGCTGAGATCTGATGTAAATAGATAGCTGTGAATTATAGCTTGGTCCTTAAGGAATATCTCAGAAACTTCAATGTTCCTTCACCCCCTCCGCAAACCCTTCTGAATTGAGAATGGGAACCTTGGCAACAGAGGGGAGTCATGCACCTCCCTTTTCCATCTGTGACTCTGACATCTTCCTCCAGGTCAGCCATGGTGCAAACTCTCACAGTTACTTTCTGGCAGTTTCCTGCATTCCAAACCTGTTTCTGAAATGGGCAATATTTGTCCCCTTGAAAATCACCTGTGATAAATGTGGTATAGCCCATGGCCAGTGAAAATTTTCCTACACGGAGACATATTCCTAAGTGTTAACATTAACTTTTTCAGATGTTTGAGTCAGACTCAATTGCCCTTTCATATTATAGATTGAAAACAACACTTGGTTGATGTTAGTATATCTGATTGAGGAAATATGAGAGCCTTTTTAATTTAGATTTGCTCGCCTAGAAAACTCACTTTGAAACTTCTTGGTCATGTTATGTTTGCTTATGGCAAAGTTATCAGCAAAAAAGTCACTGTTATGCAGCAATTTATCTTTAAACACTAAATGACATCTATCATTTTTCAAAGAAAATAATGTCAGCAGTTAAAATCCTAACTGCTTGAGCACTGTTAGTTGACAATTATAATGCCCCATTGCTTAGAAATTAATTGACCTACTTTCAATAAGAAACATAAAAAGTAATATCACAGCAATTTTCTGGATCTATTTTATTCCAAAACCAATAAATGTTACAGTGTTGTTAAAAGTAATAGATTTAAAAACATTTTATTTTCTTAAACTTAACAATTCAAATAACATAAAATAATATTACGTTTCTATTAAGTATTCATTTTTATACAGACCAAAAGTTCTTTAGAAAATGTCTTCATGTATAATATAAATTTGATTTTTAGATGTGAGAAAAGCAACAATCATAATCGTTGCCTAAATCCACAAAATAAGTAGATATTCTATAATATGTATTTCAGTAATCACAATGTATTGGATTCAGGCAGAGATGAGAGACACTCTGATTTTAGCAGAAAAAGACTGTGTTAAATTACCTCTTTGCCTTTTCTCACTCTGTTCCTAGGATAGCAATATAATAAATAGTAACTTTAGAACGGGGATACACTGAGAAAATGTTCTAATTTAAATCTCAATAGATGATTACACAGGTAGTGTTTACACACACACACACACACACACACAATGACAGGAGTTTTTAAAGATATTAGTATCTCGGAATTTTTGAATTCTGAAAACTGTCCAAGCTTTTATCATTAAATCACTTGTTATGAAACCCATTTTAGAAACACGCTTTCCTATTTTTAATAGCCTATGATAGTCATACAGAATGAGTTAATCAAAATTGATTGGTCAATTGCTAATTGCAAATTCTTTGACCGTAGCATGTCAGCTGATTCTATGAACTTCTACAGACTCTTTCCCTTGGTCCGGGAATTGCCACAACACTCTGACTCCTTTCCCCACAACTCCCTTACATGATATTGTCACCTCCCCAGGCTTACGATACTAATATTCCAGAGAGACGAACAGTCCTTGATTTTGAATAGCAATGCAGTAGTGACCAAAACAGATTTAGTTTTGGTTCAGAAGAAAGTGCTGGATATGCCCTCAGTAACTTTCCATGGTCATCTAATTCAGCAATTAGTTTGAGTAAATTCAATGGAAGGCTGCTTTCTGGAATGGGTAGTGTAATGTACTGACTTCCCTATTAGACATTTCATTTAAAAAAATCAATTGTCCGCATAAAACAACCATTTCAATCAGTGTACATTCAACTGGAAAGGAAAGTTAGAGGACTTTTTTTGAAAGTAATGGGATTGGGGTTGGCCGTTGCTAATTTCTTTTTGATTAACGCGTATGTAATTGTTTTGTGTTGGATAAAAATTTGACTTTTTATTTGCGCGGATGCTGCTGATCTTATATGTTATCATTTCCCATTCAGACTTGAGCTGTTTACCTGCCGGGTTTTCTGTTCATAAAATGTTGAAAGGACGTTAAAATGTAGAACTTTTACATTTTTTATTTAGGTGACTAGGACAAATTCTGGTAATTTGTAGGCTACAACTTAAATGTATTTCTGCTTAAAATATTTTGAAACATGGTTTATTTCACAAATGAGGTTCCAAACTATAACCAGCTCTCACTAAATTCTTATTTATTTATTTATTTTGAGACGGAGTCTTTCTCTGTCACCCAGGCTGGAGTGCAGTGGCCGGATCTCGGCTCACCGCAAGCTCCGCCTCCCGGGTTCACGCCATCCTCCTGCCCCAGCCTCCTGAGTAGCTGGGACTACAGGCGCCCGCCACCACGCCCAGCTCATTTTTTGTATTTTTAGTAGAGACGGGGTTTCCCCGTGTTAGCCAGGATGGTCTGGATCTCCTGACCTCGTGATCCGCCCGCCTCGGCCTCCCAAAGTGCTGGGATTACAGGCGTGAGCCACCGCGCCCAGCCAAAAGATCATTTTTAAATTATGTATCTGGGAATATATTATCAAACCAGGCCTGAAACTTATTAAAAAGATGGTAAAATCTAATTTAACTTCATTTAATACTCCTTTTCTCTTAGTCTTATAAAAGCAAATGAGCTTGTTGGCTTTTAATTATGAAAATATAATTTTAATTTATAAGACATATGTAACAAAGCAAGATAGCTGCTAAATTCACTCTATCCTAGTAACTTCCTATTGCATACATTCATTTTTAATGTAATAAGAAAATCCTTTCAAAATTTTTAAAAGAATCACATTACCCAAGAAGAGGCTCAACATTTCTAGAAAATAAATATGTTCTTAAGACACTTAATAATTCTTGAAATGAAGACCTAATTCTTCAGGGCTTTAAAATATTTGATGTGCACTCTTTACATATATAGAGAGTTTAAATTTAATAATTTCCCTTCTTAAAAAATAAGTGAAACATACCACAAACATATCAAAGCAAGTTATTCATACTTCTCATTTAAGTAACTGTATTGTCATAGCAAAATTATTTTATATCATCAAAAAGCACAAAAGCCTTATTAGAATACTAATTTCAATGTCTGTTTCACAGATTTGCTCAGAATAGATTTTTTCATGCTTCTGCACTAATTCATTGAAGGACAATGTTTTACCGATTCCTGAAAAAATATCATTATCTGCCCCATAGTGGTGGCTCATGCCTGTAATCCTAACACTTTGGGAGGCTGAGGCTGGCAGATTGCTTGAGCCCAGGAGTTCAAGACCAGCCTGGGCAACATGGTGAAAACTCATCTCTACCAAAAAAAAAAAAAAAAAAAGGAAAAAGTTAGCCGGGCAAGGTGGCGGGCACCTGTAGTCCTAGCAACTGAGGAGGCTGAGGTAGGAGGATCACCTGGGCCTGGGAGGTTGAGGTTGTGGTGAGCCATGATTATGCCACTGCATTCCAGCAGTGGGTGACATAGTGAGATCTTGTATCAATAATAATAAGATAAAATAGAAAATAAAAATATCATTAACTGACATTTTAAAAAGTATATTTCCCAATGTATAAATATACTTTGTGGATTAACAAGAGAAAAATTTCAAGATACTGTAAATTTAAAACAAATCTTTATGTATAATACCATCGTAATGTCTTTGACCAGCAGCAATCTATCATGTGAGATAAAAAATATTAAATATGCATTTATTGCATAAATGAATGAAAATCATGATTACCTTGATCACTATATTTAAAATTTAAATGAAGCAGGAAAGTAAATCTTCCTAATTATCATATACTTAACTGTTTAAAATCACTCTAATAACAAGTAATATGTTAATTTTGAATTATAATTTTAAAATGCCTGTATTGTTTCATTCACTCATCCTTCCATTAGTTCAGTGAACAAATATTGATTACTTACCCACTATGTGCCAGGTATCATCATAGATTCAGGGAGTACAAAAATGATTAAACGAAGGGATCAGCTGGAGTGACCGTTTTCTAGAAACAATGCCTATTTCAGTTATGAACTAGTCTGTTTTGAAGAAAGTGGTGAGGGAAAGCTGAAAATCCTATTTTCACTTTATTCAACAAATCTTATTGAGGTCTTATTATGAATCAGGGGCTCTCCTAGGTATGGGCATACAAAATTGATTAAGACTGTGCTTGCTTGCAGAAAACAAACAAAAAAGCATCTCTATAATAAAAAGGAAAAAGAGGAAATTCCCTTTGTAGGTTTCATAGTTTATAGTGATACTGCTGATGTTGTCTCAGAGAATTAGTCACAATTATAGGAACTCAGAAGGCATTCCGTTGAGATGAAATAGAGACTAAATTAGCAGAGATTACTTAGTGAAATAACAATTCGAACATAGTTATAATTCATTTTAGAAGATATTATGGCTCACACATAGTAGATGTGATGACTGAATAACAGGAATGTGGAACGATGGCACCTTGGTAGCCATTACCCATTGCCAACATGATTCTGCATTAAAAAATCTGTGCAAAACGGCCGGGCACGGTGGCTCACGCCTGTAATCCTAGCACTTTGGGAGGCCGAGGAGGGCAGATCACGAGGTCGGGAGATGGAGACCATCCTGGCTAACACGGTGAAACCCCGTAACTACTAAAAATACAAAAAATTAGCTGGGCATGGTGGCACGCGCCTGTAGTCCCAGCTACTCGGGAGGCTGAGGCAGGAGAATCGCTTGAACCTGGGAGGTGGAGGTTGCAGTAAGCTGAGATCGCGCCACTGCACTCCAGCCTGGGCGACAGAGTGAGACTCCATTTCAAAAAAAAAAAAAAAAAAAAAGAACACAACTTTGGAGTATATTAATAAACATTGTGTTTTTTTTAAAAAAAATTTTTAATCTTTAATTTCCGTTTTCACATATTTCTTCTTGCTTCCAAAAGGAAAGGAGTGGGTAGCTCTGTTGTACACCGTCCACGGCCCCTGGATCCGGGCGGGGTCCCCCGGGCCACCTGGGGGTCCACATGCAGCCCCCAGGAGGCCGGTGCGGGGTGAGGTCCGGGGGCCGCCTTATTGCTGAGGTCCGGCCGGTTGGGGCCCCGGCGGCCGCTAGGCGCTCTGGCTGCGCAGCTCCTGGGAGATGAAGCGGCGCAGGCGCTCCAGGTACTGGCTGTAGAGCTGGATGTCTTTGTGCCCGGCGCCCTCCACCCACAGCGGCTCCACAGCCTTGGGGCAGCGCTCCTAGAGCGCCAGCCCCTGCGAGAAGTCGATCACCTCGTCTTTCGTGCCGTGGATGATGAGCACGGGCGACGTGATCTTGGACACCTTCTGGATTCTGCGGGAGGGGCGTGGGGCGGGTGAGAACTCTCCGGGCCCGGGCCCCGCCCCGCCCCGCCCCCGTCCCCGACCCAGTCCCCGTCCCCGCCCCTGTCCCTGCCCCAGCCTGCTCACTTGGGGAAGGCGTCGAAGCAGTAGGTCTTCTTGGTGTCGGGAAGGCGACGCTCAGGTCCAAGGTGAGCGGCGAGTGCAGCACCACCGCGGCGGACTCGTAGCGCGAGGCCAGGTCCACGGTGGGCACTGTGCCGATGCTCTGCCGGTACAGGATGATGCTGTCCGGGCTGATGCGGTACCTGGCGGCACCGGAGCAGGGTCAGCCGCGGCCTCCGACTCGCGCGCACCCCTCCCGCCAGCGGGCGTCCCCGGGCCCAGCTCCAGATGCGACTCTCCAGTCTCCCGGCTCAGCCTAGTCAGTGGGTCAGGCCCAGGCTCCACAGCAGTCCCAAGGGCCACCCCCAGTCCCCCAAGACCGCAGCGGTGGGCGGAGCCGGCGGCCTGGTCCTGTTCCCTGGCGCTATGGTTCACTGGCGTTTCCTAGCCAGGATCTGCTGGATCCTGGCTAGGGAGTCCCCCTCGGGCTAGGGTAGGGGAAGCCCTGGCGCCTCTCCTTCTCTTGGTCATCCCTGGGCGCACACTGGGAACTGTGTGCCCCCCCACATCCTGAATGCTTCACGCCTTCCTGCCCAGGTTAGAAAGCCGTTCCTGGTGCACTGGCCGGAACAGGGTACACTCTTCCTCCCTGCAGCCCTTGCCCACCCCCTTGGCCATGAGGAATTC